>NC_000010.11:125990384-126301864 GCF_000001405.40 Homo sapiens
GACCCTTTCTTTAAAAAAAGAAGATCCTTGATGGATGGATGGGTAATGAATTAAAGACCAGTGGCAGAATTAAGAGTATGAAAAGAAACACTGATTTTCTCAGGTTGCATTTATGTTTGTTGGAAGATGTATTAGTTTTCCACTGGCCAGTGAGAGTCCACCCGAACCTTCCAGGTGAGGGTGAATATGGTTGGTTCTGCAGCCTTCCATTGTGGGCTTCAGGTGGCCTCTAGCATCCTCTTAATAGCACACCAAAGCCAGGGCAGGGGCTTCTGGCCGTCCTAGCCTGAGTTTACATGGGGTTGGAGTACCATTTGGAGCAATTTTAGGAAGGGCTGTTTATTAGTGTGTTCTCACACTGCTAATAAAGACATACCTGAGGCTGGGTAATTTATTATAAAGGAAAGAAGTTTAATGGACTCACAGTTCCACATGGCTGGGGAGGCCTCACAACCATGGTGGAAGGCAAAGAAGGAGTAAAGGCATGTCTTCCACGGCGGCAGGCAAGAGAGAGCATGTGCAGGGGAATTTCCCTTTATAAAACCATCAGATCTTATGAGACTTATTCACTATCATGAGAACAGCATGGGAAAGCCCCACCCCCATGATTCAGTTACCTCCCACCAGGTCACTCCCATGACACATGTGAATTATGGGAGCTACAATTCAAGATGAGATTTGGGTGGGGACACAGCCAAACTATATCAGGCTGTGCCTGTGGGCCAGATGTGCCTTCTCCCCACTGAGCTGGCTCCAGAGGCAGCCATGGAGAGTTGGTGCAGCGCATTTGTCCTTACAGCGCCATGGCTTCCATGAGTAATTAGATGAGGCCTCCTGCAGGGATGAGTGTGTGGTGGTGACCAGGGGTGTGTGTGTGTGTGTGTGTGTGTGTGTTGGGGGAGTGATCCTGGCCATTTCACTGCCAGATAATAGATAGCATCACTGCCTGCAGCCAGGAAGCCTTCTCAACCTCAGGGGGGCTGTACTGGGTGGTGAGGATCAGGTGTCCTCCTCCTCCTAGCTGGGGCAGGCTCTTGGCTCTGTGGGCTGGCTGCAGCTCCCTTATGCTATTGTGTTATATATTTATAATATCCAAAGCAGATTCTCCTAAGGAGGCAGATCATGCTAAACAAAGAACTAAGAAGGTGCACATGATACAAAATGCTTCTGTGTGGTGGTAATTTGCATTCAGTTTGAGAGTGTTTTAATGAGTCACAGAGGCATGCACTTTGTTTGAATAAAGAATGAACAGCCTTTTTTTTCCCCCCAGGTAAAGTACACAGATTCTTGCTTAAATGAGGCTTACAATTTTAATCAGTTGGGCCCTTATAAAGAAAGAAAAACAGCTGCTACTTGTTAATTGGCAAATATCTTCTCCAATGAGCTCGTGATTTATTCACTGCTTTTAATAAAGACTTAAAATTCCACCAAGAAAGGTGTTAGCACCATATTATAATATCTGCAGGTACATCTGCAACTAAATGACCCTCTTAGAGAACATGAGCGATGGCTTCCTCAAGACCACTCTGCCCTGCTCTGCCCTTCTCCTCGGTGCCCCTGCTCACCTGGCCCTGACTGGTGAGTCCATCTGGCTCACGTGAGCATGGGCTAACATCCTCACCATGGGCAGAATCAGTTTGATAATTGTAATTGCAACACTCAGGGTAAAACACTAGAAAAACCCGCAGAGCAATGGCCGGCCTTTTAAAAATATTCAGTTGCACTTATTGATGGCATTCCCTTGGGCCAGGCCCACAAAGTCTTGAAGGATTCAGGGGTGGGAGGAATGAAACATTCTGTTCACCCTGGAATTTCCTCTCTGTTCCTCAGGACTCCTGCCTATAGTGGGAGTAGAAAGAATTGCTGTGCACTGCAAACAAGGGCCTTTTCATTTCTTTTCTGTTTCTTTGTCAAATTCAGGTAAATGGAGACGTTTTCGTACCTCTGTTGCTTCACACAGGTTTCAGTGTAATCCTCAGTCCCTCCTTTCCCTCTTGGTAGTAGCGTGAGGACGATTAAGGAGTTAACACTGAGAAAGAGCTCTCACACCCTGGAACGATGGTTACTGCTCAGCAAGCAAGGACTGAGGAACAATTATGTCATTCCCCTCTCTTCAGTGAGGTGTCCCTTTGTTCTCAGAGTAAGCTGTGAAGTGCTCTTTACCTCCCGTGGAAGCTGGAATTGGCATTACATTTATTATATCCTAATACTAAAAGCCCTGGTCTTTGCTACAAACGGTCCTTAAGCTTATAAACATGCAGTGAACTTGTTTCATTTCCCAACCTTTGCATGCTGCAGAGCTTCCTGGTTAGGATGCGCTAGGAAGTGTCCCCACCGAGAGAGCCTTTCTGTTCAGGTAAGATGGAGGCTGTGGAGTAGAGGGGTCGGTGTAGAGAGGTGGTTGGGGCTGTGCCCTTAGAACTTTCCTTAACATCTCAAGCAGTTAGCACGTTTTGGAAGATTTTTAGGCATCCCCTTTCTTTTTTAACACTTTGCGGGAGGATCACATTTACTTATGATGTTCATCTGTATTCAAAATTTGGTAAGAATGGAAGCATATAGTGAACTGGTCGATACTGCAGTGTTTACTAAGTACTAAAGGGAAGGAGTGGGCCTCATGGAAGACTTGGCCTTGGCTCTGATGCTGCCCTCTCCTAACTGGGCGACCTTGGACAACTTAGCTTTTCTGACTCCCAGTCTTGTGGTTTGGAGGAGAATTTTAAAAGCACTGGGTAAAAAGCCTACGTACAGCTTAATTCATAGGATTTGATTTAGGATACTACACATTGTACAACTTAGTAGAAATAGAATGAGCTTTATATGTTGTTATAGGTGATTTATCCAAATGACTTGTTTTTATGTTTGAGTGGCAGGTGAAGTTTCAGATTAGGAAAAAGTGGGGCCTGTTAATGGGATAACAGAGACTTTTATAAACATACCACTTTTCTTCTCCTGGTTAGCAACAGAAGGGGAAACAGTCTATGGGTTTAGTTCATCCATCTAAAGTATAGATGAGACGCATCATGATTTTAAGTCCTTATTAATCTAGCCCAGGGTTCTCAACTTTGGTACTACTGATATTTGGGGACTGGATGGTTCCTTGTGGTGTCCTGTGCACTTATGGATTCTTAGCAGGTTCCTTGGCCTCTATCCTCTAGATGCCAGTGCTCCATCCCCTTCGTTGTGGCAATCAAAAATGTCACCAGACATTGCCAAATGTCCTCTGGGGTATAAAACCCTGCCTCCTTTCTAAGCCCTTCTAGTGAAACCACTGAGCATGGCATGAACTCCCTTGGAAGGCCAGGGACAGCTGTGAGCCTTGGCCTTTGACAGGTTATCGTGCGACTTTTATTTGACACTTTTGATCTAAAAAATGTGTAGAATGATGAAAAGGAAGTATAATGTAGCTAAAAAAAGTCTGTAAGAGATTGGCTAGCTCTAGCAGACAAAATTGTTATTTCAAAATAATTTAAACTTGGCATAAATTTATTTTTATGAAAGAAAGGAAAAGGTATCGGCTAAAGATCCTTCTGGTAGAAATCCTTTTATTCTCCTGTCTCACTGTTTTCCCAGTTTGTACATTGCCCAATTCACTTGGCACCACTGAAACCCTCCGAGGAAACCCAGAGAAAAAGTGTCTCCTATGCCCAGGAACTGGCATCCCAGAGAGATTTTCTACCATAAGGAGCAGGAAGAGGGAGGCCAGCTGATCTTTCTGGGCCGGACCATAAGAGGGAGGGTGGGTGAGCCCCAGGAGGTGGCGTAGGGTGCAGTGGGGGAGGATGGGGTAAGAGGGAGGGTGGGTGAGCCCCAGGAGGCAGTGTAGGGTGCAGTGGGGGAGGATGGGGTAGGAGTGGATATTTTCTTTCAGGGTTTAGAATAACAGGCTGAAAGCAGGCACTACAGTGTAAGTGAGCATGGGAACTAATGGTTAGCTCTTTTCATGCTAACCCCCTAGAGCCTAGCACAGGACTTGGCATGTACATTACTTAGGTTTGTTGAATGAATAAATGAGACCTTTGAGGTTTTTTTAGACCAGGGATTATAAACTCAAACTCTTGCCGTTTGCGGATGAGGGGCTGGGCGTACAGTTGGAGTATGTAAGAAGTGGTGGGGCTGTATCCACTGACGATGGTAGCTGCTGTACTGTCACCCCCAACAACAGGTTGTGTGCTGGGTACTTACGATGTGTCAGGTGCTATTCGAAGTGCTTCATTGGTGTTATTTCATTTAAGCTTAATTGTGATACTTTTTAAAATCAGAAGGTGTAGAATAAAGAACAAATGAAACTAGAAACGCCTAGAAAGATGGGTGGCTTCTACATAGCCCTTTATTCTCCCTCTGCTTGTGCTGCCCGCCTGCCTGTTGGCTTCGCTGTGGAGCTGATGTCCCCTGTACAAAGGATGCCCTCCTCCCCGGCTGTGGCCCATTGTTCTTTTAGGCTTCTGGACTCCTCCTGGGTCTTCGCTGGTTGGCAAGCTCTCTCCCCTAATTGGCTTTTCTCCTGGTGCTCCCCACCTTCCTGTGGGTCGAAGCCCTTCTGCCCCCAGAAGCTCAGAGAAGACAAGGCCAATATGTAAGTCACATTCCTGGGAAGAACTGAAAATTTTAATTTCAAATGTTAAAGCACTTTGTCTTTTTTTTTTTTCCAAGTAGTTTAACATCTCTTTGGCAAATAAAACTAGCATATTGTGACAATTGCTGAGGTTTTCCTTGCTTGTAGGAGACATTTATTAAGTCTTATGAAATCTGAAAGGATTATTTCCAAATATCAAAGTAACATTCACAAAGCAATACTGTATAACTTGGAAATGTCCCAAGCTTTAGGTCAGTCAAAATGTTCTCTTAATATGTGAAAACAAGGTCATTTTCGGTAAAAGAAGCAGGTGAGTAGGAAATGTAAGATATACTTAACAGGAATAGCCAAGCGCCTTCCTGAAGATGATCCCCTGAAGGCCACAGGAGGACGATGGCGGGAAGCAGTCTCCTTTTCTGATGTTCTGGATGACTGCCTTCCATCTCATTTCTCCAGGAGAGCCCATAAGTAGTGAGCACTTGCACCGGGCTGTCAGTGTGAATGATGAAGATTTGCTGGTCCGAATACTTCAAGGAGGGTGAGAGAACTCTGTCAGTTGTTTTTTTTCCCCCATGCCTATAAAGTGCATAGAAATACATGCAGTAGTTTCATTTTGTTTTCCTAAAAATTCCCATGGCTTTGAAACTGCCTCCAAAATGGATCTCAGGTGACTGGTGTGAGTTAATAAACCACAGTTAATAAAGATGCTCATGAAGCCCCATGTAAATGTTATATTTTGTGATTGTGTAATAGAAATTGTAAAAGGAATTACAAGGCTGGGTGTCATATTTTCTTCCCAGAAATAATTTCTGTCTCTTGCTTATAAGCCGCAGCATTTAGGCAAATTTCACCCCCAAATGCCCACATCTAATTTCTGATGAAACAAGGGACTCGCCAAATCAACTGCTTTCTAATTTAGAAGGTTGATGTAACACTAGAGGGGAAATGGTGAATATAGCTGCTGCAGATGAGATGTTTGAAGTTACCTTCTACATGAAAAGTAGATGTTATCTAGGTTCTTTTTGAATCAATAGTTTTGAGTGCCCTAGAAGACAAGTCATTTGTGAATTCGGCTCTGTAATTTGGAGCTCTTAAGAGAAGGTTCCCACAAAAAGCCAAAGCTGCTACGCTGGAGTATGTGCGTGAAGACCTCCGAAAGGGCTGCTCTCTACCCAGTAGGTGAGATGGGAGGCAAGGATAAAGCTTGAGTCTCCACCAATACAGACTCATGTTCGGTAGAGCTGAGAGTCAGCAGTGAAGACACTGTCCTCAGCTATCTTAAAGAGCTGTGTTCACTGGAGAGTGCTTTATCCGATGGCCTCATGGCTTTGAGCCGAAGCATGTATATTTTAAGTGAAATTACATCAATTTTCTCTTTTATGATACATTTGAATCTCATAGAATATTAGGTATATAGTTTAGAAGATTCTTAGCAGTCTAAGACAAGAAAAGATTTAATGGCCACAAAGAAATTGGAATTTTCAGTAAAATGAGTCATTTTACCCACCTAAGCCCTGTGAGAACCACCGGCTTTGACTCTGCAGTAGCTGTACTGAGCATGTTTATCTCTTTTCTCTGCTTTTCCCAAGCCGTGTTAAGGTTGATGTTCCCAATAAGTTTGGCTTTACCGCTCTGATGGTTGCTGCCCAGAAAGGATACACCAGGTATGGCTCTTCTTTTTTTTAAATCTCTCTTGGGGATTTAACTTTTTATTTTATTCAAAGGCTCTGGTCAGGATAAGGATGGGAGGAAAAAGGGCCATGGAGGAACCGTTTCTTTTCTATCTCCCAAACCGTACCATATGATGGCTTAGAAATTCAACTATTGTAATCATAAAGTTACACAACATGCAGGAGAGAATGTAAATCATGTGTTGAGGAAGAGAGGTAGCCATTTAATTACATGCAATATATTTTTTATGTTCTTGGAAAACTGGTTATTGGAATTCAATTTTTTTTTTTTAAGATGTAGAGAGAGGGATATTCTGGAAAACTTTCTGCTAGGTTGCTAAGTTATAATTTTCACAGATACACTCTCATTATCTGTTCCACACAGAGATAAGTATTAATATGAATACCTCATTTTCATTTATATTTTAATTAAATGCCATTTGAAAAAAACAGAAATGCATCTTCATTACATGCTACCATTTAAGAATACATTAAAAATGGCCATTCAAAGGACAGCGAATTATTTTGGTAGCCCGATTTGTTTCATGTGCTTTCATTTGATTTTAATGAATAACTCGTGTCAAAGGTAAAAGCCCACATTTCTGGAATAAAGAGGTGGTTTTCTGGTTTAATGGTGCCTGGTTTTAAAACCAGCTGGCTTCTGAAGGTGCAGAAGAAACTG
This sequence comes from Homo sapiens, assembly GCF_000001405.40. Taxonomy (NCBI): domain Eukaryota; kingdom Metazoa; phylum Chordata; class Mammalia; order Primates; family Hominidae; genus Homo; species Homo sapiens. The sequence continues at coordinate 125,997,313 of NC_000010.11, forward strand.
TTGAAAGATACATCTTGGATGCTGTGTTACTCATTTTTACTGGACTATTGTGGGTTCTGAGTGATCAAGGTGACTTATCTAGCTACACTTAAGTTTGTTTCCTTTAGGCTTGTGAAAATCCTAGTTTCTAATGGCACAGACGTGAATCTGAAGAATGGAAGTGGCAAGGACAGGTAGGAGGTGGGATATGACTGAAATTGTGCTGATGTTCTCAGAATTGTGTTGCTAGGCTTGTGCCCAGAGGGGTTGTGATTTCACCAAAACATTGTCTTGAGTTTGACAGTCCTGAGAGGTGAGTGGGTCGCTGAGGAAAGATGGTGATCACAAAAGCTGGCTTGCTCACATGGTCTTGTGCTTTTGCTCACCAGGGTGCTTAGGGGGGCATCTGTTGTAACGTATGGTGACTTCTCTGGCATGGTCCCTGTGCCCAGTGGACACGCAGTGCACGGGAAATGGCAGCTACAGAGCAGCTCTCGCCATCCGCGCTGGGCGTGGGTGCAAGCGCCTGCCCCTGGCACCCCGTGCCTCTCTCAGGCCCCCGCTGCATTTCAGCCTCATTCATTGCTAAGAAATCTTCGTTGTTTCTAAAGAAGCAGACAGAAATTACCACAAGAGAGACACCAAGAGCACTTTCCTGAGGTGAGAGGCACATGTCCCCTTGGAGGGCTGAGAACGCTATAGGAAAAGCTCAGGGGAAGAACGTGACACACATAAAGGACAGATGAGAGTGTTCCTGAAAGACCTAAAAACACTTGCTCATCTAGTCATTCATCAATAAATTCCAACTAACCCATGTTTATTGATGGATTACTACTTGCCAGGTGCTGTGCTTTGGCACATGGGTGAAACACTGAGCAAAATGCCAGGCCCTGGCTTCAGGGGCTGTGGTCACAACACACACAGAACCAGGGCTTGGGCACTGTAGATGACATCGACAGACAGCTGCCAAACACCTTCTGGGGGAGGCCTTGAAGAAAACCCCAACTAACTTCTCAAATCAGAAGGCCTATCTTCTACATTTACATTCTCTGAACACAATACAGCAATAGATTTTAAATAACAATATCTTAAATATCACTTATAAATTTAAAAAGTATTTTTCCAAATAACTCATAGGTTGAGACTAAGCCATCAACTCCAAGTTTGAAAAGAAAAATAGCAATCTGAAAAGGGAAAAGAAAAAAAGTATGAGGAGAGTAGGAAAAATGAAAGAATTAAAAGTAGACATTGATTAAAAAATAGAAAGGTTATTGAGAAATGAGAGTTGCCTCTTAAACAAAAAGCTATCTAATAAGATACACCAATCTTTTGTAAATCTAAGAAGAAAAAAATTAGAAGTTTGAAAGAGAAGAATAACTGGTTATAGAGAAAATGTAAACATGAAAAGAAGTTTGTGTCTATAATAGTAGATAATTTCATTGAAATGGATACTTTTTTTCTGAGAAAATTTAAACCGCCAAGTCAACCCAAGAAGCAGAAAATTCGAAATAACCAATATCCATGCAAGAAACTAGAAAATTCATTTAAAAATTACCTCCAATGTAGGCTCTGTGGCTTGACTATTCGACCAGTGAACCTGTTCAGATTTTCTAGGCACTGATAATAAACTTGGGCTTTTCCAGAGCAGAGAGGAAGCTGGAAAGCTCCAGAGGACAACCTTATTGCTAAAATTTGATAGAGGAAAAAAAAGCTATTTGTATGTTTGTTTGTGTGTAGGTATTTATAAATCTCTTCCATCCCTCCTATGAGGGCCATACCAGAGGGTAAGGTATTAGGAAATTTTTTAACGTAACATTTTCCATCAGTCGATTAAAGGTGAAAACCTTTATTTGTGTAGATGCAAAACAAAAATTGGGTGTAACTTGGCATGTATGTTAAAAAGTATCTTTTTTTTTTTTTTTTTTTGAGACGGAATCTCACTCTGTCCTCCAGATTGGAGTGCAGTGGCGCGATCTCAGCCCACTGCAAGCTCTGCCTCCCGGGTTCACGCCATTCTCCTGCCTCAGCCTCCCAAGTAGCTGGAACTATAGGCGCCCACCACCACACCCGGCTAACTTCTTGTATTTTTAGTAGAGATGGGGTTTCACCGTGTTAGCCAGGATGGTCTTGATAGAAGTATCTTATTTTTTAAAGTGAAGGTTACTTTCAGCCTTTGAACAGTGTATGGCACATGGGAGGCAGGAAGTGTCTGTTGAATGAAGGATTCCTTTGATTGCAGCATACCAAGGTTTCTTTTATTTTTTAAATCATCTCAATCAGCCAGTGTCATTCTTAGTATTGGCAAATTCCTTTCCAAAATTAGTAGTGAAGCCCAGGAGAGTGGTGGAGAGCTTGATGTGAAATCTGCATCCCTCTGAGGATGTGGCGTGACCTTGGGCAGGCTACCTAACCTCTCCGTATCTCAGTTTCATGTCTGTAAAATTCGAATAACAGAAGTACTTATAGCTTGTAGGCATTTAATGAGTTAATATGAAAAATGCGTTAAAACAGTTCCTGGCATATGGTAAATACAGATATATTTTGTTATTTCATGATTAGACAGTATTTTGAAGGCTGATCTACTTAAGAAGATGTGAACTGAGATAAGAGGTATGATTTATTTCCTGTAGAACCCAACAGAATCAACTTGAAAAACTTAGACTTAATAAGGAGGCTCAGTAAAGTGGACAGCTACAAGGCAAAGAAAAGACTTTCTTAAATCCCTGCAATTACTGGTTAATAAATATAATGGGGAAATAGAATGAAAACAAGAAAGGTAGGAAATCTGAATTAAAAAAAACCCTAAAAACCTTACTGAGAGATATAAAAATTTAAGAAATAAAGACATGTCATATGCCAGAATGGCAAGATTGACTATTATACAATTTTTAGTTCTTCTCAAATACTGCATTGAGGTTCAATGGACCCTCAACTGGAATTATTCTTGGGAACCTGTCAAAATGATTGTAATTTATCTAGAAGAACAAATAGATAATATCTACTAAAACTTTGTCAAGGAAGAATGTGGAAGGACTTGCCTTGACAGTTATTAAAATGCCTCATAACGTTATAGTAATTAATGTAGTATGATACTGGAACAAATAATCAGAAAAAAAGTAGAATGGAATAGAAATCCTCAAATAGATCCCTATCTACGTAAGAACCTGGTATATGATGATAGAAGTAACATAAACCATTGAGGAAGGTATTGGAAAAATAGGATGTTTGAAGGAAAAAGTCAAGTTAGATCCTGGTCTTATAGCGTGTACCAAAATAAATTCCAGATGAATTAAGAATTAAATGTAAAAAACAAAACCATAAAAAATGACCAGAAAACACAGAGGCATAATTATTTTATCTTGTAATGTGAAAGGAACAAATGCATTGAAAGGAATCATTAAGAAAAAGATTGAGTGTATTATATATTTTTAAAAACTTAATTACAATGTTAAGGACATTCCAGGGAAATATTTACAAATGTATTAGAGACAAATTACCAGCATCTTTAATGTACAGAACACACACATGCCCATACATATACTCCAAAAAAGCCTCCACACACAGTAGAAAAAAGCAGTTTACACAAGAAGACAATTTATAGCAGAATCAATATAAGCAATTCATATAAAGATGTTTAGCATTACTAGTAATAACAATTTTTCTATCAAATTGGTGACTAAAAAATAATCATGTTGGTAAAGATGCAGTGAAATAACCTGTACTTTCAAATATAGTTGATAGAAATGTGAATTGGTATCATCTTTCTGGAAAGCAATTTGGAAATGTGCATCCATATTAAGCCACATCCATGGACACAGTGATCCCATTTTAGGAAATAATCAGAAATGCAAATACGATTAGTAAGGGTGTTTGTTGTTGCCTTATTTAAGATTGTGGAAAATGTGAAACAACTGAAATGTCTGACAATAATGGACTGATTGAAGTTATGATACATTCATATGATAGAATATTTAGTATGTGTTATGATATATTCATATGATGGAATATTTAGTATGCCAATGCTGTTTTCAGTGCTTAAGTAAACAGGGAAGTATATGAAATAATAAGAAACTGAAATAATACTTTTAAAAGGCAGGGAGAAGAGAAAATCATACAGAACAAGAGAGAAAAGACGGGATTTTGTGTAGAGCTAGGAATGTGACCCTGAGCAGGGGACTCAGCAGCAGGCAAGCGGAGCGGGTCCTCCATTTCTGGTGGGCTTGTACTAGGGCACAGTGGGATGCCCTGCAGGGCTGTGCTCAGGAGTGTGCTATGTCCTGGCCACTCTCCCCTTCTCCCACCTTGTGAACCAGAGAGGGGAATTCTTATAGAGCAGCAGATAACAGACCCCATGGGTGCCAGGCAGTTTGAGTTCAGATGGCAGTTGGGCTGGTGGCTGACTCCAGCTGCTTGGCCCTTGGAGGACCTTGGTGGCTTTCTGCCAGTGGGAGGTGGTAAGTTCAGGGCTGTGCCTATCCCTGGGAAGGAAGAGCGCCTGGTCTCAATGAGCTCATTGCTGGGCAATCCAGAGCCTCCGGGGCTGGAGTCTCTGGATTGTTAAAATAATCCAGGATTATTAAACAATCCTCCTCACCACCTAGAGCAAATTCAACAGAATCTTAAGAGTTTGTTCTCTGTGAGGTGAGGCTATGGGTGACTCTGATATGGGATTTTTTTTCTAGGTACCATGCCTTACTTTATAATCAGAAAAGAGGCATTATTTAAAAATCATGCAGATAGGCTGGGCGTGGTGGCTCACGCCTGTAATCCCAGCACTTTGGGAGGCTGAGGCAGGCGGATCACGAGGTCAGGAGTTTGAGACCAGCCTGGCCAGGCTGGTGAAACCCTGTCTCTACTAAAAATACAAAAAATTAGCCGAGCATGGTGTTGTACGCCTGTAATCCCAGCTACTTGAGGGGCTGAATCAGGAGAATCACTAGAACCCAGGAGGCGGAGGTTGCAGTGAGCCAAGATTGTGCCAGTGCAATCCAGCCTGGGCGATAGAGTGAGACTCTGTCTCAAAAAAAACAAACAAAAAGTCATGCAGACAATTAGAGTTCTGTTTGAATATAATTTAAAAAATGAAGTTTTCTTCCCTTAGCAAAGGTCATTCTAAAGACCTTTGAGTGCTTGGGAAAGCAGTATGAACACCCTAAACCCAGCAGGCAGGTGCTGCACCATGCTGACTGTCTTCTGGGGGTCTCCAAGAAATGAGGGACTGTGTGAGGACATGCAGCTGCAGAGTTCTGGCGCCATCTCAGCTCGGCTGTGCCTTGCCTTGGGGGCTGGATATTCCAGTTATCACTCAGAGGCTTTGCACGTTTCCCTATTGAGAAGATCTTCTGTTTTATTTTCCAACTCTCTATTTTGAAATATTTACACATTTAGAAAAAATGAAAGAATAGTACAACAAACACCTGTATACCCCCCACCTAGGCTTGGCAGTTGACATTTGGCCATATTTGCCTCTCCTTTTTTTTTTTTTTTTTTTTCATTCTTGCTGAACTATTCTGAAATTAGTAGATAGCATAACCCTTCACCCCTCAATACGTCAGAAAATGTTTCCTAAAAACACAGTCATTAACCTGCATAGTAATCGTGTCATATCACTTCTAAGACACTTCAACTAATTCCTTAATATCACTGATACACAACCACCCTGCAGGTCTCCCAACCTGTTCCCCAAAGGTCTTCCACAGCTCTATTTGGGAGGTGGTGTGGGGTTTTGGGGGTGTTGTGGGGTGAGACGTTCCCACATTTCATCTGGCCATTCTCTCTCTTTATAGTCTCTGGTTCTAGACCAGTCCTCTCTTTAAATTTTTTTTTTTTTTCTCATAGCAGTGACTCTTTGAGGAGAGCAGACCAGTTATCTTATAGAATGTCCTATGTTCTGGATTTGCTTGTCTCCCGGTTGTGGGGCAGGCATTTCACTTGTTCATCTATCCCTTTATTAACAATAAAGTTAAAGACAGGCTTAAGGGCTCTATTAGGTTGGGTGCTGTGGCTCCTGCCTGTAATCCCAGCACTTTGGGAGGCCGAGGCAGGAAGATCACTTGAGGCCATGAGTTTGAAATCAGCGTGGGCAATAAGGTGAAATTTTTTAAGAATTAAAAAAAAATTAAAGGCTTAATTAGACTCAGGTTAACACTTTAGCAAGAATGCTTCAGAGCTAGTGTTGTGACTTCATGTTACATCCATTGGGAGGCCTGTGATGCAGGTTGTCTCACAGGTAGTGATTCTAGGTTTCATTATTTTTTTTAGAATGATGACAGCAAATTTTCTTCTCTGTAAAGATACAGTTTTCCCATTGCACTTAGAAAATAATTTCTGGGATAATTCATTGCCATGTGAATATTCCATTCCCCATTAACTTTTATTTTTTATTTATTTTTTTTATTTTTTGAGACAGAGTCTTGCTCTCTCTCCCAGGTTGGAGTGCAGTGGCATGATCTCGGCTCACTGCAACCTCCGCCTCCTGGGTTCAAGTGATTCTCCTGCCTCAGCCTCCTGAGTAGCTGGGATTATAGGCTCTTGCCACCACTCCCAGCTAATTTTTATATTTTTAGTAGAGATGAAGTTTTGCTGTGTTGCTCAGGCTGGTCTTGAACTCCTGAGCTTAGGCAATCCACCCACCTCGGCCTCCAAAAGTACTAGGATTACAGGGGTGAACCTCTGTGCCTGGCCTCCCCATTAACTTTTACCCAATCATTTCAGTGCCAATAATTTTATTGCCTGAATCAATTATTTAATTGGGAATTGCAAATAAGGGTTTTTCTAACTCTATGGTTCCTTTTATATTTATTAGTTGGCAGTCTTCTGTGAAAAACAGCTTCCCCCCACCAACTGGGGATGGACTACATTTTATCCTTAAAAAAAAAAAAAAAAAAAAGAAAATATTTAATTTTTAAATACCAATTTTTAGAGTAAGAAATTGGTTTGATAGTTATCTCTAATAGTGTCAAATGAGTATTTTTTTTCCTTTTTCTCTTTTTTGAATATCATGGACTTTGGATGTTTTAAAATCCAATATTTTACCCTCAGTTACAGTCACTATTCATTTTTTATTGAGATATAATTCAGATACCATAAAATTCACCTTTTAAAACATACAATTCAACATCTAAAAATGTATTCACAAAGTTGTGGAACCACCACTACTATCTACTTCCAGAATATTCATCCCCTGCCCCCCTGAAAGAAGCCCTGCCCTCTTCAGCAATCACACCCCATTACTCCTTCCCTTCAGCCGCAGGCAACCGCTCACCTGCTAGTTCTGTCTTGCAGATGTGCCTGTTCTGGACATTTCGTATAAATGGAATCAGACAATATGTGGCCTTTCATGGCTGGCATCTTTCAGCACAGTGTTTCGAGGTTCATGCATGTTTGTAGCACTTCATTTCTAATATTCCATTGTATGGATATACCACATTTTGTACATCAGTTGATGGATACGTGTACGTTTTATATGAACAGTTCCCATGGCTTTTCCACTCAAGTTAGGATTTCTTGGTTTAAGCCAGGTAGGGTAAAAGGTGGAGCTGAGTTTGGTGACTGTGCTTATTGTCAAATGCCGCTTCTTCCATATGTTGCAGTCTAATGCTGGCGTGCTATGCGGGACACCTAGATGTTGTGAAATATCTCCGAAGACATGGCGCTTCTTGGCAGGCTAGAGACCTGGGAGGCTGTACAGCTCTGCACTGGGCTGCAGATGGAGGCCACTGCAGTGTGATTGAGTGGATGATAAAGGATGGCTGTGAGGTACGGGACCTGCCTTGTTAACCACGCACATATCGTTAAGAATCTGAAATGCTGCTCCATGGGGTCTGGCAGAAGCAGGGCCTTTGATTAGCTAACCTTAGAAATGCTGGAGAAAGTTTTCTGACTTAGCAAGAAAGCCCCTGAAACCTTAGAATGGACATGAGAGTGAGCTTTCCGATTGTCATGGGGGTTTATCTTGTGTAGGGAAAAGAAACAGGTCTGAATCCAGAGCTGGACCTGATGCTTCTACTTTCTTTCTTTTTTTTTTTTTTTTTTGAGATGGAGTCTCACTCTGTCGCCCACGCTGGAGTGCAGTGGCGCGATCTCGGTTCATTGAGGCCTCCGCCTCCCAGGTTCAAGCGATTCTCCTGCCTCAGCCTCCCTGGTAGCTGGGACTACAGGCACATGCCACCATGCCCAACTAATTTTTGTATTTTTAGTAGAGACGGGGTTTCACCATGTTGGCCAGGCTGGTCTTGAACTCCTGACCTTAAGTGATCCACCCACCTCAGCCTCCCAAAGTGCTGGGATTACAAGTGTGAGCCACCGTGCCCAGCCTGATGTTTCTACTTTGTTCTTTTGTTCATTTGCTTCTCTCTCCATTCAGTCTGTCACCAAAGCTTTACTAAGCATGTACCAGATATTATTTCAAATGGCGGAGATACAAAGATATTAAGAGAGCCCTTATAGCCATTGTGCTTCTTGTTACTTCTAAAATTAGGTAATTTTTATTCTTGGTTTGTTTTAAAGATTAGTCATTACAAAAAATTTCCAAAGAGGAAACTGACCATATCAAGAATAAAACATTTCAGTTCTTTGCATCTTTACCTGGAAACAGGCAAGTGGTCTACTTTTGATTTCACGTTATCAGAAACTGCAAATTTGATTTAGCAAATAGAAGCAGTGTTGTTGGACGTCTATAGATATTTGAAGATGGGTAATTAGAATTAGATCAATTATGGAAATTGCTGGTAACTTTGAAAACTTTATTTCAAGACTTTGAAGAAATTAGCTAAAAATTTCAAAGCATGGAACTAAAGAATGATGGACAAAGTTCTGTGCTATCTGTGACTGCCAGATGGTGTGTAGAGTGCTGAGAAATTAAGTCGATGACCTGGAAAATCAACTCAAATTGAGAAAAGTCATGTCTCCTGGAAGATGTCAGTAGATTTCTTCTAGTTTGTTTCTGAAGGGTAATTGAGGGAAAGTGAGACTGCAGTTATGGGATCTATCTGGTTCCTGCTGCTGCTTTTGGAGAATTAAGAAAAGTGCCCCCTTATAGGAAAAATCTCAGTCATTAAAAATTTATTACATTTCTTATTTTCCTTATGTTTTAGAGACAGGCACAGAGGCAGAAGGCTGAGTCAGTGGGCTTCCATAGTAGAGCCGGGCCCACGTGCCATGTGTGGTAGTGACAGCCACACACTCCTTGATTGGTTTATGATGAATTCTGGGCAGGTTTTGCACCTAGTGAAAGTCTGTGGTTGAAAAAGAAGGTTGTACTTTGCTGAAAGAAGTCAAGCATCGGGGCCGGGCACAGTGGCTTATGCCTGTAATCCCAGCACTTTGGGAGGCCAAGGCGGGTGGATCACTTGAGGTCAGGAGTTTGAGACCAACCTGGCCAACATGGTGAAACCCTGTCTCTACTAAAAATACAAAAATTAGCCAGGCGTGGTGGTGGGCACCTGTAATCCCAGCTATTAGGGAGGCTGAAGCAGGAGAATTGCTTGAACCCAGGAGGTGGAGGTTGCAGTGAGCCAAGATTGTGCCACTGCACTCCAGCCTGGGTGACAGAGTGAGACTCCATCTCAAATAAATAAATCATTCACAATAGGGCAAATCTCTGCTATCAACATTTAAATACTGGAGTTTTGGAAATGTAGGCTCTCTGGGCTTCAGATATGAATATACTTATTTGGGATAAATTCCATCTTTCTTTGAAGCACTGGAACTACTTTGCAGAGGACAGAACAATAAGCATGGATGTGTTTACTATAGATTTCCACATGACTGGCCTGGTGGCGGATGGATGATGTCAACATGAGTCTTTCCATATTCTGGCAGGTGGCTCACCTGATGCTTCTGAAGCCCATGGGAAGGACTTGAGAGCCAATCACCACCTTCTTCCCAAATGTAATGATCATATACTAAGAGTGACTTATTTACTTGGCGACTGACTTATTCATTTGTGCATTTAATGATCCATGTGATCTCAGGAAAGGCACTTCTCTGAGGTTTATTTTGATTGTTTGTAAACCAAGAATAAAAATACCTACCTCTGATTAACGTTTAGGACCAAAAGAGAAAGTGTGTGTAAAGAGGGTTGAAAGCTGTGTAAAGCATCATGTAATATGAGGTGCTTATTTTATTATTCTTTAAATATAATGGAGTGTGTTGCCCACAGGTTAGTTCTTTGCATGAAGAAGAGCTGCAAATCCAAATCATGTTACAGTGGATAATCTTATATGTAGAAATACCCTGAAGTGCTCCCAAGATCTCCTGGAAATTCCTTGTTTGTTTTTCCATTCTGATGTTTTACTAAAGCTATGGATCATCTTTGAGTAATTCTTCTGTAACAGATTGTGTGTGTGCGTGCACGTGCTCATGTGTGCTTATGTGCACATGGTATGCGTGTGTGCACACACGAGTGTGTGTGCGTGTCTGAGCACAAACACGTATCTGTCTTTACTTCAGCACCACTCTTCATGGATTGGCGATGTCTTCATTGGAATTGGAAGCGACAATATTTACATTTTCTTAATCTAAAATATTTATTTTAAAACACTAAATTGAGAGATTTCAGTGTAGAGAAGATGATCAGGAAACAGCCATCTGATTACTGGGCACACTGTTTTGGAGAAGCCTTTAGTCAGACTTTTCAGACAGAGTTTGTGTAATGAATCTGGTTGTTCTGTATTTTACCTGTAGGTCTCCTGCCTAAAATTGATAAGTATTAGTAAGTATAAGTGTGTATATATATTATTACTGTCTTGTTCCAGAAAGGATGTAAAGCTGCTTACAACAATACATAAAAGTAAGAAAAATGAATGCTAGGTGAGGAAAGTTAGGCAAGAGAAAATAAGAACTCCCCAGGGGCCAAGTGGAAAGTAGTTCAGTTAACTTTTCTAGCCCATCTTTTTTCCACTTTAAAGGATGTAGATGAAGAAGCCGGTGGGGAGACCCTGGGGCCTCTCAGCACCAAAATGTGACTTAAATTAGCACAGTGCAATGAACCAAATATAGAAAGACGGCTATCTAAGTCCGGGTGTTGGGGCAAGCAAATATTCCTTTTATAAGTTTGAATCATTTTAAGAAAAAGAAATTGGGCTCAACACAGCTGTTTCTCTGGCCCAACAGGTAGACGTCGTGGACACTGGTTCAGGATGGACCCCACTCATGAGAGTCTCTGCGGTGTCGGGAAATCAGAGGGTGGCCTCTCTTCTAATTGATGCTGGGGCCAATGTGAATGTGAAGGACAGAAATGGAAAGACGCCCCTTATGGTAGGTCCTCCTCCCGAAAATAGGCAGTTTTCTACGTGGAATTAATGTCAGAGCTTTTTCTGTAATTAGACAATTCTTGTGAGTTCAGCCCTGCACCAGCCCTTGGGTTTGACTGTGTGTGTGTGTTCCCTGTCGGCTTGTTCATAAGGGCATGAGGCTGTCACTAGAATACTTTCGTTGTCTTTTTACAACTATTTAAGGACTAAAGAACCCCTGTCCCCAGGACCACTGTGGGATCAAAACAGAACTGGTGAAACAAAGAACAAGCTGCTTTCTGTTCTGGTTTTAGTGTGGATAGAGGGAGTCCATTTTCCATTTTCTCTGGAGTTGCTACCATACAGCTGCAGAGGAAGCGCTGTGCCTGCAGGCCATGCAAAGCCACAGTGGTCTTTTGGGGTTGCAGGGGGGCTGCTGGGACCCTGCATGTGCCAGGCTCATGCCCCCTGCTGTGTGTGCCCTGGAGGGAGAAGCTCATGCACACCACCCTGGGTTTTGTTTTCTAGGTGGCTGTGTTAAATAATCATGAAGAGTTAGTTCAGTTACTTCTTGACAAAGGGGCAGATGCAAGTGTAAAAAATGAGGTAAATGAGTCCATCTTTATGTAAAGATTTTCCTCGGAGGGGGAGAAAACATTTATAAGCATGTAAAATTTTTGTTGTTTCCTGTTTCAGTTCGGCAAAGGTGTCCTAGAAATGGCCAGAGTTTTTGACAGACAGGTTGGGATGCTCTTTCTGCCTATCAAGGCTAATTTTTAGTCCTTCTAGACTCAGAAAAACCACCAAAACCCTGGATTACATTCGCCTGTCTGTTTTGTTTATCTAGAGTGTAGTCTCCTTATTAGAAGAAAGGAAAAAAAAGCAGAGGCCAAAGAAGTCTTGTGTCTGCTGATGAGAGCACCACTCATCTGCGAAACGCACGTAAAACAAAGTGAACCGTGACTGTTAAACTAGGGATGGGAAATTCTGCATCTTGGGGGGCTGTACATTTATTTATTTAGTTGAAGATTCACTGATCCCACTTTGAAATACATCTTTTTACCTAAGCATGTGCGTATGTGGTACCATCATTGGGTGTCTGTAGAATGGGGATGTTTTCTTGCACTTGCGCCTTTTGGAGTTAGACATGAAACAAAATATTTATGCACCGGAGCTACACAAACACACATGGGGTCTCCCACTCCCGGCTCCTGCCCCGCAAGCTGTCCTTCTACCATGCTAGGCCTTGTTGGAATTCTTTCCCTCATGTGTTTTCAATTAAATCCTCCCCTCCCAACTTAGGGCTTCCAGGCTGGTTGTCAGGCCGCTGCTCCCTCCTGGAGTGGCGCTCCTCCGAAAAGCCCAGGAGTTTTCTCTTCAGCTGTTGGCCTCACATCAAAGCTCAGAATACATATTTCAGGACTCTGATTCTGTTCTATTGGAGGTGTCTGATTGAGGGTCAGCCTTTTTGGCCACAGACAGGTCTAATGTGTTTGCATATACTCATGCCCTGACAATGGAAGACTCAGCCTGCTGATGGGTGGACGATGTAGCCAAAGGGTAGTATATTAAATTTTGTCTTCAGAGCAGAAGGTTTTCTGATGCTGATCATGCAGTTCCTAGACAAGTAGGAATTAACTGCAACCATGTCTGCTGGTTGGGAGCTTAAAGACACAAATGTGGTAGAGCTTCAACTCAGCAAACACACTTCAAAATCAGCAAAAAAGTGAGCACACAGACCACATGAGTTTATGTCTCCAGAGAGACACTGGTTAACTTGACCCCATGGGAAAACCAGCTACATAGGTCTGTAGAGGAGTGGATTTTTTTTTTCCTGTAGGGAAAGCCTAATAAAAGGTAATTAAAGCTCCAAAGCTTTTGCTGAGGGGCATAGAGAAAAAGCACACAATTTTATTGACGTTAGCAATCAGCTTTATTCCAAAGAGCCCACAGAATATTCGTTTTAGGAATTGGATTTGTGGACCATATATAGTCCATTCCTTAGATATTTCATGAGTGTTTTACCTTTTGTACAAATGCAAATTCCTTTAGATTTGCCAGATTAGGTTTTTAAAACCTCTTTAAAAATTGGAGCACATTTACAACTCTCCAGAGGTCCCTCCTTTGGTTGGTGGTCAATGTTGATGTTCACCTTAGTTTCATTTTTTGGTCTGTTGTAGACTGTATTCACTAGCCTGCTCTTATGGTAGGAGTGTGCATCCCTTCTGGTTGACATCAAGCTTGGCAAAACTGCCCACCCTCCCGATCGATATTGAACCATCCTTATATTCTTGAGATCATCTCCCTGGGTTATGGTGGACTGCAGGATTCTTCATGCTCATATGCTATGTATGTTTGCTCTTTTTCTTCTTTTTACTTAATGAGATTAGAAAGTGGCGTATACACTGTTAGAATTTTCCTAAAGAGCAACTCATAGTTTTATTAGCTCTACTGTATTCTAATGAACTTATCCTTAGGTCTACAAATTCATTTCTTCTATTTTTTCCCCTGGGTTTATTTTATTGTTCCTTTTATAACTTTATAGTAGATATTAAGTTCCCTTTTTCATCCTTTACAAATTAATTTATAGATTTAGGGCTATGAATTTTCCCCCAGCAGTGCTTTAGTTACATTATCATAGAAGTTTTCTAAACTTTTCTAATGAAAAATTCAACTGGGAGAACTTGCTAAGTACACATTTCGTAGCCCCATCTCTGCTCTCTGAATTGGAATCTTCAGGGAAAGGGCATGAGCAATGGATTTTAATGGGTTTGAACAAGCATCACAAGTGAGGTCTTCTAATTCTAAGATCTTGAGAATCCCTACCATCACATGTGCTATTAGAAATGTTTTCACTTGCTGTTTTCTAATCTGCAATTCATCTTTGAAAACTAATGAATCAATTCATTTCTAGGGTATGGAATTATTTTTTGAGAATTTTTATTCCTCCAAGGCACTTGGAAAGATGATATATTCTGTATGTTTGGAGTATCCTGTTTGATATATATCAATTATGTCTGAAGTTCTGTATGTACTAATTTTTGCCAGCTTGTGTGATCATAGGTGGAGAGTGGTAAGAATAAAGACTTCTTCGGCTGGGTGCCGTGGCTCACACCTGTAATCCCAGCATTTTGAGAGGCCAAGGTGGGCGGATCATGAGGTCAGGAGTTTGAGACCAGCCTGGCCAACACAGTGAAACCTCATCTCTACTATAAATACAAAAATTAGCCAGGCGTGGTGGCACGTGCCTGTAATCCCAGCTACTCAGGAGGCTGAGGCAGGAGAATTGCTTCAAGCCAGGAGGCGGAGGTTGCAGTGAGCTGAGATAGCACCATTGCACTCCAGCCCGGGTGACAGAGTGAGACTCCGTCTTAAAAAACAAAAAAAAAAGACTCCTTTATTCTTGTTAGCATTTTGTATTTGTATTTTTGTATTTTCTGTAGTTTTATTAAGTTGGATGCTGTGTTTTTTAAATAGGTATCTATTTACACTTAGATTTTTCATACCAAATAACTCCGATATTGTCTCTACCACTGCTTGCTTGCTTTTTGGATTTCTTATGTAAATAGATGAGTTTTAAAAAATTAGGTTATACATTCACATTGTTCAAAAACCATATCATGCCCCACCCCCCGTGTTGTGTGTGAGCATCTTCCTTCCTGTGCCGTGGTCTCACACGTTCATGAGGTTGGTAGCACACACCCCTTATGCACCCCCACCCTGCCAACCATTCTTCTTAGTTTCTTATGTACTGCTCCAAACTTTTCTCAAGCATCTATAAATGAATGAGAATACATTTTTCTACATGAAGGCCTTCCGCCAATTTTTGTAACATTCTCAGTAACAAATGAGAGACACATTGATATTTACCTTTATACAATTTATTGGGTTTAATATTCATAACAATAACTTTTTCTACTGAAATAGCAGTTTGTGTTTACCTGTCGAACCCCAATATGAGAAATGTGTACAAAAGCAACAGACTGTGATAGAAAAAGGTATGTGAAAAAATTAGCAAACCAAAGCATGATAAATGGATGAAGCACTATAAAATTACTTTGCTGTTTACGTAACTGTATCTTTAATCTGTACTGTGCTAAACAGCCTATAGCCAAGTTTTAAAGAGTTACAGGAACAACTGCTACACATTCAAAGAACAGGCATTCACTGCAGCCTCCTGATTTGACCTGATGGGAGGGACAGGAGAATGAGTCACTCTGCCACCACTTTTCCTGCCTTGGATTTGTAGAGGATTTGTTTTGCTCTAATTTGTTTTTCCTATATCTGCCCTACTAAGGTACCTGCTTATAGGCCATGAAAATAAAACGCCATTCAACTTTTTTTTTGTAAAGCTAAAATAATCACATGATACTTATTCTTTGGAGGATTTAAAATGTGCTAAATGGAGGACTAAAGAGTTACCTTATAGGAGAATCATGGGGAACAGAGAAACTGCTTTTTGAAGATGATGTGGAAGGTCAGGGTGGGTTACAGGGCATTCAACCTGGAAGAGCTGAATAGCTTTACATTGAGAATTACTTTGTATGTTAAATCTTCTGGCCATCATTATCCATTATTGGATATTTTAACAATTTTATAGTTATTCTTAATTTTTCTCATATGAAACTGTAATGGCTGTACTAGAAGCTGCCATTACTGTTCCAAAAAGTAAAGGGGATTTTCTCTACAAAAGGAAAGAAAATGGCACATTCACATGTAGGTAAGTAGCTTCTGGAAACATCCTCACTGCACAGAAATGGTTCTCAGCATGGGGCTCCCAAACTTTCTTAGAGTGTCATTTGTTTTAGTATCAGAGTTTTCAAATAGGTTTAAAAGCAGTAGATGTCAATAGGAACTTTAAGGTGAGTCAAGAGAATTTTGTAATTATAGATAAGTTGATTTTCTGTGGCTAACTTCCCCTTCTAATTAGAACAAGACATTGGGTGGGAGGTCCTCTGCTGGACTTAGGCTGGTGGGGTTGCTCTGGGCTGCAGCCCTGGAGAAGGTTGGGCTTTGGGCATCCCTTGGGTGGGCCTTGTAGGGATAGCCACACACTGCAGCAGTCACCACTTTGGCTGATCTAAAGTAGCAATGGAAGTAGTGATTTGACTGTCAAACTGGAGATGCATCGGCCTGTGGTTTGACCTGGGAAAGGGGCTTGTGTCTGGGTGATAGGGAAAGGTAAACAGATGTATTAGCCACTGGCTTTGTGTGGGCAGCTGTGTTGAATCAGCCTGCTGCTGAGTCACAGGGAGTAACTGCAGCTGCCTAGGGCTGGCTTCTAGCATGGAGAGGAGAGGAAAAGGGGTCCTGCAATGTCCCCCAGCAGCCTGTCATTGTGTGTGAAACTCCTAGCCTGAGAGCCCCACCTCTGGTCAGCACTAGTGTTGGGAGACTTCTGGGAGGGATTGTGACTTTCAGCTGGGTAACTGGTGTCTGGCTGAGGCCATCTTGAGCGCAGTGAGGAAGGATCTCCAGCCTGAGTGTGCCGTGGGCCCCCCGAATACATAGGGGAGCCCTGCAAAGCAGTTTTGAAATGAGTAGTACATCTCACGAAGAAAGTCTGCAAGAGGTCGAGGTGCATGAGAAAGATCTGGCCCTGCTGCCCTGGCGCCACCTTGTGCCCTTTCTGCTGCTGGGGGTCTCATTGGCTCAGAGTGCTTAGTAAACATCAGTGGCGAGGGGGCAGGAGGATGCTCAGCCCTGCCAGTCGGCCCAGCACCAGGCTCTTTTTAGCACCGTGGAGACCATAGGCTCCTTAAGAACATTTTGACACAGTTTTAGCCGGTTTTTTTTTTTTTTTTTTTTTTTTGAGGATGCATTGATGTATTGATTTGCCTGGGAACAATGGCCTATAGTTCAGCCTGAGAATTCTCATAAAGTTAAGAAGGCATAAAAATGCCCCCCCCCCGAGACTCGTCAGGAGTATTGACTCTCCTACAGTTTAATTTGCTGCTTTTGTGGTTTCTGTGATGTCATCCCACATGTGTAAGCTGGAAAAATCCACGCTGTGAAATGTAACCTCCTGTGTGTATTTCCACAATGGAGAATGTTAGGCTTCGTTTCCCTCGGTTGCTACACATCTGATTACATGTGTCAGGAAAACAAACTTAAAAAATTTCAGGAGACAAACCTTTCAGCGGAATTGCCTGGAACCCATGAAGTGAGGTCATAGAACCTACAACTATAATAAGCTGTAGGAAGAAAAGTAGCCTCTGGGCTACTTTGTGTCTAGTCACATTGACTTTCCAGGTGATGGCCCTACAAAACTCAAACCACCTCTATTATTCATGCCTATACAGTCTTTTAAAAAAATACTAGATTGCCATTGAAATATAAGTATTGATTTTTTTTGTTTTGAGGATATAAAAAAGAATACTCCACCCCGTGCCTCCCCCAACCACAAAACACCCTGGTTATTGGTTCCTAAGTTATGTTAAAATGGAATTTGCTGCTAAATATGCTTCACTTGATAAATACTGCATCTTGGAAGGATTAATACTGTCCATATTGTAAGGGAATATTAGTTTAAATATGTTCTTATTCAGAAATAAAATGCATGGCTCTATAATAACACATTAGTACTGTAGAGATAAGAATGTGTCATCAGCCATGGCCCCTAAGTGGCCATTGATGACATGGCATAAGATCACAGTTTTAACCTCCTTTAATATCAAACTCTCCTGGCTCTCTGAAATAGAAGCATAGGAATTACAGCTAAGAACAAACAACAAAAGAAAAACTCAGTTCATATCCTCTTATAATTGGAGGAAGGGCTAACATGCCAGATCTAAGGATTTGGGCATCTAAAAAGACAATGCCCACGTAATGCACCATAAAATTCTGTAAACCTTTTTAATAGTATATATATGTTTGGCTTTAGTACAATTACCAAGTGTAATCAGTTACAGTAATTCTGTATGTATCTCAGCAGTATTATTTTCCAGCATGGCTTTACATTTTAAAGAACTTAATAACTATAGAATAAACAGATGCATGCTATACGAGTTGGAATGTATTAGAGCTGGGTTCCCTTTTGTGTGTGTTTGTGTCACGTGTTTAGTTTATCCATAGTCATGAATACTATGTTGCCTAGATACAGTGGGGAACACCGGGAAAGTGAAATGCAGTTTTGTTTTCTGGAAGGCAAACCAAGATTCTTGGTACATATTTTTCTGTTTCAAAGCATAGGAAAACTGTTGACCCCCAAAAGAAGGCTTTCTCATAAAACACTCAGAGTGAATTATGTAACTGTTGTCAATTGTCTTCTAATGTGAAAACCAGTCCAGAAGACAGAGGCATCATGGCATTTTACCTTATCTGAGTATTTTTGTATTTCTCATGCCATTAGTCACTTTAAAGACCTTGTGAAACATGGCTCCCTAGTCAGGCATTTGAAGAGTGAAGAGTTCAAGGGGATGCTGCCCAAGCCAGCATCTCATAATATTTAGGAAGTTGATAAGCAAGTTGATTTCCTTATCACATTCTGTGATGCTCAACAGGTAGGTTGCAAGTGTTTAAGAAATAGGTTCAGACTCTGTTAAAAGCATCTTTTAAAGATTCCTGCAGCCAAGTTGGAAAAAGAGGATGCCCCATAGAGAAGGTTCTTTGTCCAATATCTACGAATAATGATAGCAGACATGAACTATACCCATGAACATCACATTCCATTGGTTGTAGTTTTTGCAAGCATAAAGAGTCTGCCTAATTGTTAATAAGTTGAACCTTGCAGTAAACAGACTTGATTGACTAGATCTGGTTAATGGTTCACATCTGAAAATAGTTGTGGTCCCATGGAAAGCCTCATCTGTCTGAATACAGGATCATTGTATTACAGTTTGTGGTGATTTGCTCAGCTCCAAGCAGTATAGGGAGGTGGCGGTTTGCAGTGCCTGGGCAGTAGGTTTCTTACAGAAACACCACCTTTCCCAAGCTAAATAACCTACTGGTGGCAGTGCTCTAGAAAGGACAGCGAGAAAAAGAAGTGCTTGGCATTTCTATCAAGCACCGCCTTGAGTGACACTACAGACCCCTTCCAAACATGCTCACGGCTGGTCAGCTCAGGGTCAAGTTCTGGCTTGTCTAGTGTTCCAGTCTCTATCCTGGTGTGGCTACACCTTAAGATTCCTGTCTGCAACCCAGGTTCTCACCAAAGCTTCCTGGCCAGAAGCCAGATTTCTCCCAGGTGTCCCTGGGAGCCTGCCTGCCAGTTGTCAAGGGGCACAGGGCCTCCCTGAAAGCCAAACACAGCCTGGACCTGAAGCCCCTTGGCTCTGGCCTGAGATGGGGAATCCAGAAAATCAACTGAGATTCTACTTGGGATCTCTTGAGCTGCATCTGGTACCATAAGCACAGCTGGGGGTAGTTGGGGGACTGCTTTCCAATAAGGCCTTGATCAGAAAGCAAACACATCCTGTCCAGAATCCCATCAAGCAGGATATTTCAAGTTCACTAAAATACTAAAAGCACAACAAGCCTTCCTGCCATGGAAAACTCAGTGATGGTAAAAATGCCTACTACAGCGCACTGCACTGTAATCAACATTCTGCATAAATTAATAATTTACAAGTACCTGAGCAAGTAGACAGAGCACCATAGCACAGCACAGCACTGACGGCAGTAGCTCAAAGTTCTTATAGTAATGATGTTTTAAACATTAAAAAAAATCCTAAAAGTTGGTACAAAAAACTCCAACTGGAGCTGAAAGATAGTGCAAACTTCTGTCTTCACTGTTGAAAAAAGGTGTCGGCTTCTCACTTAATATAGGCGGTGTGGGTGGATCTGGGCACTTGGTGTGGATATTGTGGAGCAGGTCTGAATGAAGAGAGGAGAAAAAAAAATGATCAGAGACCTTGAGAAGTGATTCTGAGGATAGAGAGGTCTGGGGTTGGAGATGTATTCTGATAGTCTGAAGGGTTTTCTGTGTCAGATACCACTGCCCCTCATAACGGGGGTGGGAAACCTGTCTCCAAAGCCGCACTTCCCACCCACAAGTCAACTCTAGACCAGCACTGTCCCACAGAAAAAATGTGAGCTACACAAGAAATTTTAAATTTTCTAGTAGCCACATGAAAAAAGTAAAGAGAAAGGTGCAATTAATTTTAGTAATACATTTAACTCAGTATACCTAGAGGATTATTTCAACAGGTCATCATCAATAGAAAAAAATGGATAGTTGACATTTTAGGGTACTAAGTCTTCAAAATACAGTAAGACTTTTACCAGGCGCAACATGCCTAGCAGTCCCTGCATCCCACAGCACAGCTCCAGAGAACAGGGAGCAAAGGTGGGCACCCAGTATCCCTAAAAAATGAAATGTGCAGGACAGGACCAAAATCAGCAACTGACCAGAGGTAAGATTGGCCACAGCTTGAGGGCATTTAAGAAAAAGGGCTTCCCCTCATTGTTTTCATGTAAAGTAGTGTTTCTTCCTCAAATAGAACAAGAAAAATAACTTCAAGATCAACATGCAAACCACAATGAAATAATTAGGATGCTATGCAATTTTTCTCTATTTATGAAGTTGGGAATTAAACAATTGTCCTGACCCTTTGACCGCCTTTATCTCTGACATTTATTAAGCAGCTCTTTCTTTCACGGGCCAAACATTCTTCCCAAGAGCTGTAATAAAATCACTCCAGTGTGTCTTCTCCTTCAGAGATACAGGATTACTGAACCCAGGGCCTGGCCAACACAGTACCTTTGGTTCTTTTGAGCTCACAAAGCAGGCTTCCTGCCAAGAGGGCATGTGTGTCAGAAGAGTACTTTGGCTGTGGGTTTAACTCATCTGTGTGCTGGTAAATGTTGAACAGCCCATGGGGTTGGGGGCAGGAAAGCCTGATTTGCAGTATTTGCCAATGTCCATGGTGTAAATACTCCTCCTGTGGCTGGTTTCAAGCTACCACCTGACATCACTAAACATGGAAGAGATGCAGGCAGCTACCATGACCTAGGTTTTCTGCCATACAGAAATAATGGATGAGTGCAATCTCAAGAGCACAGACAATTATAGCAAAATGGAGAAAAATGTGAAGTGAGTTTTGAGCACTTATTACCTTTGTTTCTAATATAAAATATCATAAATTTGTATAATTTAATCCTTAATATTGGCTAGGTTTAACACCTAGCTTGCAAAATTCCTGGAAATTGGTTATCTCTCACCAACCAGGGTAAGCTGGCTCCCCTACACCATGGGGTTAGCCTCCCAGCATAAGTTGGGATTGAGGTCTCTGCCTTCCTAGTGGACCAAGCAGGATAAGCTGTGAAAGGTGATTCCTTTTGCCCATTGTCCCTGTTTTCCCAGTGTCCTGCTGCCAGGCAGCTGCTTTCCCTTACTCCCCATATGTCCCTTGCTCCAGCCGTATGCCTCCAACCCGACTAATGTCTCAGGACCTCAGGAACTGGGCAGATTCTGCTGAGAGTTGTGGAGGTGGGCATTGAGATGGTCTGAATCTGTGTTCCTGCCCCAGTCTCATATCAAATTGTAATCCCCAAAGTTGAAGGTGGAGCCTTGTGGGAGGTGACTAGATCCTTCATGAATGGTTTAGCACCATCTCCTTGGTTCTAAGTGATAGGAGTTCTCATTAAATCTGGTTGTTTAAAAGTGTGTGGCACCTCCCCTTTTTCTCTTTCTCCTGCTCCAGCCATGTGAAGTGCTGGCTCCCCCTTCCGCCATGATTGTAAGTTTCCTGAGGCCTCCCCGGAAGCATATGCTGCCATACTTCCTGTACAACCTACAGAACTGTGAGCCAATTGAACCTCTTTTCTTTAGGAATTACCCAGTCTTCGATATTTCTTTATAGCAATGTGAGAACAGACTAACACAGGTGTCCAGTCTTCATACTGTCATGCTACTTGGTAGCTCCTCTTTTTCTTTGTGTCTTACAGGCCTGGCTTTCTGAGGTACTGTAGTTTTATGACATCTTGATTTGCTCTCTTAGGTCCACTGTGGCTGTTGATAGGCACTGTGTGCCAATGCCTGTGATTATAAGCTCACAGGGACTGCTTCCTTCCTGGTAATTGTCATGTCTATTTTACGGTATTCCCAGTTGTAGGGGGAGCAGGAAGCACGGCCTAGACCACTGCACCCCTGTCCTGGCTTGGATTAGTCGTGGTTGGTCCCACAAGAGTTTGAGAGAGAAAGAGATGGGCATGGCATGTCACACAAACCTGAGGGGTGCCAGGCGGAGCCCAGTCTCCCATTGTCCTGGGGTCCTGGCCAAGGCATGAGTGAGCCGAGTTGTTCTGGCCAGAGGATCTGCAGGCAGAGGCTTCTGAGGGGGGTTTGGCTTACAGGTCCCCTGCAATAAACATAGGGTTAGGCAGGGTCACTTACCAGGAGCCAGCAGAGGCCCCTGAGAAGCAGGGCCTGCCGCTTGGCACAGGCCCTGCTTCCTGAATATCATCCTGTCACCATACAAGGTGGGTGGAGGCTGACCTCTGTTAATCTTCTTGCCAAAATTTTCTGTAACATTTAAGACTTATCCATGGATCGTAGTTATAAACACTCAACTATGGGGCTTCTGGACTGCCCCTGGGCCCTGGGGTAGCGTTGATGTTGGGGTTTCTCTGTCAGTGTCACCCTGAGGATACACACTTTCCTGTGCTTTTAGTTAGGCGGCTTCTCTGTTCACCCTAAAATAAGAAGTTGGTGAAAATCTTTTCAAACATCACATTCGTTTCTTCAGTTTTGCCAACATCACATAGCAGGACTCGTTCATCTGTGGGTGGATGAGACGGTGAGGATGGTTGTGCTCAGTCTGCCACGTGCAGGCGCTGTTCCACATGTTGCTCTGAAGGCTCCGCGAAATACACTGAAGTTCTTCCACTAGATACTTTCTCATAAGCTCAGAGAATTGATGCAGTGGTCTGAGGGGCAAGTCAAGCTTTGTAAACACACTAAGGGGCAGGGCTGTGTTGACCAGAAGCCAGTGTGAGGGAGCTGGCCAGGGAAGGTGGGGTTATTCCACGCTAGGTTTTAGCCAAAAATGATGCTTTGGGACTTGTGCAAGTCACTTGACCTCTTTCTCTGGAAAATGTGGGGAAAAAGACCTATCTCAGCATTGTTATGAGGATTAAAGAAAATAATGCATAGGAAGTTCCCAGCACACAGATAATAGTTATTAATATCAGCATTCCTTCATGCCGCAATTTAAAAATGTTTAGTAGAAATAGAAGAAAAACGGCGGGGCGTGGTAGCTCATGCCTGTAACTCCAGCACTTTGGGAGGCCGAGGCGGGCGGATCACCTGAGGTCAGGAGTTTGAGACCAGCCTGGCCAACATGGTGAAACTCCGTCTCTACTAAAAATACCAAAAATTAGCCTAGCATGGTGGCACATGCCTGTAATCCCAGGCTACGCAGGAGGCTGAGGCAGGAGAATCGCTTGAACCCGGGAGGCAGAGGTTGCAGTGAGCTGAGATCGTGCCACTGCACTCCAGCCTAGGTGACAGAGTGAGACTCTGTCTCAAAAAAAAAAAAAAAAAAAAATGTAAGAACACATGCCCCTTTTTTTCGTGGGGCCCCTCCTGTGGATACCCATGAGAGAGGGGTTCATTGGAGCTGTGTCCAGAAGTCAGTAAGTGTTGGACACATCTCTGCTCTTGGCCCCAGGTGAATGTGGGTGCCATGTCTTGTCTTTGAAGCCCGGAAACACTCATGAATGCACAGAATGTCTGTTGGAAATGGTGCTAGAACCTCCAGGGAGACAGAACACCCCTAATAACCAAGTGCTTCAATTCACCATCATAGGACCCAGTATATATCTAGCAACACTCAACAATGATTTCAAACACTTGAGTTGAATTTCTCTCACAGTGCCTATCATATGAAAATTACATTTCTTTAGCAGTTGGGGCTCAGCTGAAAGAATGCAACAATATAATCACCATTTAACATATCTTTGTAAAGCAAAGGAAGCTACCACAGAAGTTTGTAAATCACAAGTGTCCACAGGTGTGTGGAAGATAAGCTGAGTTGGAACAACGGACACATTGGGCTAGGAAAAAGCCCCTGAACAAGGGACAGACTTAGAAGTGATATTTCTACATTAGTTTTCATTAAAAGAAACATTAAATAGAAAAAATTCCCTAGCTAGGAATAAAGGCCATATAATGTGCCCAAGAGCACGGATTGTTTATATATTCAACCAGTTCCACATACACACACAGTATCCTCACTGGTGGAGCAGGGATGATCATAGTCCCTTCCTCCCGGGTGGATGTGAGGGTTAAATGAGATATTGAGGCTCCTAGCACAGGGCCTGGCATGCAATATAACCCATGAGTGTTAGCTGCTGCTGGATTACAACTATTATTAATGGAGTGAATTTACCACCAAAAAGCACCATAACCCTACCAACAAACTTTGGATAATTAACTAAGGTAACAAATCAAGCTCCCCTTCCTATAGATAACAGAAAACTGTGAGCAAGACATTAGTGTGTCAT
The DNA here is from genome assembly GCF_000001405.40 of Homo sapiens. Lineage (NCBI taxonomy): Eukaryota > Metazoa > Chordata > Mammalia > Primates > Hominidae > Homo > Homo sapiens. The sequence continues at coordinate 126,021,972 of NC_000010.11, forward strand.
GTAAAAATGGATGTATGCACTCATCAAATTGAAATAATTAGCAATACTAGTTTTGCTGCTAAGTATGACTAAGCTGTCTTGGCAATAAAGAATAACGTCAGGTTTTTATTGCAATGCTGGAGAAAAAGTGAGGTATGTATCACAATATATTTGGATTTATCATGGAAACATAGGAGATAGTTAGGTTAGCCATTCATTCTAGTTTGCCTGGGACGTTCCCAATTTATGTTTATCGTCCTGTTTAATTATTAATCACACTCTCTCAGGCATGTCTCCTACTTTAGAAGATAAATTATATGGTCACCATAGTGATGAAAACCCAAATGACTGAGACGCTGATTGAAGGGTCTGACCTCCAACCTGGGGATCAGCGCAGGCACCATCTGCTTCCTCCAGCCATGGCCAGGACATGGTTTGGATGGAAGCATGAGACAGGTTGCAAGCAAAGATGTTGCCTAGGTAAGATGCTGGCTTCCTGCCAGGGCTTAACTGGGACAGAATGGCCATGGAACAGTGGGGGTTAGTCCAAGAAGATGTGCCTTCACTCCTTAGACATTAGGCATGGAGGTGTGGAACCCATGATGCAAGAAGCACCAGCTGCACATTTTGACCCTGGAGGAAGGGATGAAATTGCCATGCTGTCTTCTAGGTGTTGCTTTTCATTCTGCCTTTGCAAAACCTAAACCTGAACCTCTCCCAGAGAAGTCCAGTGTGATCACCAAGCATCATCTGAAGGGAGCTGAGAAATGACTCTAAGCAGATTGCTCACACACGATAAACATTTCTTTAAATCTATTTTCATTTTAAACAAGGAAATGAATTCAAACCTCATTTTTATGCCCTCTTAACTTCTTCCAGATATTGAAGAAAAATCCAGGTATGCTATTAATATGCTATTAAATAGGGCTGTTCCATTCTTCTATATTCTGCTCATGTTCTGGCAATAGCCACATATTTCAGATTTTTTAGAGGTTTCAAAACAATTTTAAATCCAGATATAACCACTTTGCCTTGACCAGCATCATGAAGTCTCAGCTGTTATCAACTTCACATGGTAAACGAGAGTAAACATGCCCTGCTTATCCAGAGAAATCTCTGCAGGAAGACTGGAATTCATCACAGGAAAATGCCAGAGATGCCCCAGAGATCCCTGACGAGCTCATGCAGGGCTGGGGCGGCATCAATATGTTTCACTGTGCAAATTCGGTCTACCTCTAGCTAAAAACAATTGTGGGAATTATGGCTATAGATCAGAATATAAATGTCGTAAACCCTAATGTAGGTATCATGGAACTCGCCAAAGTTGACAGGCGGGTCTTCCATTTCCAGTAACATGGCAGGCTCTGTTGTTGTGCCCTACCCCTTCTCTGATGACCACCAAGAGTTACAAGACAGCAAATGTTTTAAGTCTAAGTGAAAGCAGCAGCTTGGAGAGGGAGTAGTAACTGAAGATGGAGGCATCTGCCAAGTTAGGGAAACCTAAATGTGGGTTTTGATACTCTTTCACAGTGAGGAATAGAGAAATCCAACCAAGGTCAAGACATATGGGCAGAAACCAAATGTCCAAGTTTAATGAGAGAGAATTCTCTTCCTGACTCCTCTCCATTCAAGTTGGGCTCTACAGACAAGACCTCAGGTTAAGAATCTTCTAGAAGTAAATACATACTATAATCTATCCCCAGGATACTACAAGGAGCATTCTTCTGGTGCTGGACAGACCGAGGGAGAAAAATAAACCTGTCACCACAAATTGTCCTTGAGGACTTGAAGCTGAAATCACATCACCTGGGTATTTCAATAAGCTCCAAGCCATTTTAAAGTGGTCTCAAACTGGTACTGCCTCCAGGCACCTGGCAGAGGCAAAATAGCCCTTTATGGAAGAACACACCTGCATCCTAGGCCTTGAAGAACTATAATTTAAAAAAGTGAACTCATGGAAAAAAAAAAAAAAGCATACAGGGAAACAAGGAACCAGGAGTGAGAAGTGATAGAAACTTCAGCAGTAACATATCCAAAGACTTCAGATTTGGGTATTATTGGAAAAAGTTTTCTTACTATGTTTAAAGAAGTACAAGACAAGCTAGCATAGTTGAATTAGAACCAAAGAGAACTTCTAGAAGCAAAAAAAGTACAACATAGATGAGTGCAAATTGCATGAAGGTAAGTACAGTTTGATACCACTTACGTAAAGTTTAAAACACGAAACACTATATTAATGGATACATATTTATACAAAAATATTGAAAACATTAAGCAAACTTATGACAGTGCTTGTATCTGGAGGGAGGCTAATGTAGTGACTTTAATGTTTCACTTCTTTTGAAAAAGGATATATATCTGAAACTTAAATAGGCATGTACATCTAGAAAGATGTAAAACTAGTTATTTCTATGTAGAATAAATGTGAGTAAATTTTAGTTTTTACTTTTCTATATTTTAAATATTTTAAAAAATAACTTCAATCTTTGGGCTAAGGAGGAAAACAGAAGAGAATATATAGACTATTTAAAAAATATACACTACAAATTGGAACCAGTGAGCAAGGTGTAAAGCAATGTTTAGAGGAAAGTTCTTAATAATATTTTCATGTAACTGTCACAAAGTCCCAAAAGCAAGTACTATTATTTCACATTTGTAGAGGGGACATTAAAGTGATGTTTCCAAGATCTAATGGTAGCAAGAGGAAGATCATATAAGACTTTGAGCTGGTTGAAGGTAGGGGAGAATGAGAAACCAGACAAATCTAATAAAACATAGGCCAATCAAGGACAAATAAAATAAATGGTATTAAGGATTACTAGGTGGTCATCTAGAAAAAAATAAAATTTGATTATACACTAAATGGGATTGATTCAGGAAACAAATAGACACATGGAGAACAAAAAAAAAAAGCAGGGTGAGGCAATGGCCCACCTGGGAGTGACACGGAGCCAAGGGAACCCTCACCATGGGAAGTGGTACAAGAAAAACTGAGGCTACTGGGGTCTGGAGCAGACCCCCAGCAAATTGCAGCAGCCTTACAGAAGAGTGGCCAGACTGTTAAACAGAAAACAACAATAACCCCATCCAAAGGTCAGCAACCTTAAAGATCAAAGGTAGATAAGCCCACAAAGATGAGAAAGAATCAACACAAAAACACTGAAAACTCAAAAAGCCAGAGTGCCACTTTTTCTCCAAATCATGGCAACACCTCTCCAGCAAGTGCAAAGAACTGGGCTGGGGCTGAGATGGCTGACATGACAGAAGTAGGCTTGAGAAGGTGGGTAATAAAGAACTTTGCTGAGCTGAAGGAGCATGTGGTAACCCAATTCAAAGAAGCTAGGAATCATGATAAAACAATACAGGAGCTGACAGCCAAAATAGTTTAGAGAGGAACATAACTGGCCTGTTAGAGCTAAAAAACACACTATACGAACTTCACAATCACAAGTATTAACAGCAGAATAGATGAAGCAGAGGAAAAAATCTCGGAGCTTGAAGACTATCCTGAAATAAGATGGGCAGACAAGAATAGAGAAAAAAGAATGAAAAGGAATGAACAGAAGGTCTTGAGAAATACCGGATTATGTAGAGAGACCAAATCTACAAGTGATTGGGGTACCCAAAAGAGACGGGCAGAACAGAGCCCCCCCAGCAAATTGCAGCAGCCTTACGGAAGAGTGGCCAGACTGTTAAACAGAAAATGACCCACAAAAATCTCATCCAAAGGTGTCAGCAACCTCGAAGATCAAAGGTAGATAAGCCCACAAAGATGGAAAACATACTTCAGGATATAATCCAGGATAACTTCCCCTACCTGGCAAGACAGGCCAACATTCAAATTCAGGAAATCCAGAGAAGGTAAGATACTCCATGAGAAGATCAACCCCAAGACACATAATCATCAGATTTTCCAAGGTCAAAATGAAAGAAAAAATGTTAAGGGCAGCCAGAGAGAAAAACCAGGTCCCCTACAAAGGAAAGCCTATCAGACTAACAGCAGACCTCCCAGTGGAAACCCAATAAGCTAGAAGAGCTTGGGGACCAATATTCAACATTCTTTAAAGATTTTCCAACCCAGAATTTCATATCTGGCCCAATATCATCTAGATAATGAAGAAAGACCCATTGGTGTGCTGTCTTCAAGAAACTCATGTGCAAAGACACACACAGGCTCAAAACAAAGGGATGGAGGAAAATTTACCAGGCAAATGGAAAACAGAAAAAAGTAGGGGTTGCAATCCTAGTTTCTGACAAAACAGACTTTAAACCAACAAAGATCAAAAAAAGAAAAGGGCATTGCATAATGGTAAAGAGTTCAATAAGAAGAGCTAACTATCCTAAATATGTGTGCATCTTATACCACCCAGATTCAGAGAGCAAATTCTTAGAGACCTGCAGACTTTAACACCCACCTGACAATATTAGAAAATCAACAAAGACATTCAGGACTTGAACTCAGCTCTGGAGCAAGTGGATCTGTTATACAACTACAGAACTGTCCACCCAAAACCAACAATCTACATTCTTATTACTACACAGCACTTACTCTAAAATTGATCACGTAATCAGAAGTAAAACACTCCTCAGCTAATGCAAAAGAACTGAAATCATAACAGTCTGTCAAACCACAGCGTAATCAAATTAAAGCTTAAGATTAAGAAATTCACTCAAAACCACACAACTCCATGGAACCTGAACAACCTGCTCCTGAATGACTCTTGGGTAAATAATGAAATTAAGGCAGAAATCAAAAAGTTCTTTGAAACTAATGAGAACAAAGAGCCAACATACCAGAATCTCTGAGAAGCAGCTAAAGCAGAAGAGGGAAAGGTATAACACTAAATGCCCACATCAAAAAGCTAGAAAGATAAAGTTAACAAAGTTAACAACCTAACATCACAGCTAAAAGAACTAGAGAAACAAGAGCAAACCCCAAAGCTAGCAAAAGACAAGAAATAACCAAGATCAGAGTGGAACTGAAGGAGATAGACATGAAAAACTCTTCAACAAATCAGTGAATCCAGGAGCTAGTTTTTTTGAAAAAATTACTAAAATAGATCACTAGCTAGACTATAAAGAATCAAATAGACACAATCAGAAATGATAAGGGGGATATCACCATTGATCCCACAGAAATACAACTATCAGAGAATACTATAAACACCTCTATGCACATAAACTAGAAAATCTAGAGCACATACAGTCTCTGAGACTGAACCAGGAAGAAATTGAATCCCTGAATAGGCCAATAATGAGTCCTGAAATTGAGGCAGTAGTAAATAGCCTACCAACCAAACAAAACCCAGGACCAGGCAGATTCACAGCTGAACTCTACAAGAGGTAGAAAATAGAGCTGGTACCATTTCTACTGAAACTATTCCAAAAAAATTGGAAAGAAGAGACTCCTCTCTAACTCATTCTGTGAGGCCAACAGCATCCTGGTACCAACACCTGGGAGAGATAAAAAAAAACCTCAGGCCAATATCCTTGATGAACATTGATGCAAAAATCCTCAACAAAATACAGGCAAACAGAATCTGGCAGCACATCAAAAAGCTTATCCACCACAATCAAGTAGGCTTCGTCCCAAGATGCAAGGTTGGTTCGGGATATGCAAATCAATAAATGTGATTCATCACATAAACAGAACTAGAGACAAAAACCATATGATTATCTCAATAGATGCAGAAAAAGTCTTCAATAAAATTCACCCCATAATATAAAAAACTCCCAATAAACTAGGTATTAAAGGAACATACCTCAAAATAATAGCCATCTATGACAAACCCACAGCTAATATCCTGAATGAGTAAAAGCTGGAAGCTTTCCCCTTGAAAACCAGCACAAGATGCCCTCTCTCACCACTCCTAGTCAACATAGTATTGGAAGTTCTGGGAAGGGCAATCAGGCAAGAGAAAGGAAGTGTATTCAAATAGGAAGAGAGGAAGTCAAACTAACTTTGTTTGCAGATGACGTGATCCTATATCTTGAAAACCCCATTGTCTTAGCCCAAAAGCTTCTTGAGCAATTTCAACAAAGTCTCAGTATATAAAATCAATGTGCAAAAATTGCTAGCATTCCTATACACCAACAGGCAAGCCAACAGCCAAATCATGAACTCCCATTCAGAATTGCCACAAAAATAATAAAATACCTAGGAATGCAGCTACAAGGGACATGAAGGACCTCTTCAAGGAGAACTACACCACTGCTCAAAGAAATCAGAGGACATAAACAAATGGAAAAGCATTCCATGCTTATGGATAGAAAGAAGCAATATGAAAATGGCCATACTGCCCAAATAGAATCAATGCTATCCCCATCAAACTACTATTGACATTCTTCACCAAATTAGAAAAAACTAAAAATTCATATGGAACCCCAAAAGAGCCCAAATAGCCAAGACAATCCTAAGCAAAAAGAACAAAGCTGGAGGCATCACGCTACCTGACTTCAAACTATACTACAAAGCTATAGTAACCAAAATGGCATGGTACTGATACAGACACATAGACCAATGGAACAAAATAGAGAACCCAGGAATAAGACTGCACGCCTACAACCATCTGATCTTCAACAAACCTGAGAAAAAGCAATGGGGAAAGGATTCCCTATTTAATAAATAGTCTGGAAGAACTGGATAGCCATATGCAGAAAATTGAAGCTGGACCCCTTCCTTACACCATATACAAAAATAAACTCAGGATCGATTAAAGACTTACATATAAAACCCAAAACTATAAAAACCTTAGGAGAAAATCTAGGCAACACCATCGAGGACATAGGCATGCGAAAAGATTTCATGACAACATCAAGAGCAAAAATTGACAAACGGGATCTAATTAAAGAGTGTCTGCAGCAAAAGAAACACAGAATGAACAACCTACAGAATGGGAGAAAGTTTTTCAATCTATCCATCTGACAAAGGTCTAATAGCTAGCATCTATAAGGAATTTAAAATTACAAGAAAACAGTAAAAAGTGGGCAAAAGACATGAACAGACACTTCTCAAAAGAAGACATTCATGGAGCCAACAAACATGAAAAAAAGCTCAACATCACTGATCATTAGAGAAATGCAAATCAAAACCACAATGAGCTACCATCTCATGCCAGTCAGAATGGCAATTATTAAAAAGTTAACAGATGCTAGAAAGGTTGCAGAGCAAAAGGAATGCTTTTACACTGTTGGTGGGAGTGTAAATTAGTTCAACCATTGTGGAAGACAGTGTGATGATTCCTCAAAGACCTAGCAGCAGAGATGCCATTTGACCCAGGAATCCCATTATTGGGTATATACCCAAAGGAATAGAAATCATTCTATTATACACGCATGCATATGTTCACTGCAGCACTATTCACAATAGCAAAGACATGGAATCAACCTAAGTGCCCATCAGTGATATACTGGGTAAGAAAATGTGGTAAATATACACCATGGAATACTATGCAGCCATAAAAAGGAATGAGATCATGTCTTTTGCAGAGACATGGATGGAGCTGGAGGCCATTATCCTCAGCAAACTAATGCAGGAACAGAAAACCAAATACCCCATGTTTTCACTTATTAAGTGGGAGCTGAATGATGAGAACACATGGACACAATGGGGCAGGGGGAGGAGGAAAGCATCAGGACGAATAGCTAATGGATGCCCAGCTTAATACCTGGGTGATGAGATCTGTGCTGCAAACCACTGTGGCACATGTTTACCGATGTAACAAACCTGCACATCCTGCACATGTACCCCGATCTTAAATTTTAAAAATGGCAAAGATGAAAAGGCAGTTCATGAAAAAGAAAATCTTAAACCTGTGAAAAGGTATTTCATCTCACTATGAAGTATTTCCTATGAAGAAAAACATGGAGACCACTGTTTTTAACCTATCGATTGGCAAAGAGATGAAAAACCTCCGAACACACTGTGTTGGTGAGGAGCTGGATAATAGAATAGCTGAAACAGCTCCTTTAAAGGCAGCTTCACTCAGTCTATCAAATTTCTAAATGCATATGACTTTTGCACAGCAATTGTGCTTTCAGGAATTTATCCATCTTGGGCAAGATTATGCCTGTGTGACGTAGCAAATGATTGAAAACAACCCATCTGGGAATCTGGAAGGGACAGGTTAAAGAAGTCATGGTATAGCTTCACAAATAATGATGTAGCCAGTGAAAAGAATGAAGCAGATGTATAAAACTAATAAGGAATAACCAAAGTAGAAGAAAGTACATAATGTGTTGCCATTTGAATTCAAAACAAGGATGTAAGATGAGTGACAGCAAGTTGACGGTTGCTGAAGTTGAGTGATGGGTAGATAGGGTTTCACTGTACTCTTCTCTCCAATTTTGAGTGTTTGAAAATTTCCATAATCTCTCCTAGCAGAGAGGTGGGTGGGGGGTAGAGCTGAGACTTTTCATTGTATCCCAAATTGCGTTTTATAAAAGCCTAGTAACAGTGACGATTGCTTCTGGGAAGGGAGACTGGTGACAGGTGTGAAGGAGACTGTTTTCCGAATGACCCTTTATACTGTTGAGATTTTTAATTATAGGCCTATATTACCTATTAGCAAATGTAAAGGCTAAAATATCAGGCATCTGCTTTTTATGTAATTTTCATGTTTATAGTAACAAATAAGTGGGAAACAAATACCCCTTTGAACCCTGTAATCACGTGAACAACTTCCCTTGAAAACATGTTCTGAGAAGTTCCCTTCAGGGAGAGATCATGCTTCCGTGGATAACTGATACCCTTAAAGACATTTGATGTTTGTGTCTGATGAATAATTAGTATATGATGCCAAAGAAAGTTCAGCTAAAGTTTCTGGAAGTATTGGGTAGGTGGCAGGGAGAGTCCAAGACCTTGGTAGCTGTGTTTTAGATTTACAGGGGGAATGGACTCATTGTCATTAATCCGTAACTGAGTGTGATGGCGCCATGGAGAATGACACTGTGACAACTGATTTTTTACTATTTTAAGTCCACATCAATTCAGCATATTTCCTACACATCTATTATGTTCGAGGGGCTGGACTTAGCTGTGCCTGGGATCAGTCTATGCCTTCAGAAGTAGGGCAGAGCTGGCATACTGGTAACTCCAGGCTACGGCAGCAGGTGATCAGAGGTCCTGGAGGGAGGACTGTGGAGAGGTCTTAGGGGAGGGTGAGATCTGGAATGCAGGGAAAGGGCACAGAAGGACACTCACCAGCACCTTTACCAGTTATTAGCCTGTGCTTTGTGTGTAGCAACAGAAGCTCTCATAAAACTCAGTTTTCTTGTATTTCATCTTCTTCAGGAGAACATACTAACAAATGGGTCTTCTTTTTCTCATTACAAATTGGCATTTCTGATGAGCAAGGACCTAATCCCCAGATTTCTAGGCTCTGCAAGTGCAGGTTTCAATATCAGACACCCACACAGGTCCAGAAGGGCACATGCCCTTATCCATTCGGAGCCAAATTCATTTTGTTGAACAGTTTGAAAGTTTGGACTTAACCTCTGAACTGGCCAGCACCTGACTGATCTACAATCGTGGCTTAAATTAATTGGCTTTGCTCACATCTGCATCCTGACCAGGCATTTGAAGGAGTAGCTGCTGTTTACCAGTAACAGCCCCAGCTCATCATTCATCACCTTTTATAAAGGTTTGAGGAGGAAGAGGAATTTGGACTTCCTTGTAATAGCTGCCACCGTCTTCCCATGGCAACTTAAACAAAGTAGCCTTTTCTTAGATGAGACTGTGCCAGACTGGTGAGTCTTGTGTTATAAAATATTATATGTTGCATATAATACAGACAGATAAAAGTTGTTGATTAGGAGAAATGTTGTGTTTTGACAGCATCACTGAACTGAAGATCTCCACCTCTGCAGAAAATGCATAGAGCCTTCTTTAAGATGCAGTGAACAGCTAGATGAATACACTGAATTATTTTTCCTCTAATATAGCTGATGGGATGAAAAAAGTTTGTTTCCTTGATCAAGACTGGGGAGTTAGGATGAGAAGCTTGAATTCCAAGGGTCCTTTTACCATGAAGGAAGTGGTACATTGCAAAGGTATGTTTGTGGACAAGAGGGTACATTCATTCAGCTCTCCTTCATTTATAAGTCAAACAGAACATTTATAGAAAATGAAATGGTTTCTATAAAGACCTAGCTTACAGTTTAAATGTGAGGTGGACCAAGATGGTGTTTGTGGTAGTGTTTTCTTCTGGAATGCTTAGTACATTGGGACAAATGAAGCAGGATTAGCTGTGTGTCACGTTGTCCTGGGCAGGGCATGAGGAACCCCAAAGTACAAAATGTCAGTGGATTCAATTTGTGCTGCCAAACAAGAGTCACCTCCAAATATTCTCCACACCTGCATGGAATTAATTTCCGTTCCCTATGTGTGATGGGAGAGAAATCACCCACTTAATCTATATCATATGTCTTAGAAAAGTTCCAGACAGACACCAGCCTGGAGTGAGAAATGTGGATTTTTCAGTGACTGATGTTTAAAGGGTAACATTTCCTTAGTTTCATAAAACAGAATGAAGGACTTTTTCGGGCCTGCTTTAAAGGAAATCTTGCAAGAGTCCCTGCTGGTGGAGAAAAAAACACCAGCAGTAGGAATACCTTCCTCTGATAACATGGTCTGTTAGCCCCAGTTTGACATGGTACACAGGTGAGTTGCTTAAAATAAATAAAAAAGTTCAGGATGAGGGGTACATGGGAAAGGAGCTTCTCTGCTCTTTGGCTACCTGAAATGTGCACACAAAATGCTAATATTGGTGCATTTTATGAGTTCATAGCTTTTGTCAGATTCTCAAGTCCACGGACCAGAAAAGTTTAGGGCATGCTCACCACCTTCCATGACTGCAAATCTAAAACAAATTAGAAAAACAAATGTAAAAGAACTGTCAATAAACAGAAGAAATTATATATGGACTTTCACTAATAATGAAATGGGAGTGGACTTTGCAAGCATGAAAGGAATGGGAAAATTCACAAAAGAAAAATTCAATATTCAAAACCAGAATTATTCTTATGCCAAAAAATCATAACTAAAATTACATTAAAATATTTTTAAAAGAAACTTATAAACCAAGAAGAAAACCTCTACCTCTCAAACAGAAATAAATAGGCAAAGGATAGGAAAAGACAAGTCACAGAACAAATACAGTGAACAGCAGTGGTATGCTTGAGCTGGCTGGTACTGGCTCATAACTGCCAGTTCCCTACTCCTCATTCAGTAATGTCACACTAGTAGCTTGAAACTGGCCACAATGGGAAGTTTTATACCAGAGAAATCAGCTGTAAATCAGAATTTTTTTTTAAAAGGGCCAGTTTGCCAGCATACCATTGGCTAATGGATACATAAAAAGTAGTTCAAGTGTACCAGTAATCAAAAAAATACAAGGAGAAATGAGGTCTGGACAAGGTGGAATAAGTACATTTCACCCTATTTCTCCTGCTAAGTGCAACAAAAATGTCTGGACATAAAGTATGCTGGCTAGGGATCTCAGAACTCAAGGAACTACCCAGTGGTGTGTTTGTGTGTGTGTGTTCTTTTATATATCTTGGCCTGGGCTCTGGATAGGCCCACAACTGGAAAAGCCTGCTATCTTGAGCCAAAAGACTAGAGAAAGAGCAGTCCAGAAACACAGAAGTGTTTTGACCATACCTGACCTTACTCCAGCTCAACACTTGAAAAAAGCCATGCCTCCCTCCTGCTCCTCACCAGGCATCATAGCCTAGAGACTGGCAGATCTCTACTTTCTATCACTTCTTGCAATAACATGCCACATCCCTTCCCTGGAACAGAGACTATGGGTAGAACTTTTAGTGGATTTCTCATCACCATGGAGTCCAGAAGGAAGGGGAACAACATTTTTAAAGTACTGAATGGAGAAAACAGTCAACGCAGAATTCTATATCCAGCAAAACTATCCTCTAGGAATAAATACATTCTCAGATAAAGGAAAATGAAGAGAATTTGTCACCTACAGATTTGCTTTAAAAAATGGCTAAAGAAAGTTTTTCAGACAGAAAATAATAAGCAAAGTTAAGTTTTAAAGATTATGTTTGGCTGAAAGCAAAATTACAACATCTGCAGTGACTCTTAGTACACATAAAGGTAGTATTTAAGACATCTGTATTATAAAAGGAAGAGGAAAAGCGACCTAAAAGGTGATAGTTTCTGTATTCTACTTAAAGTGAAGAAATATTGACTAGTAGACTGTGATAAAGTAAGTACATACATACTGTAATCTTTAGAGCAGTGGTTTTCAATCAAGGGAGGTTATGCCTTTCAGAGGACATTTTGGCAATGTTTGGAAACATAATTACACATGTTACTTCCATCTAGTTGATAGAGGCCATGGATGCTGCTAAACATTCTACAATGCATAGGAAAACCCCACATAACAGAGTATTCAGTACAATATGTCAAAATGCTGAGGTTGAGAAACTGCCCTAGTGTAATCATACAAAAAAAATACAAAGATATATACTCAAAAACATAAATGCAGATAAATCAATATGGAATACTAATCTACAGGAACACAGAAAAAGCACAATGAAACAAAAACCAGAGAGAACAAACAGAATAATATTAACATGGTAGACTTAAATCCAAACATATCAACAATTGCATTAAATATGAATGTTCTAAACACACCTATTAAAATATAGTGACTGGCTAAATGGATGAAAAAATCTATATGCTGTCTACAAGAAACGCTTTTCAAATGTAATTCCATAGGTATGTTAAAAGGATGGAAAAATTCATACTTTGCTTTTTATCCTGTTTTTAGAAGTAACCATTTCTGTTTGCTGCAATCATGAATGATGTTTCCTATTGTGAAATATCATTCATGATTGCAAAAAGACAACACTAATACTAATCAAAATAAAACTGGAGTGGATATAATAATATCAGATAAAGTAGATTTTAGAACAAAGATTACCAGAGCTAAACAGAGACATGACATAATGATAAAAGGGTCACTTTACTAAGATGACACAACAATCCTAATTGTGTGTATCGCAAACAACAGAGCTTCAAAATACATGAAGCAAAAACTGATGAACTCAAAGGAGACACAATTATAGTGGAAAAGTCCAACATCTCCTCTTGGTAACTGACAGAACTACTAGACAGCAACAAATTGAGATATTTTGTTGTATTTATCAAACTGGTAAAAGTTAAAATTTAGTGTTAGCAAAGTCATGGTGAGAAAGACAATAACAATGTGGGAACGCAAATGTATATGAGTTCTGAAAAAATATTTTTATATTATGAGGCTTAAAATGGTCATACAATCTTTCAACCCAATATTTTACTTTTAAGAATCTCTCCTAGGGGAATAAAGAGGTCCCAAGATTTACCTCTCTAGAACTTTCTAACAGCAAAAAATGATACATCAATACATGCCCAATAATTTGCAAGTACTTAAACATTTATATTCAAGTATAGTGTTATTATTAAATAGGATTTTTAATGCCATTGTAAATGGGACTAATTTTTAAGGCAAAACAAAGCAGCATATAAAACTGTGTACAAATAAATTATGTTAAAATACACAATTATAAACAAAAAATATTAATAGCAGTGAAAAATTACCAGTGATTATCTCCTACTTATTTGCTTGTTTTCTCCTCCCTTCAAGTTTTCTATTGTGAAATATCATTCGTTATTGCAGCAAACAGAAATGGTTACTTCCAAAAACAGCATAAAAATGAGATGATATACATAAACAATACAGTGCTAAGTTTGGTACGGAGACACTCTGTATATAGGTGGTATAGTTCTTGTAAATAATTTTGAAATAAAATGATGAGAGAGTATAACTGATGCTTCTTAGGGTGACCATCTGTCTTAGATTGCCTGTCTCTATTTTACTGTACAGGCCTAATTATTACTAGTCCCTCTGCTATTCTCAATAGTGTCATCGTTTAGTTGCATGAGTGGTCTAACTATTCAAATACTTAAAAAATTATAACTAGTAAATTAAAATATATGACACTCTTATTATTATACTCCAGGCACCAAACTAACTGCTTTATGTGGATTATCTCATTTAACCATCTGAGTAGCTGAATTATCTCCATTTTACAGAGGCACCGAGAAGTTAAGCAACTTATCTAAGCTCACACATTAACAAGTAGCAGAATCTGGATTTGAACTACATCCTATCATATTAGTACTGAAAGCATACCTGGGCCTGCCTAAGTGCAGGCTTGGCTGGCAGGGGTCTGGCAGGGACGCTAGGTGCACGTGGAGCCCGGTGGAGGGGAGGAAGCACTCGCTGAGTTGACTGGGGCTGAGGGACATTCAGGCCGTTGAGGGGTCTGCTGATGTCAACATTCTGACACTGCAGCAATCTCCTGGGATTGTCCTGTACAGTCAAAGTAAAAAGCCATGCTATAGCGGGTTTCAAAAATATCAGTAACTCCTTAAGGAAAAAGCAGTGCTAACTCATCTGTTATAGCTGAAGGCCAAGGTGGGGTAAAGGAAAGAAATCAAGGATGTACACAAGAGGGGAATTATTTTTGTATTTATTTAAACTTCAAAATTCAAACAGAAGCATCACCTGCCTCCACCCCACCAAATCTGGAATAGAAGGATCGATTTTTGTTTAGATTTTAAAAAACTGTTTAACAAATAGGTGCAAAGCACTTGAAAAAGTACCAAGTATAAAGAAAGACACGGACCGAGATCTTAGGGAAGTTACAAAAGAGATGTGAAAATAAGATACAGCTTAATGTGTTCAAGGCTCAATGAGAACTGAGAAAACCACTGGGGAAAGGAGAGTTGCGGCTTCAGGAAGCCAGGGCTGAGGTTGGGGCTTGGAGTTGGAGACGTTCTCCCATATGGTAACCCTTGTTCTTAGAACAGGTGCTGCAGGGACCCTTATACCTCAGGCTTCTACCCCTTCCTTCCTCTCTTTCTAAAAACAGCTTAATTGAGGTATAGTTGACATAAAGTATACAACTTGGTCATTTTTTGACGTGTTTACACCCATGAAACCCTCACAACAAACAAGTGGACAAATGAATGCATCCATCACCCCAAAGAGTTTTCTTGTCATGCTTCTCCCTTCCCTCTCCCTCCAATCATCAGTCTGCTTTCTGTCACTATCAGTTTGCATTTGTCAGAATTGTATATAAGTGGGATCACAGAGTATATACTCTGGCTTTTCTTCTTTTACTCAGAATAATTATCTAGAGATTCATCCTCAATGTTGTATACATCAATGGTTCATTCCATTGTGCAAATATACCATTGTTTATCCTTTTACTGGTTGATGGATATTTGGATTGTTTCTAGTTTGGGGCTCTCAAAAATAAGGCTGTGCTTTTTTTTTTTTTTTAATAGAGCTGCATTTTTCTTTTTTACGAAAATGAAGATGTGCTTTTGGCTACCACACAAAGCCGTTCTCGCTTATGGTTCCACCTTTGGGGACGAGCAGGGGTAAAGCTTATTGGGAATGGCAGCCTCCTCCTTGGAGCCCCACCCTTTGCGTTTTTTGGATCAAGGGAGTTAAAACAGTTTATTGCCTACTGCATATGCAGCAATGATTTTTCAATCACTTATTTTTTTTGACACCAATCTTGTTCACTGTTATAATTTGGACTCTTGTTGACTAAGTTCAATATTCAAGAATTCTTGTGGGTACATCAGAAAAACTCGGTGGGGAAGAACTATTAGAATGAACTCTAGCTGTAATTCACCAGGGTAGCAAGAGGGTTAAGAGACAGCAGGGAGCCGTGAGGTACTCTGGGTTAAGGATCCAGTTCTCTGAAACCACAGGGTGGACAGGGCTTCCTCAGCTCAGGGCTGGAGCAAAATGGTCAATTCTGAGAGCTCCATGTAACTTTTGAAAAATATTTTAAGAGTAACAGTGGGCTAAAGCAGCTCACCTAAAGCCAGGTGGTGGCATTTGGAAACCATGGTGGGGCTGGCATTGGGGGCTGGTGTCAGGAGCCAGCTCGGGCTGCAGACCCAGTGGGGCCCCAGAAATGTGGCTGGTCTGGGTGACTGAAGGGATCACAGCTCACACTATGCTGCACCATATCATGCAGGGGGCACTGAGTGCGCCAACAGGATCTAGGTGGGCTTCCATGGGGGCACCGTGGGGCCTCCCTCTGGCCCCAGATCACAGAGACCCTCCCTCAGAGCCTGCTGACCTAGTGAGGCTGACTCAGCATTTCACAGGCAGCGCCTCTAGGATCCCATTCTTATTCAGTCTCGTATTGAAAACCTCATGTCTGCATGTGTGCCCTGAGCACTCACATCTACTCAAGACTCACCTTCGGTGGGTAGGAATCTGGCGGCTTCCTCATCAGGCCTTTTCCAAGGTGGCCGAGGTGAGCCTGACAGGGTTGGAAGCCACGGGGTGGCCGGGAAGGGCGCACACACCTGCAACAGAATCCCATACCTGCTGACCAAGCGTGTTTCCCCTTCTCACTGACTTGACTTTTTACACTTTGCTCATAGTGGCACTCAAAAGACAGTTTACTTAACTCAGTGTGCTAAACATGCAAAGGAAAAATTACCTAATAACACTCTTAGGAGATTAAAAAATAAATACTGGTTTTTCCCTCAAAACCTCTATTTTGTCAAATTAGTTCTCACGCTCCATAGAAATGCAGTGTAGTGACACCTGGAAGATGATTTGTATGAAGCTGGCATTTCAGCGATAATGTCTTTGAATATATTTGGATCAAAAGCTACCCCATCTGATGAAAATATTTCAATGTCTCCATGTTGTATAAAAATTACTAATATAAGGGTGGGAGAAAACACATCAGTGGAATTTCCTGACACCCTGCTAGCTTATGTAATAAGCAGCACATTGTTGTTTGAAGGGAAGTAAAGGAGGCAGCTGATCTGGCAGAAATTTAAAACAAGAAACCCCCCAAAAAAGAACCAAGTCCCAGGTTTATGATCCAGAAAATCTGACCTTTGCTAAAAAAATGAAGTGAGAAGCAGTTTGCTGTACATTTTCTGAGACACCATTTCTTTTTTTTTTTTTTTTTTTTTTTTTGAGATGGAGTCTTGCTCTCTCGCCCAGGCTGGAGTGCAGTGGAGTGATCGCAACTCACTGCAAGCTCCGCCTCCCGGGTTCACGCCATTCTCATGCCTCAGCCTCCCGAGTAGATGGGACTACAGGCACCCACCACCGCGCCCGGCTGATATTTTGTATTTTTAGTAGAGACGGGGTTTCACCGTGGTCTCGATCTCCTGACCTCGTGATCCGCCCGCCTCAGCCTCCCAAAGTGCTGGGATTACAGGCTTGAGCCACCGCACCCAGCCTCTGAGCCACCATTTCTAGAACAGATGACAAGCTAAACCCAGGGTACCTTAGTTTTTCAATGGTGGTCTTCTTATTTGTAAACAGCAGTCGTATCAAGGTCTTCCTTTTGAGATAAACCACAAATCCGGCAGCAAGAAGACACAGGATGGTCACCAGAATTCCTATGGTTAAACCTTGGTTATCTGAAACAAAACACATGGGGCTCACAGAAGGAGGCAGTTACAATGAAATATGGGAGGTATCAAGTTGTGACGTTTATGGCAAAGTGAACTCTGAAGCAACAGAAATGAAGAGAGTACACCCGTGAGTGATGTACTAATAAACTGTCTTACTTCAGATGCCATGTTTGAGGTTCAATCTATGTTACCATCATTCATTTCTGACAACTCTAGAACTTGCTAAACAGGAATATATAGTCGGGTAGGTGGGGTGATGGTCTGGACCACGCAGGTTCCCTGAGGCGTGACAACGGCACAGTGGACCATGGTAGCCACAGAAGGTAGCAGGGAGCCATCACTGAAGCCTCACTGGAATCACAGCCATCCCCAGGCTCAAATGTTTCCAGTCCCCAGCACAGATTTGCCATTCCAAAGTGCTTTTCTTTACTCATTCTGTAGTTGGGTTCTGCTTTATCTCTTTTCGTGTTTTTAAAAAATGAATTGCTTTCTTGCTGGACATCTCAAAGTAGATAGTGAAAAAAGAGAAAGAAAACTCATTTAAATGAAACACCCATGGGTTTTGCTTTGTTATGTTGGGGACTTAAAAACACAGCCTTTGTGGGGGAAACCCTTTTCCTGGGAGGAAGCTATTTTCTCTATGAAAACATCTTCTTTTCTATGACCTGCTGCCATTTTGTTTAATACAGTTAAGAGCCTCCTCAAGGGTAGGGAAAGGAAGGAAAAAAATCAAACCATCAGGTTGGTTTCTTACAGTAGCTATGGTCAGCGGCTGTCTGGGAAGGACTCTAAATGCTCAGACTTAGAGGAGGTCTACCTGTGATTTCAACTGGACAGTGAATTTTTAGAGGACAGGGATCTTGATTCATTTGTCTTCCCATCAGCAAGGATCAGGGTGTACTTCACATCAGGTAAGTGTGCAACAGTCCTTTCCGGCTGCTGGTGATCGCCGTGATGCAGTTACCTGGGCTCTCCTCGGCCCTGCCTCCCACCTGGACCCTCAGCTGGCTGTGGATCACTGCAGCAGCAGCTCCTACTCCAGGGAAAGAATGTCTTTCACACCTTCTTGGTTTCTGGACCCCATCCCCCACTAACAAGGCCTATCAGGGATGTGTCTTAGCCTAAGCAAGACAGCCAACAGATGACAGTCTTGACTTACTTGTTGGTGTTACTGGAAAAGCATTGCTTCTGGTTTCCTGGGCAAAATGTCACTCTTTTCAGACCCTTAGTAGTGATCACAGGGGGCTCTAGCTAGAGTTCTGGTGTCTCATAACAAAGTTAATTAAAGTTAATTTAAAAAGTGAACAGCAAAAATCTTGAACTATAATTTCTAGTTCCATAAAGTGAATCCATAAATCTTCAATACATCAATCTATGAAACTGAACATTTACAGGGCCCCCACACTGAACCTGCTGAACTCCCCAGGGTTGCTCAAGCCAGAGGCCCGGGCAGTGACTGACTCCATTTCCCTCTTCCCCAGGACCAGCACGAGCACCGTGTCCTGTGTCCCCTCCTGTTGGCCCAGTCCGCACTCTAGAATCTGAGCCCAGGCCAGTCCACACTCCTCTAGATCTTCGCACAGCCAGCTATCTCGGCTTCAGAATGCATGTTTCCCTCGCCCCCTTCAGACCTCAACAGATGCAGGGTCCCCAGGAGCCTTCCTGACAACCCCCTGCCGCTCTGTGGGGGTTGCTCCCCTCCCATGATGCCCTCTCTCCCTGCAGTCGTACCCCTCACTTATGCCATGTCATTCTTGCTTAATGTCTCTCCAGGACCCAGGAGAGTGGCTGGTGTGTGGCAGACACACAAGTACTTGTTTAATGAGCCCCTGAGCCATGGCCAGGCCAGGGAGCAGTGAGCCATGCTTGCTCATGGCCTGCCTTGATTTTATATATGTATGAACAGGGTGGAGGCAGCGGTATTTCAAATGCACTCTATTTTATGCAGTAATGGCCACGGGGGATGGAGTTAGGCTCTTACATTGTTTTCACTTTTTAACATTCTTACTTGTTAAATGAAGGGTTGGTGACTCTGTGGGTTCCCTGGCTTTCTGCAAACCCTCAAACCTGAGTACTGCTGGTCACGCATGTCCACAGCAAAGAGCCAGAGTTCACCGCCCTTTCTCCTACCTTCTTCTCCAGTTTGTTTCATTGCCATTCAGTTTGCTTGGATGGAGATGGAATGGGTGGCAGGGTCTCTGATAAATTAAAAACTAAAACCCTGCTATTTTCATATAATAAATGCTAAAAGCCATATCAGAGCATTAAGTTGCAGCCAGAGACCAGTCATCAGGGCTGCCAAGGCTGAGGTGTCACTGGGGAAAGGGGACACTGGGCCCAACCCTTGCTTCTCCCCCACTGCTGTGGAGGCTCAGTGAAAGGCCAGACTTTTGAGTCCTCTTCCTCCTTGCTGCAGGGCTGGGGCCTGCCAGAGTGGTAACCTGCTACTCTCTCAGGAGCAGCACTGAAGCATGTCCATGTTTTAGCAGAAGCTCAACCAGGAAGTCGCTGCCCTTCCTTGCACTGTTTCTGCAGACGTGCCTGGTAGGCTGGACTTCCCCTCCTGAGCCCCGAGAACTGTGTTGTGTCTGTTGTCATGGAAACGATGGCAAAGCCACAGAGTCAATGCTGCCAGTCACAGGAGGCCTTGGGGACGCGTGACCTCCTCTGCAGCAGCACTGGTCACGGTCTCCATGTCATGGGAGGGCTCAGATGAGTGTCAGTGAGGCAGTAGACGCATGCTCCTGCGATCCCACGGGCTCCTGGCCCTGGCCGCGCTCCCTGTTGGACTCTGCAGCTTCCTGCCTTGCTTCTTTCCCTCGAAAAGAGGCATCATTTAGACTTGCCCCTGAATTGCCCAATAAGAACTCAGAGAAAACAGCACCGCACCAGTAAACCATTTCTAAAGGTCATCCGAGGAGAAATGGCCACGAGTTCAAGCACAGCTGCTACTAAGAGCTTCTTGGGGGACAGGCAGACCTGTGTGTGTGTAAATCTTAGCGAGATCACATTAGGCAAATTACTTAACTTCCCTGAGCCTCAGGTCCTAGGTATGTGAGAAAAGAATCATACCACCTTCTTCAGAGTTGTATAAGGAGGGGATGACATCATGGGCATAAAATGCACCACACAGCACCTGCACACATCATTCCATATGCAAAAGCTGTTGCAATGACTCCCACTGCTGCCGTGACTGTCACCTTTACTAAGAGGTGGGTGTCTTTCCAGTAAGATTTTTAAAAGGCATTAAACTTCACACCTTGTCACCCTACCACACAGATGTCGGCCTTTACAAAGTACTTTGATACAGTGATGACATTCATACCCATTCAGCAGTTCACTATAGAAATGACCTTAGTTAAGAAAAGTGTCGCAGGCTAAGGAACTGGCAAACTCAGCCACTCAGTCAAAGCAGAGAGCAAGGAGCCTCAGAGAAGATCGGGCAGGGATGAGAGGGGCATCTGGAAACTGCGGGAGACCCTAGGCTGTGTAGACCCATGTGGGGTCCCCACTGGGTTTCTTGTTGGCTCTACCTGCACCCATGCTGACAGCTGGCGAGCCCACCCGCCCCCAGGTGCTCAGCCTCCTCCCACCGGGATGCAGGGGCTTCACTGACCTGCTTGCCGGATGGGGCCGCTGTCTGTGCTTCCTCCAAAGCCAAACTTGTCACAGAAGGGAGGTGCCCAGTGGGCCTCGCAGTGGCAGTTCTTCCTGTTGTTGCACACCTTTCAGGGCAGAGGGGAGGGACGTGGGGTTAGGGCATATGCTCTGTGCATCACCACAGCAGAAGCAAGGGGGGCCATGGTCAGAGCCCCCCCCCAACACTGACACAGCCAGACTCAGCACACGCCATGGTGCGAATAAGCCCAAAGCCGGCACTACACACCACACAGGGGCGACCAAACCTGAGGCTGTGAAGATGCATCATCTGCCTATTAGTGGCTGTAAAGAGAGTGATGAAGATTATTTGGGTTCATCAGCTTGCCTCCCCCACCCACCTCACTTCCTTCTCCATCTCCCCATCTTCCTTTTTCAATCTGGAAAACTGTCTGACCATGAGGAGAAGCCCCCTCAGCAGTGAGGAGGGACCGTGCTTTGGGGCTACAGACCCAGAGCCCTGGGGCACCGCGGGACCTGACAGATGCTTGGCGCATCCCTGTCTCCTTCAGACAGAAGGCTCAGAGAGGCTGGTGACTGCCGGGTCCCACGCCAGGCTGGGGTCCGAGGCAGGCCCCCCGTTTCCTGAGCAAAGGAATCCTGTTTCCTGCAATCCTAGCAGGGTGCATGGGATTTCCACTAATACTTCCTGAAGCCTGTCCCCGTGTGTCCTTCCTGCAACGCCTGCCTCCTTCTTGCAGAGGTTCCCAGTGGCTGTTCCCTGGCTCCCAGTCACGCACCAGGGTGCGAATCCAACAGTGGATTCTTTTCATTGTGAAATAAGAGAATGGTTCTGGCACGGCGGGAAAGGGAGACCAAGAAAGCCCGAGGAGGCTGTGCTTCACCCTTGTTGGGCCCAGCTCATAGACCAGAGCATTCCATGCAGGGGCCAGCAGCCCCTGCCCACCTGGTTACCAAGGGCTACTGATGGCGGCCACTCCCAAGCCTGTCCATGCTGGTTGGACTCGCTATTATGCCAGATGTAACTAACTGAAAGTACATGATCCAATGGAAGATGACCATGAAGATGATATATATTTAATATATTTTTTTCTATGAAAATTAGGTTGTCAAGTCCAGGCACGGTGGCTCATGCCTGTAATCCCAGCAAGTGGGAGGCCAAGGTGGGCAGATCACTTGAGGCCAGGAGTTCAAGACCAGCCTAGCCAACGTGGTGAAACCCTGTCTTTATAAAGATAAAAAAAAAAAAAGTTAAAAAAAATTAGGTTGAATCCTTTGGGAACACTGGATTAAAAAAGAGAAATCACTAAAAGAATTTCTGAAAAATTAGGAATGAGTGGGACTACTGCACAATGATTGGGAAGAGCTGCAGAGGACAAGGAGGAGGCTGTTCTTGGATGCTGTTGAGTGTCTAAGGTTCCCTTCCACAAAAAGAAACGAACTAGAAGTTGTTGATGATGCATTTTTGGGTGGTTTATATCAGGAAGTCGATGCACAATGACATTCAGTAAATCAATCCTAAAGGCCTCAGCCCGCCATCAAAATATGGCTGCCAGATATACAGTTTCATATTTTAAGGCAAAATAAAATGCGTAGAGTATATGTCTCCCATGTAATGCTTTCCTGCTTCAACCGACTTGTTTTGATGAATCAACCACCTACCCTCATTGCTTCAGATAAGAAGGCCGACTGTCAAGATAGGCTTTAATAAGTTAGAAAGTAGACTGCTATAAAGCAGAAATTGAGTAGAACTTGTCAGCAAGTGGCAGAGCCTACGTCAAATGTAAGTGTCTTGCCTGTCCCCTCAAAGATGCTGCTGTGGACGTACTAGCCCCAGATTCATGCCTGCCCCTCATGGCTTCTCTCTGCAACTTGTGGTCATGCGCCTTGTTTTAAAACCCACAGGAAGGTGCTGCCGGGAGCCTGCCCTTGTTAGGGTGGGACTGTGGCCAAGCTACCCTTCAGCAAGGCTGGGTAGGCTCCACCTACCCAGCAAATGCGGGCCTCTCCGCTCCCATGTGTGGATAAGGCCAAGGGGTATTGGAAAGGGAGTGGTCCAGGGTCCTCAACCAGCTTGCAGCTTGCCGGCCATATTACCTTGGGCACACCATCCCCACAGCTCAGGGCCTGGCTTCTTCAGTAAAATAATAGGACTGGACTTGATCATCTCTTAACAGCCATCAGAAAATAATCTATGATCCAATGAAGACATAAGAAGATTCCATTGTATATTGGGAGTTAGCTAACCTTACCGTCAACACCCCCATCTGAGGTGACACTGTGATCCTTTATGGTTCCAGCATGATGGTAATTTACAACCCCCTCCCCCCATGCACCCGGTAATTCTGTGTAAGAATCATTGGCAAGTGTCTACAAGTTTTAAAATAAAGAATTTGGAGCAGGATTTCTGTAGGAAAGGTTTCAGGAAAACAAATGAACCTCTGGTGTGGTTAATCAAGACTAATATGATTCCATTGGAAATAAGCCCATCAAGAAAAATAAATTATGTTTTCAGCAATTAGAGTCCTCTTCTACCCTAAAGGTTCTCTGAACTAAAATAACAGCCTTCTTTAGTTGAAACCCATTGTGTGTGATTTCAAGAACATGTGTTTAATATGATCTGTTGTCCTTGTTTTAATTCCTTTTGGAAATATTTCAGTTCAGACACTGGTTCTGAATGTTGGTAGTAAGAGGAACAGCACAGTTTGAAATGTTATTTTGAAACTCTTCATGAAGGAAGGTTGCTTTTCAAATTACTTTGAACAACAAAAGTCTTTTTTAAAATCATAGAATGTTAATTTAAAAGGTAATTACAGCTCAGTCTGATTTTCTTTGTTAAATAAAAGTCACATGAAAAGGTCAAAAGAAATGAATACCTTTAGAAGAAAATATTTCAAACACAATAACTGCTCTATTTAAAAAATGCTATGGATTGCAAAACCTTTTACAAATGAATGTATTATTACTTAACTTGTTATGGGCTGGCTGTAAAAGGGCAGCTCAGCCTACTCACCCCTCTGCCGTGGCACTGCATTGCACACTCGTGAACCCCAAAGACACTAATATTTTGACATTGACGATTCAGGCAGATCTGTAGGAGGAGGAAAACACAGCAAATCTCTTAGTATTTCTCCAACCCCTCCAGCATGCATACATACCTGTATTCAAACAAAAAGCAAGCAAAAGAAAGCTTGGAGAAGACCCAACCTTGTCTCAGTTAATACGGATGGAGCATAACAATACATTTTATACTGGACTCAGGCATGGATCTTATTGCCTGACTCCTCCAAACTCAGCACATTTTGAGACTAAGTTCAATGTCAACACTATTAAATTATTTTGCATTTTATGGCTTTTAATATAACTTTCAGTTGATCCTAAAATTATAACTGATTTTCTTATGAGTTTTGTTTGGAGCTTGTAAAGAAATCTATGTACTGCAGTATTTTTTTCTTCCATTAAAAGATACAGGAGAGGGCGAGGTTGGGCACGGTTGCTCACTCCTGTAATACCAGCACTTTGGGAGGCCGAGGCAGGCAGAACACGAGGTCAGGAGATCGAGACTCTCCTGGAAAACATGGTGAAACCCTGTCTCTACTGAAAATACAAAAATTAGCTGGGTGTGGTGGCACGTGCCTGTAATTCCAGCTTCTTGGGAGGCCGAGGCAGGAGAATCGCTTGAACCAGGGAGTTGGAGGTTGCAGTGAGCCGAGATCATGCTACTGCACTCCAGTCTGGCGACAGAGAGAGATTCCGTCTCAAAAAAAAAAAAAAAAAAAAAAAAAAGATATAGGGGAGGGCGAGACAGATTACTCCTTATCCCAGGGCCTGGATAGACATAGATGGAGACTCCAAGAATCCAGGGTTGAAGAGTCTTTTAAGGGAGAGGTTGAAATATGGGAACTTTTTCCAGATACTGACTGACAAGTAGTATCATCAATGACATAAACCATCAGCAACGAGGCTCAGCAGAGGAAAACAGACGGCTCCTTGAATTTATCAAGCTGTTGTAGTGGTAGGCATTTCCTAAGTGATACTGGGCTGGCTGAAAGAACTCAGCCTCATTTCAAATGTGCATAATATACTCCAGACTCAAGGGATGCAGCCCTTTATCTCCTATAAGATTTTACAAATCCGTGGAGTCAAAGGAAAAAGAGTCTAACGTTCAAATGGCAGAAGAATTTTTAATCAAGTAGAACCTTCCTATTGAGGAGGTCACCATCCGACCCCAACAGCTCATATAAGGGCAAGAGGCATAGCCTTTGGGAGAAGCGCTGGCCCAAGCAGCACTGAGGGATTCCCACTCGGTGGGTGCGAATCCTGGCCAAGGGGATGGTCACATTCCAGCTGATAAAAGAACCTGTCCTGGATTACAGTGAACACAGCAGGACCCTCATGGGAATCACTGCGGATCCCTGAGCCCTCAGAGAACCAAGGTTCTGAGATCAAAGCACATTTCATCTTGAACGTGGAAAACAAATTTGATGATAAATTGAGCCCTTGGAATTGGAATGTCCAGATGCACCTGGCCCTGGCTGTTCAGGCTACAGTTTAAAAAAAAGGTGTCAGTCAGAATGGCTGTTATTAAAAAGTCAAAAAACAACAGATGCTGGCAAGGTTGTGGAGAAAAAGGAACACTTATATACTGCTGGTGGAGTGTAAATTAGTTCAACCATTGTGGAAAACAGTGCAGTCGTTCCTCAAAGGCCTAAAACAGAAATTACCATTTGACCCAGCCAACCCACTACTGGGTAATACCCAAAGAAATATAAATCATTCTATCATAAAGACACATGCACTCATATGTTCATTGCAGCACTACTCACAATAGCAAAGACATGGACTCAAACTAAACGTCCATCAATGATAGACTGGATAAAGAAAATGTGGTACATATACACCATGGAATACTATGCAGCCATAAAAAAGAATGAGATCATGTCCTTTGCAGGAACATGGATGGAACTGGAGGCTGTTTTCATAAGCAAATTAATTCAGGAACAGAAAACCAACTACCACATGTTCTCACTTATAAGTAGGAGCTAAATGATGAGAACACATAGGCACATACAGGGGAACAAAACACACTGGGCCTATCAGAGAGTAGAGGGTGAATGAGGGAGA
Organism: Homo sapiens; assembly: GCF_000001405.40. NCBI lineage: Eukaryota > Metazoa > Chordata > Mammalia > Primates > Hominidae > Homo > Homo sapiens. The sequence continues at coordinate 126,048,166 of NC_000010.11, forward strand.
GGATCAGGAAGAATAACTAATGGGTACTAGGCTTAGTATCTGAGTGACAAAATAATCTGTACCACAAGCCCCCATGACACAAGTTTACCTGTATAACAAACCTGCACATGTACCCCTGAACCTAAAAGTTAAAAGACAAAATATGATTTGAGCCTAAAAATATCAGATGTCATTTTAATGTCAAGGCCTGAATATGAGCAAATGTGGGTAAGGAGACATTCAGAATGTATAAGAAGATTCATGTACGATCCTATTTCTCAAGGAAAAAGGATTTGTGGCTCAGGGTGTGTGGGGCCAAAGACAGGAGAGTGGAGGCAACACCTGTCCTCAGGATTCTGTCTCTGCCTCTGTCTTTTCTTGCCTGTGTGACCTCATGTTAGTGAGTGATTTCAAGACCATGTTGAAAATGGAGTCCTAAGAAGCATTTGGGGGTTGTTTCATCCTTTTCTTAAAACATTGTATTCGCTTGCTGTCATTTAGTCTGATGAGAAAGTTTGGTGAAAAAAAAAAAATCAGTATGGCAGAGCATGAAAATCTCAAATTCTTTTTTTCTTCCAAAAAAAAAAAAAGTTTGACTTTATTTCTAAACCTCAAAATATCTCCATGTATCTTTCTCCCTGTTCTCTGAAAGGACTCCCCTCTGGTTTTGAGTTTCTTCCACTCCTTTCCCTCTCCTATTCTTCTCTCTACAGGGTTCTAAAAATACATCTGATTTCCCATTCTGTTCAGGTGAGGACAAGCCCCCAAGAACTCTGTGCTAAAAACCAAGCCACATATCCAAAACCAATAGAATATGCGATTGTATTTCTTTCCAAAGTAATTTCCTGGCTAGAAGTCCTCATGCCACCTGGAGTGTAGAAATGACTTATTAACACTCAAGGCCTAAGAAGACAGGCTTGATTTTTCCCCAATCTGCATTTTAATAGTCAGACCAGGATCTAGGATTTATTGACTTTTTCTTCTAGGTGCATCTGAGAAGAAGTAGATTTAGGAAAACCAACAAACCTTGTAACCCAGTTCTTGCTGTTTTTCAATGGGCCCTGTTCCAGACTTACATTTATGATCCAAGCAAACATTTGGGTCTTACTTTTCCATCTGCACACTTTGTGCCTGCAAGCACAAGCCCTGGGTCCGGCATGTCATCGCCCAAGTACACGTGGGTCCCCCGGCACAGAATCCGGCCTCCTTGCTGCAGGGGGATGTTTGTTTCTATGGAAACGGCATTGGTACCAATGACTGGCCGGCTGGCACCTCCTTGACACTGGATTTTTCCACATTTAGCATCTCTGGAAGGGTAAGAACAAACAATTCCCAAGGAGAAACCATTTGGAACCAACCCTATGCAATGTGGGAAGGTCAGAGCAAAGACTTTGCCAGGATGTCTGGATTCCATACCTCATCTCGCATTTGGCAAAGGAACTCTTCGAGACTTTGCCACAGTTGCCATAAGGATCACCTGCAGAATTGACTCTCTCAAAGCAGATCCCAGGGGCAGGTTTAGCACCTGAAACAGAAGCAGAACTGCATTTTCATCTCCTGCAGGTGATTTTTTTTTTTTCATGGCTGTAGGCCTCTCAAATGGTTACGGGGAGACGTGCTCAAAGCAATCACACCCAGTGTCTGTCCCGACTCATGGTGGGAGCTGGCCAGGGGAAGCCTAGGGTGTCAGCAGCTCGCATCCTCTCTTGACTCGGCCTCTGGCAGAGCACATGTTCCAATGCTTACTCTTCCTTAGGTCTGCTCTCTGGGCTTGTGGCATGTGTGGCCTCTCAGGAAATGAGGCCTGGCTGTGGAATGAGATCTGATCCAGGGCAGAAAGGAGGTGGCTGGCTGGCTGGCTGGCTGGCTGGCTGGCTGGCTGGCTGGCTGCAGAGAAGGGGAAGTTTGCTCTCTTTAACAACATCCCACACAATTCCGGTGAGGAAATGCAAGCCAGGGCAGGCTCCAAAGGAGCAATGAAGATATCTTCTATGATATTTTTAGTCCCATAAAGCTCCCTATAAGAGAAAGTACTACCTTCTTTTAATACCTTCTATTTTATTTGCAAGGCAGAGATTTCTCTCAGAGGCCATGGAGTCATAAACCCTGGTAATCCCTATGTACAACATGACGGTTCCCAGCAAAGAGGGTCATGGCAGCCAGAGAGCTCAGAAATGGCCATTTTTAGCACATCTTCCAGCCACGGAGAGAGCACATATAATCAGCATTTGCAGCCAAAGTTCTGGAGGACTCCTGAATCCTGGACATAGTGATGTCTGTTGAAGACTATTGAGCAAGTCAAGAAAACATGCCACATTCTTTAGAACAAACCATGCCCTGCGGCGTGGTCCCTTTTCTCTCCCTGATTGGTGTCCTGTTTGGCACTTTATCTCACATCGCTTCTGATGGCCAGGATGCCGACACTCCAGAGCCTCACTCTGACTCCTGCCCTTCTCTGCTCTCCACCCTGGGGAGGCTTTGCTTTCCAAGGTGACAACGGATTTATTTAAGATACCTCGTCCCAGGGAACAGAAGATGTTCTTCTTACTAAAAACATCCCCCTTCGTTAGCCTGCACCTGATCCCTTCTCATCAGCTACTAGCAGACATGATCATCTCATTCAACACACACGTGCCACACCACCTTGCCATCATTTGATGTGAACAGTGTGCTCAGCGCTCCAATCTCTGCAATGAGCCAGCCTTGCACCTCTCCTTTTCTCATTTCTTTTATAAGCCATGTTAGAGAAGCCTCTGCAATCTCTTTTTTCAGGGGCATTAGCCCAGACTGGACACAATTCTCTGTCATGGAGAAAGATGAGGTCCCTAGCTCCTCACATCACATGCCCTTTCCTTCCATCTGTTCCACATCTGCCTTGCTCACAGTAGGATGACACCACCGACACACTCAGCTCCTATTAGGGACCTGATTTGTCCGCATTCTGCCTTCTTTTTCTCTTTCGTCTATCTGTCAGAGCAGGGAAGGATGGGGAGGGAGAGCCTCAGTGTGGAACCTGCACTTTGTGCTTAATTTAATCCTGTTTGGCAGCACTTTTGATCAAAGTACTGGGATCTGATTGATCAAAGCAGTTTGGAAAAACTGGCATCTAGAATAGTAACAATTCAACAATTGTTTGTGTTTTTGCACACACCCTATGTATTTGTTGCTTGCCTAACTCTATCTCCCTCCCAACCATCCTTCTTTCCCTCTTTTTCCTCCCTCCTTCCCTTCCTACTTCCTTCCATCATCCATTTATATACCCATCTATCCATTCATCCATCCATCCACTCGTCCATCCAGCCAGCCACCCAGCCACCCGTCCATCCATCCGTCCAGCCAGCCACCCGTCCATCCACCCGTCCATCCATCCATCCATCCAGCCAGCCAGCCACCCATCCATCCATCCATCCATCCATCCATCCATCCATCCATCCATCCATCCATCCAGCCAGCCAGCCACCTGTCCATCCATCCAGCCAGCCACCCGTCCATCCATCCAGCCAGCCAGCCGGCCACCCATCCATCCAGCCAGCCAGCCAGCCAGCCATCATGTTGCAGGCTTCAATCAGACACATGTATTTATTCAGCACCTACTATCTTCCAGACATTGGGAGTATAAGAGGGACCAAACTGGACAAACCTCCTGCTTGCTTGAAAATTGCAAGGAGACACAGAAAAAAGACCCAAATGATTATGTTCCTCTAAAGCCCAGTGTTAGGGAATGCTATGAAGGTAGAAACAGAGTAGGAGGGTTCAGGGGACTGTTGCTTTTAAAGGCAGGCTGGTCAAGGAAGACCTCTTAGAGAAGACATCATGAGCTGAATCCTACCATTTAATCCTACAAGGTAGGTCTCATTATTCCATTTTATGGACAAGAAAATTAGCACATCAGAGGTTAAATATATTTCTCAGATTCACATAGGTAACGAAGGCAGGATCATCTAAGGGTGAAGCCAGGCTTCTGGGCTGTTCCCTCCTGTGCTCCATCCTCACAGGTGCTGGACCCTGCACTGGGTCTCAGGTGTAGAGAGCAGATTAAGACCTGGCCCTGCAGCCCAAGCAACAACAGGTTCAGTGGATGTGGGGTGTGCTGCTGCAGCTGCCTGTGGAAGGGCTAAGAAAATGGGGCAGGAAATGGCTTTGTTGCTTCTTTCCCTACTTCATAAGGCTAGGACTCGGAAATACAAGCAGCTCCTAGTGACTGCTTAGCTCCTAGGAAATGGGTGGGTGGAGTTGACATCACTGTGCCATTGCACGCAATGCTATTCTGATGTCCTAGATTCTGCTACCTTTATTATAAAGTAATTTCTTTCTTGGGAATTGTGACCACTTAAAAAATACATATACCATGACACAATTCAAGTATGTCAGTTGATACATTTGTTTTCCTTATAGGGAGCTCTAAAGAGACTTTGGGCAGTTTCAGACACGTGAGCTTACAAACAGCTCAACAGCAGCCTGGGAGGAGAGTTGGACAAGGTTGGACTGGGGAGTACAGAAGGATAAAAACAAAGAGAGGAAGGGGGAGAGAGAGAGGACGAGAAAGAGACCAACCTCAACAGGGATTGAAGACGCTGCAAATGTACTGGCAAAGCAAAGGGGAAGCTTGATACGTGAATACCAGATAAAGGGCTATCGTTATGATAGGAAGTCAAGCAAAGGCATGGAAACAGTGTGTAATCAAGTATAAAAGCATTCTGGAAGTGAAAACACTGGATCTCTACTTGGGAATCCAAAGCTGAAACACACTGAGCCTTCTGGGTCAGAGTGTGACGTGGTTTGGATCTGTGTCCCCACCAAGTCTCATGTAGAATTATAATTCCCAATGTTGGAGGTAGGACCTGGTAGGAGGCGATTGGATCATGGGGGCAGTTTCTCTTGAATGGTTTAGCACCATCACCTTGGTGCTATTCTTGGGATAGTGAGTTGAGATCTGGTCGTTTAAAAGTGTGTGGCACCTCCCTTTTCCTTCTCTCTCTTGCTCCTGCTCCGGCCGCGTGATGTGCCTGCTTCTCCTTCACCTTCTGCCATGATTGGAAGCTTTCTGAGGCCTCCCCAGAAGCAGAAGCTACTCTGCTTCCTGTAAAGCCTGCAGAACCAAGAACCAATTAAACCTTTTTTCTTTATAAATTACCCAGTCTCAGGTATTTATTTATTTATAGCAGTGTGAGAACAGACTAATACAGGGTGTGCTTATGATTGTAATGCCCCAAATGCTGGTGGAGCAGCACAGCTCAGAAAACCAGGTGTGTGTAAGATGCAATGCCTTGTTTACCAATAACGCAGAAGCATGGTACACGCCCCAGCAGAAGGCCACCTGGCATTTCAGGAGCACCGCCATTCTCCCAAAGACAAACCCTCAGAAAGGCTTGTGGCCAATTCGAATATGTGAATTTTTACCAACACAGATGACACAGTCAAGCATCATCTTATAATATGCTGTCAATTAACTTAATGAGAAACAGTTAAAAGAATCACATTTTAATTTAGATTGTCTTAAAAAAAAAACCTCTCCCACACCGTGGAACAATTTTACTGAGATGACGTTTCCTTTGGTCTCAGTCTTTTTATTTTTTTTGAGAGAGAGTTTCGCTCTTGTTGCCCAGGCTCGAGTGCAATGGTGTGATCTCGGCTCACTGCAACCTCTGCCTCCCGGGTTCAAGCTATTCTCCTGCCTCAGCCTCTCATTTAGCTGGAATTACAGGTGCCCACCACCACGACTGGCTAATATTTTGTATTTTTAGTAGAGATGGGGTTTCACCATGTTGGCCAGGGTGGTCTCGAACTCCTGACCTCAGGTGATTCACCCACCTCAGCCTCCCAAAATGCTGGGATTACAGGCGTGAGCCACCGTACCTGGCCTGGTCTCAGTCTTCTTGCTTTCCATGGCACATTCCCTGCACTTCCGGCTTTCTCAAGATGCTGACATTTTTTCTTCTGTTATGTTATCACTGGAAATCTTGTTTCTAGGTTCAAGTACCCACTCTTCCAACACTTTTTAATAGAGAAAGTGAGCACTTTCTCTATTAGCCCAGTGGGTGTATATTCATAACCTCCACAACTGAACCACCCACTCTATTGCTTATGAAAGTGAACCCTTAAAAGCTCTTTTACCAGAATAACCAAAATGGGATGAAGTCACAGCCGAAGAATAATATTTAAGCATGTGATAGATGCACCTGCCTTTTTTTAAACCTGATTTTGTCAGGCAGCCTTGATGAACCTGCGTGGATGCAGGATGATGAGCGCCAAAGCGCCTTCCCACCTGCTCTGCGACATCCAAAAGGTGTGGCTGAGAGAGTGACAGGTCAGTGGTTAGCGATTCTTTTTGCTGGCTACTTTCAGGGGGAAGCCTTGTTTTATAGCTGGGCATGTATGGGGTCTAAGAAAAATACCTAATGCCTATCAGTCTTCAGCCTTTTTAGATTGCCCCCTCCTGTCTGACTGATCTACTCAGTAACCATGCTTCAGAGTTGGAAGAACAAAGGCTTGGAACTCGGGCTGATCTGGCATTCAATGTCCAAAAGGCCTTGTTGTACAAGCTCTCGAGGTTCTGTCCCCTCATCTGTAAAATGGGGACAAGGACCTGACTCAAAGGTGCTGTGGAGGTGCATCAGTGTGTAGAGCTCCTGGCATGTGGCAGACCCCTAGGAAACCCAAGTGATAATGAAGACCACCTTGGACTGTGGGGAAGGTGTGGCTTCTGGACTTTAGGGCTGGGGGTGTGTGTGGGGAGAAGAGAGTTCCTTGTACCAGCCCCTGCTCGCATCACTTACCACACCTGTAACGATTCATGATCACGTCAGTAGGGGCTTTACATCCATCTCCCTCACACTTCATGGTCTCCAGGGCCTTACACATTAAGGGCAACTAGTGGAGACTGTGGGCTAACCAGATGCCTCAGGAAATGAGAAGGAAAGAAGAGAATCTCATCTGAAACCCTAATAGTTTTTGCACATCCTTTGCATATAAATCAGAACTATCATCCAGCACAAGGATTTCAACTTCCCTGCACCCATCCCCTTACTCCTTTCAATGAGTGTGGTTCCCCACGGCCCCCAAATCCCAGCTGGTTCTGGGAACCCTCCTGGCCTGGGCTTCCAGACTCCCCCTGAGTCAGCACCCAGTGCCACATTGAAAGAGGCAGCAGGCAACCCTGGGCAAAGACCCTTGAGTCTGACTTCTCTTTATGCCACTCAACCCTAGAACAAAGATCATTTTCCTGTCATTACTCTCCTTGCTCTTAACAAACACACACACTTTAAATGAACGATACATTTTAGATCATCAGCAGGCCACTTGTAATTAAAGTATGGTGCTGGATACAGCACGCGGTATCATCTTTGATCCTTATAGCCACCCTGTAAGGTCTACATTCTCCCCATTTCAGAGATTTTCACTTAGACTCAGCGTTTTAGCAACTTGCCGAAGATCACAATGTAAATGGCAAAGTTGGGTTTGTCTCATGGGTTTAAAGCCAAAACCCATGATCCAGCCATGATCCTGTGCTGCCTTCCTCTTGGAAACCCCCTACTTGACTATAGACTCCTGTCCCTGCCATCCTTTCCTCTTCGGAACCACCAACATATTCTCCTGTAATCCAGCTGCTCATGGAGTCAACAACTTCTTCACCAAATCTTTTTCCAAAAAATCTCCTGACAGGTGAGGACGACAGCTGCCTCATGCTCATGTCTCAGGTGCTGAACTGACCTGGGTCACGGCCTACCCCCTGCACCTGAGCATGCTTAGTGAGATTTCCCTTTAAAACTGGGACAATGGAGGCAGGCAGCAGATATTTGTATGCTTTTTGTTGCATCTATACTGATTCAGGGAAAGAAATGAAAAATTCGGAGTAGAATGACTTGGAAACCTCTGAGGGAGCAGTTCCTCAAGAAATAAATCTCAGTGAAGTTTGGCCAGTAAAACTGACTCCACTCTGCCATTAATTCATCCAGTGGCTTGAACGATGCGAGGTTCTAAAGGTTAACTTTCTGTCTACCTCCAGGAAGGCAATAACGGTCACCTTCTAAGAGTTTCATTCATTTGAGCTTTCACCCAAAACATGAGGGAGTGAGGGATGCCATATCATACTTTACCACTGAAATATGGCCAGGAAGTGATGTCCCTGAGGCACAGCAATGATAGGGCTCACTGCCACATGGCAAAGAAAAGGGGCATTTGCAGGAGAGGCAGGCTATGATTTCATCAGCCATGTAAACACGGGGATAGGACAGATGCATTTCTCTATGGAATCAAAGGCCCGAATGCATACTCCAGCCCCTGTCATCTACTTTGTTCATTCTCTTCCCTGGAGAATGAAGAAAAGTGGCTAACTCACGGGTAGCCCCAATAGATACGATCTTTTGCTTCCTTTTATCAGTCCTCTGAAACTGCTGCTGCTTTAATTTGGTAGTGGTGGTGAGGGTTTGCAAGGAAGGTGGGAGGAAGATGGAGCAGAGCCCTGTTTACAATGCTTACTCTTGAGTGTGATATTCCCCTTCCTGTGTCCATGTGATCTCATTGTTCAATTCCCACCTATGAGTGAGAATATGCGGTGTTTGGTTTTTTGTTCTTGCGATAGTTTACTGAGAATGATGGTTTCCAATTTCATCCATGTCCCTACAAAGGACATGAACTCATCATTTTTTATGGCTGCATAGTATTCCATGGTGTATATGTGCCACATTTTCTTAATCCAGTCTATCATTGTTGGACATTTGGGTTGGTTCCAAGTCTTTGCTATTGTGAATAGTGCCGCAATAAACATACGTGTGCATGTGTCTTTATAGCAGCATGATTTATAGTCCTTTGGGTATATACCCAGTAATGGGATGGCTGGGTCAAATGGTATTTCTAGTTCTAGATCCCTGAGGAATCGCCACACTGACTTCCACAATGGTTGAACTAGTTTACAGTCCCACCAACAGTGTAAAAGTGTTCCTATTTCTCCACATCCTCTCCAGCACCTGTTGTTTCCTGACTTTTTAATGATTGCCATTCTAACTGGTGTGAGATGATATCTCATAGTGGTTTTGATTTGCATTTCTCTGATGGCCAGTGATGATGAGCCCGGGGTCGGGGGAGGGGGGAGGGATAGCATTGGGAGATATACCTAATGCTAGATGACACGTTAGTGGGTGCAGCGCACCAGCATGGCACATGTATACATATGTAACTAACCTGCACAATGTGCACATGTTCCCTAAAACTTAGAGTATAATAAAAAAAAAATTAAAAAACAAAAAAACAAAAAAACAAAAAAAAAAAACAATGCTTACTCTTATCCAGTTGGCCAGGGTGCCTTACCCTGGAGTCTCCAGGCTGTAATGAGAAATCTCCCATGAGGAACACGGATGTTTAAAGGCTAAGGGGTTTCAAATGAACCAAACTTCTAAGGACGCAGCGGCCGGAACTTGGTCCTGTTTGCAACACGCCCCTGCTGCCCCAAACTCCAATGTTAGGTTGTAGGATGGTACCATGGTGGGCTCTGGGCCACTTCCTGGGGCCAGGGAGCTGCCAGCTAGTGGTCGCCAGAGTGATTCAGCACAACTCCTTCCAGAACCACACACTGGCCACACCCCTCCAGGGTGAAATCTACCTGTGTGGTAGGAGGTTGCTCTGGGAGCTTGGAGCAGCAACAGCACTTTGTGAAAACGGACTGTGGGGTAGGAGACACAGGGTTATTGTTTTGTTGAACACCTCTCCCATATCCCTTCTTCTAGGAACGAGAACATTTTCCCCATGGGAAATCCATTTTTTATAGTTAATTGGAGCTAACTTTCCTATCTAATGGCAGAGGTATGCACATAAGATTGAATCAGAGAGGTCCATCCCACAGGTTATATGATCGGGTCAATGCTGGGCACATGACCGAAGCCAGGGGAGTCAGTGTCTTCCTTGGAACTCGATGCCTGAGCCAGCTGGATCAGGGTCCAGGGCTCCCGTGTCCTTCAGGGCTCTCCTCTGCCCCCAGCTTTGCCATGGAGGCAGGGATTGGCCCTCCTTTCCCTCCTCCCAAGGTTGTCTTCCTCTTGTATTTACCACACTTGCTTTTGCCTCCTGAGAGGCCCCAGGGCTCCTACCTGTGGGCAGGGATGCTGCCTCGGGCCAGCGCATAGCAGATGTGTTCCAAGAACGAATGAGTGAAAAGCCATTTGGGGAAAGCACATCATGTCTCCAGTGCCCTTCCCGGAGGAAGTCAACTGTGGTTCTGCAAACACAGCAGCCTGGGTAAATGAACGCTGTCTGCTGGTTTATCTTTTCTATGTCTCTGGATTTCCACTTATTCATTGACATCAAATGAAGTATTACTGTGGGATCTTATGTAAGGTCATAAAAAGACAGACGTTTTACTTCCTGGAAAGGTAAATTGTTATTCCCTCAAAGTTAAGGAAGAAAACTTATAAGCAGGGAAACCAAAGGGGGCTGAGTGCTGACCTTGGGAGCAGATGCAGCTCCAGCACTGAAAGAAAACATCATTAAAGGAAAGAGGCTCAAAGGCACGGAGCCCGCAGACAACTCTCTGCGCGCCCTGCCTGTCCAGAACCTGCTGATCCCGGTCAGGATAGCGGAGGAGGGGCCAACAGAGTGCTTCCCGTGGCTTTTGTGCGTTAGCTGCCATCTGGCATTTATCTTAGAGACAGAGTGGTCAATAATTTAAAAAGTGCAAATGACTTCTATCCACTTGTAAGATGTTACAAAGGCAGAGATTTGGTTCAAAGTTGCTGCATTAAAAAATGTCTGTCTTCATGAAGACAAGCGATTTCACATCTCTTAGAAAGAATGACAATGGTTTTCTTATCACTACCATATTACATCAATGTAGAGCCTTTGAGTCCTTAATAATGGAACACTTAGGTATTTTGCCATTATCAAAAGATAAAATTTAGCCTTTCAGAGGGAATTTTGATACCATACTATATTTTATAATGATGTAGAAAGTGATGGATTTTAATTACCAGTTTTATCTTCAGAGTGCTATAACTTATATTTGTAATTGTAGTTTGGAAGTTCCCAATGTCATTATATTTTTTTTGAAAGAGAAATGATGGCATCTTGAATTAAGCCCACAGTTTACTCAATCTAATCTTACTTAAAATGACTCCACGATGCAAATGTACTTCCCCAGTTCAGTCAAATCAGCTCCTCCTTCCCTGTGTCACTGATTTCCCTAACCCCTGCCACTAACATCCACAGACAAAGGCATTTTTACAGACAACTGGAGACTGTATTGTCCTTCCCATCTCTCTTCTTCAGACGGACCTTTGTATTCATCAGAAAATGAAGTCCAAATGAACAAATTTGATCATTTCTTTCTCACTTGATGGGACAAAAGGGAGACTTTCCTGACTTCTAAACAATAAGACTTCTGGCAAAAATCTCTTTTTTTCCCATCTGTGGCCACAGGAGTTGTAGGTGATTCATAAATGCACTGCCCCAAGTGGGTCACAATAAACCAAGCTCATGTAAACCAGATTTGCAAATAAACACTGAGTATTCACCAGCCCATAAAAATGGTCTGGTCAGCTCACACTGCAGAAACCAAACATTGCATTCTGGTGAGTGATAAAATAGAAAAAACTAACACATTTCGGGAATTCTCTGATGCCAGTTGTTCGTGACTATAGATGTGTAGTTATCTGTAAGATTAATTGCCAAGGAATATTTTCAGTAACCATGCTGGTGGTTCTCACAAAAAACATTGGTAAAAGTAAATTTGCTACCTAAACAAAAATATCCAGCTATATTTCAGAAGGAGTAAAGGTCATGTCATATTGACAGAAAATCTTTGTAGATATTAAGACTAAACTGGGCAAAGAGAGCTAAACGCCAACCACACAGTTTGAACTGTGAATAACATTTGTATGTTTGAAATCAACATAGGAAGTCTTGAGATACCAGATTTGTGGGACAAAAATCAGTGAGAAAAAAATTATACTCTCAGCCAACGAGAACGTACGTTATCAACAACAAAAACAATTAGAACAACAAATAAATGAACAAAAAACCCAAAGGCATTCTCAAAGTGTATTGCTTTGCCAGTTAGAAGTTGCAGGCATGTGTTTTGAATTTTCTGTTGTTTTATTTGTAGAAAGATTTGGAAGCAGGATTGTTTTATTGAAATATAACGCCAGATTGAGAAAAGCCCATTTCAAAAGGGAATCATTAGTTGGAAGGAAGGGCTTCGTCCAGTCAGTGTTTGGGTCGCCAGATCTGGAGGGTGAGTAATGGACATCCTGAATGTAACTGGAGAATTCTGGGCAACTCAGCAACTCGGGCAAGGTCACTGGGGTGCAAATGTCAAGGGCCGGTGGGGCAAGGACTCAAGGACTCTTAGAGCTCTGAGTTCCTACATTTCCCAGGAGGCCTGTGATGACCCCAGTGCATACGTGATCCAGATCCTGAAGCATTTGCTCCTGGGTGGGGAAATACTGCAAATGCAAACTTGACAATAAGTTTTCCTTTCTGAATCATGAAAAGCTAATTCAAACCAACCACTACAACAAAGCATTGAAATGTTCTCAATGGTATATCTGGCTGGCCAGGGGCCTGGCTGAGGAAGTCACCTCCGCTCCCAGGACTGCATTTGTCCGGGATCCATGCCTCCCGGGAGGATATTGTGAAGGATTCACATCCGCCCTCCCCTCCAGATCCAGGCAGGAGTGCACAGGGACTGTGGGAAGTGTGTCACTCTGGCAGAGTCGGGGCTCTTGAGTCAGCATCTTACACACAGCAGGACATCAACAAATACTTGACAAATGAGAGAATGGTGTGGCAGTTGAGGATCTCTGCTCTTCAAGGCACAGCCCAAGCTCTACACACACAGAACTACCTGCACTTGCCCTGGTTGGCCCCACTGTCCCTTTGTGCCCTGAGCTGTTGCTGTTCTGTATACTGGAAATATCCATCCTCTTCCACCCCTGGCAAACCACTATTCCACGGCAACCTTGTCTTCAAAGCCTCCTAGTTGGCTGCTTTCCTCCACCCCAACATATCTGGCCCATGACCCTCTTACAGCCCGTTTTACAGACCCCAAGGATTTGAGTACCTTGCTCACTAGTCTAAGCTTCCTGGGAGTGCAGCTGCATCTTATTTATAGAGTTTAGATTTACTAGGAGCTCTGCATCTAGCATAGAACCACATATATTACATGGAATAGATTATAGGCTATGTTGGAGCATAACAGACCCTTGGGGTAGGTAGATCACTATCCTTATTTTACAGATGAGGCATAACAAGGTTGAGCAATTTGCAGAAGGTCCCTTGCTAGTAAGTGGTCTGTTCAATGCCTGTGGCTCCCCTAAAAGGCCCACATCCTTGTCTAAAACCTATGCACATGTTATCTGACATGGCAAAAGGGACTTTGAAGATGTGATTACTTTTAGGATCTTGAGGTGGGGAGATCACCCTGGACAATCTGGGTGAGCCTGATGGAATCAAAAGGGTCCTTATAAGAGGAAGGCAGGAGAGTCAGTGTCAGAGAAAGGGATGTGACTACAGAAGCAGAAGTCGGAGAGGGACAGAGACTTGCAGATGCTGTGCTGTTGGCCTCGAAGATGGAGGAAGGGGCCATGAGCCAAGGAATGCAAGTGGCCTCTAAAAGTTGGGAAAGGCAAGGAAACAGATGCTCCCCAGAGCCTCCCAAAGCAATGCTGCCTTGCCAGTATCTTGATTTCAGGATTTCTGACCTCCAGAACTGTAAAATGAAGCATTTATAAGCCATTAAGTTTGTGCTAATTTGTTACAGTAGCCATGGGAAACTCACACAGCGCCTGTAAACTGGAAACCAGGCGGAAACACCGACAAGGGGAGGAAGGAGCACACTGCACTCCCAAAGGAGGTGGTCAAAGGCCCATTCCAAGAGCTCCCTGGCATCAAGGGCCACAGTGGGTTGCAGCCTTCCCTGCTCTCTGCTCTCCCAAGGAAGTCTGTATAATGATCTGAAGAACTGAGGAGGGGCGGGCAGGACAGACCAAAACCCAGGAAGTCACAAGCCCGAGGTGGCTTCCCAAGCCTGGTCTCTGTGCTGTGGCTTTCAGGAACCCTGAGCCAAAGATAAAGCCTCTTCACCAAAACTTTACATTTGTTACCAACAGTCCTGATGCCATGGATGTTCCATGCTGTGTGCAGTGGCCACACACGACACCACCCACCACCACCCCAGCAAAGGCCTCCTGGTTACCAGGGAGAGAGTGGGTGGGAGAGAGTAGAGCTAAGCCAGGAGCTCCCAGGGAAGCCCCCTCCTTAGGAAGAGGACGTGGCTACCTGGGTGCTCAGACCTCCAGCCTCCCCCTCCATCATGGGGATGATGAGAGCCCAAGCAGGTGACTTCCTATTGCTCTTGCTTTTGAAAAGCTCAGTCTGTGGGTCAGGTTGTCAGTCTGTCTGCCTGTCTGGTTCTCTCTCTGGTCAGGCAGCTACAGAAGGACTAGACTGATGAGATAATAAATACCAGCTTTGGTCACCATGAATCAGAGGCACACAGCCAGCTGAGTCACACAATGGGGGTGGCTCAGACAGCACTGTCGAGTTCCCTCTGACCTCACTCTGGAAACGGGGCCAGCTGTTCGAATACGGCAGGGCATTAAGGAACACATTTCACTCCCAAAGCTCCAAGTGTTGTGTGTGCTCTGGCCACAAAATGCTTTTTGGAAAGGAGCTTCATCACAGCCCTTGTAACTCAAGAAAAGGAGACTGCTGATTCTGGAGAAAGGCTGGGACGGGGACGGCACTAGGGATGCCTGAAGCCATGAAGATTTGGCCTGCAGCAGTAGCCGCAGTCCCAAAGTGACCTCAGTTGGCTAAAAGCTGCCTGAAGTCACTAAACCATGTCAAGCCCAAACACCATTCAATGTGTATAGCGAGTACTGGCTTAGTCCTTGTCATTGCAACAGGGTGTCCCCCACTGCTCCTGCCCCCTGCTTTGCCCAGGGTGCCCCAAGGCCCAGCAGGCGATGATGCCAGGACTGAGGGCTGCTCAGGGTCCAAGGATGAAGTACTAAGGGCCCGGGAACTGCAGGCCTCCCCATCCCACCTGCCCACGCGCATCCCTGAGTGCTGAGGAGCATCAGAACAACTCCTCAGAGGCCGAGCTAAAGAGGCCTGCGCTCGTCCCTCCTTGCTACCAAGCTGCCCTTTCTTTTCCCCCCCAGAAAGCTCCAAGTACAGAGGACATCGCTGGCTGGCAGGGGACATGGGCCTCCCAGCAGGACCCAGCTCCGAGAGACATCCATCTTGTTTTCCATGCCTGGGCGTGGCTTTTACATTCCATTGAAAACCCAGGCTTCGAGGTTTAGTCATCAATTTCTGTTCCACTTTATTTCCCTCATCACTCCTAAAACCAAAGCCTCACAACAAAAGTCTGACAAAGGTCCTATCAGGTTTCCCTCCCGCTAGAGATCCTGCCTGATTCTGCTTGGCTTTCAGCCTGGGCCTGGCCGACCACAAGAGGCCTTGCCAGAGCTGGGGTCTCTGGCCTGGGCTGAGGTCATTTCTGCAGCCAGCAGGAGGAGGGAGTGACAAAGGACTCAACCACATTATCATAAGGGAAAGAGAACTGCAGGACAGGGTGGGGCCTGCACTTGTGGATTTCACGGTTGGACTCCTGGGAGCTGGACACAGGCATTGAATCTCAAATGGTTCTGGGGTGACGGGGCCTTGGAGTCCAGGGCTGCCCAATGAGGCCTTGGATCTCTGACCCCAGAAGGTGGGGCATGGAGGAGAGACACGCAGGGGATGGATTCTTCCCTTTTGCATCTGAGCTTCTGCTTCATTTTGGAGCTTTGGTGGAGCTTTAGAGCAACACCTCCCTCTTCAGGGTGACTGTGCATTGTGGGAGTAACACATGGGCATTGGGTCACAGTAACCCAGGTTCAAATCCTAGCCCGGAGACCTGGGGAAACTGACATTTGGTCTCAGAGTTTGAGCATCATCTTCTGTAAAGCTTCATAGTCCCCACTTCAGGGGCTTGTTGGAGGGTCAGAAGAGACAAAGTGTGCCAAGTGCCCAGCCTGAACTGGTGAAATGGTGAACTGATGGTCTCTTGTTTGACGCAACCACCCCACTTTCCCATTTGAGAGCCACTCACTGCTGCTCTCAGGCCTTCTGATTACAGACACACTCATGCTTCAAGTCTGATCAGGGCCTTCCCCATGGAGCCCTGGGCCCCTCACTTGGTTGGGGTCCTCTTATGAGTACAAAGGGGCATTACTAAAATCTCAGTGGTGGTGGGAAAGTTCTGTCTGTCTGTCCAACTACGTGCTATGCTATCTGAGGGCAGGAGTCATGGTGGATTCATCCCTGCCATCCCTCGGGGCACGCAGTAGGTGCTCCTGCAGCTCCCGTATCTCCCGGGGCACACAGGTGCTCCTGCATCTTCTGTATCCCCCGGGGCGCACAGTAGGTGCTCCTGCAGCTCCTGTTGGACCGCACTGAGCTTCTTAAGGCCAGGCTCCAGGCAGTGTCCATTTCTGTGCACCCCATGCCCAGTGCGGCCTCAGACCCTCCCTGGGAGTCAATCACTCCCGACTGAACACACCGGATGCTGTGTGGACAGCGCCCGCCAGGAGTGGGGGCTAACCAAAACAGAGCACATGCCCCCAGTCCCACAGCCCAGGTCTGCCAGTGCCTCTCCTGATGCCGAGCTTGTGGCGGCCACGTACCTGGTCCCCAGAGCGTGACACACTGCTGCTCGTGAGTCTGGCAGATGCCATTGTAGCAGTAGCCGTCCACATCCTGACATGAGTGCCCATCGTGCAGGTACACGTTGGCTGGGCAGTGAGGGCTGGCCCCTGTGCAGAACTCTGGGAGGTCACAGGAGTTGCTGGAGTCCCTGCACGCTGTTCCTGCAGGCTTCAGCTGGAAGGAGAGGGCCATTTATGACACATGCACCCGGGGAAAGGGAGAGGCAGCTCTCAGCATTACTCCTGGGCTGGAGTGGACAAGGCCATAAGTCCCACATAAGGGGTGAGGATTTCAAAGGAAGTTGCTTCTAATGTAGAGATACCTCATTAAATCATCAGATTCTCGTTCTGGGGTTCACTGTTCCACTCTAAAGTGGGTGGGACAACCAAGAGCAGCCTCTGGTTAATGTCATGCAACATCAGGGTTCTCCAAGAAACACACAAGCTGGCTGCTGGCACTTGGCACCTCAGAGGAAGAAGAAGGAGGGAAGCGTTGGCTGCTGGCCTGGTTGATTCTTAAGAAAAAGGTCTCTGGGTGTCAACACTATGACACATTTCAAGGGGACATTTGCATTTATGGTGTTGGCATGTGTGGGCAAGTTAATAAAAATAACTTTAAGGTCACAATCACGATAGCAATTTTAGTCAGTCGTCAAATCATAGAACTGGAACTCTCTCTTTACTGCTTTATGGGAAGAACAGGAGAAGAACAAGGGAGAGGTAAAGGATGTTAGAAGCCATCTGACCAATGGCTCAGCTTTTTGTGGTTGAAGAAATTAAGGCTCAGAGTAGCCCGTCTGAGGCTACACAGCTAGGGAACCCTGCGAGTCCTGGGCTTAGTTCCCTGCATACTCCTCAAACGCAAAGAGATAAGACCCCTGCCAACTTCTAGAAGATCTGGAAGTCGAAAGCAATTGTTAAAAAGTCATAACCTAAAAGTGAACCACAATCAGGCATTGCCCTGTGGTCCTCCCTCCCCTTACTTGGGCATCCCCTGGGCACAGGCTCAGACTTGCTTCCCCCTTCCCCCGACTCCCTTCCAGGCACCTTCCTTCACCAGTTACTGGGAGCCAGGGAGAGCCAGCTGCTTATAACATTCCCCAGAAGTTAATCAGCATTAGGAAGAGGATGAAGGCTATTTTAAAGCCGAACATTAAATGTTATAATGCACTTCTAAATCACCGTGCTCACGTGGGGCAGCTAAGAGGGAGTTTCCTGCAAGCAGAATGTCAGGATCAATTGCTTAATTAAAATGAAATAAAACTCTACCCTTGGAACTGTTGAATCAAAAGCTCAGGCTTCTACTCTCAGATATCAGCTCTGAATAATGAGACAATGGAACTGCCAAAAGAAACGCAGTCCTAGCCAGCAGCAATGGCGAGAGTATAAAACTGCCATTCTTGGCTGGGCGGGGTTGGTGGCAACTTCTTTTGGGAGGACATTAAGATTGAGTTGTTTATACAAAACTTCTGGGACAAGCCAGCAGGCAGATGTCCGCGGGATCAAGAAGATGAACCTGGGGGAACCTGAGTGACAGTGGATGGGGACTTGTTCTCGCCTTGCTCTTCTTGTCAGCATAGTAGAACCCCATGTGCCTCTGACGGCACAAATGGAGCATTTAAAGTTGAACTAGGGTTTATCGGTCTGATCAGTTGTCAGCCCCTAAATAAATAAACACAAGTGACTGGCAACTGAAGCGTGCATTTCACCCCAAGATTGGAAGCTAAACAGTAAGAGGTGGGTAACACCAACTGGCGTGAGAAGGAGGGATGGTGCGTGCTGTGGTGAGTGCTGGGAAACCTTCCAGCCACACTGCTTGCCCTGCATCAGATCTGAACCACCTGAACCTGTTGGCGACCTGGGGGTCAAGTTGTAGCTCCGGTGACTCACCTGGCAGTCTTCACAGCACAGCCCATGTGCGCACACAGCGTCCGGCTTCAGGGTACAGGTGGTGGCATTGCAGCAGCGATTCATACATTCCTGGAAAGGGGAATGGCATTTGTTTGACAGGGTCTTATGGAGTATGCACTCACTGAATGCAAACATCACACCTTAAATGGCTGCAAAAAGCAAGAAAGACCAAGAGGGCCCAGCTCCTGAACTGCACACCTGCCTGTTTCCGTCTGTTAGGAAAGCAAAGCTTCTGCTTTTTATGAACCAACTGGGTCTACGAGTCCCTGGAAAAAGCCAGTAGCACACAAGTGCCCTCATGAAAGGTAAAGCAGTTGTAACATAGGCTGGCCGGCTGGGGACATCACTCTAGTCAGCAGTACACTGGGGCTCTGTAGAGGGGTGTCCAGGCGGATCTCATTGCAGTGGACTGCATCAGGATCCCTGGAGGACTTTGAAATTACCCAATCAAAAATATACATAGATGCATACAATCTGTACTCTTCAAAAATGAACCTTTTTTGATTTAGAGAGTACTGGCAGGAAATGAAGTCAAACCAGTGGTTTCAACCACAATTCCCTGCAATCTCGCCAGGGTTGTGGATGAGACCCTTGAGCAGCCCGGGTAAGTTGTCTGGCCTGACAATTCCATCACTCGGAAAGTCAGAAATGGACCTTATAACAAGCAAGTGGCCGGCAGGAGGCCTGTGGGCTGTGCCCATTGATTTGCGAGGGATTTAAATGGATAGTTCAAGCATTAGATGTACTGTCCTCTCTGAAACAAAAGTGAGAAAAGAAAGTAACTCCTTTATAATGCTGTGCTCCACACGTACCCATTGCTTCCATTTTTTCCTAACAAAAACAAGAGATTGACATTTTTCGCTCAGTTCTCAACAAAAGGCCTGCACGCATTTATCAAGTGAAGTCCTTGTACTTGAGAACATTCAAGTAACTGCAGTTTACACATTTTAGAAGAAATGTAATTATCATAAGATGGAACAGTTCATAGATCTTTAATACTGAGTAATTTATCAATGTTCTTTTATTTTATCCAGTATATGATATGCTTTGAAAAATTTATATACCATTGGCTGGGGTGAAGCTAATCACATACTAGTTTAATAATATAATACTTTACTCCTGAAAACCATCTTTCTTGAATGGATTTATCATGAGTTTTATAAATGCAATTAATAAAATTTTGTCAATAATCCAGAAGATTTATGGCAAACCCAGATACTGAAACTATATCCTATGTAAAACTCTAATTATGCTCTCATTTGATGTTCCATTTGATTCTATTATACAGACTTCCAAAGTTATTAAATTTTAAATTTGCTTGAGGACTTTATAAACATCCAGAATGCGTAATATATACAATAAGATAAAACTGTCAACCAGAAGTCATAGCTGTAACTTTTATGACAGTAAGGGTTTCTAACTTGTGGACTTACAATTCTAAAAGAGTTTAGGAACTTTTTTTAAAAAAAGTAGTCCATTAATTGCATTTTTAAATCAGTGTCATCAAATGCACACCACTGCTATCCTGGTCCTTATGGTCTAAATGGCTCTATGGATGACACATTTACCAAATTACAAGTTTTCTTGAAATTCCATGTTAAATCAGCCATCCTAAATCTGGGTCCTAAAATTCTTT
Source organism: Homo sapiens (assembly GCF_000001405.40). Classification (NCBI taxonomy): domain Eukaryota; kingdom Metazoa; phylum Chordata; class Mammalia; order Primates; family Hominidae; genus Homo; species Homo sapiens. Next base: position 126,068,374 of record NC_000010.11, read on the forward strand.
AAGAAATATCTTCCCCCCTCTCTCAAATCACCCAGTAATATAAGCAGCAGCTCAAATGGAAATGCAGCCATGCCAAATGGCTCTGACTTCAAAGGGGATGATAATGTGAGAAAGATAACTAAGTTTAAAAGATATTCGCAAGCTACTGGCATCCTATTGACTTTAAACAAGGAGATAAGGCTGCTTTCCCAATCCTGTTAGCTGGAAGAATGAGTGAGTTGTCAGGATTTCCTTATGTTGATATAAATCCAATGCCCTGTCCGGGAAGGCTTCAGCAATCAACCTGCCTTCAAACCACCCAGGATCTATTTCTTCTGCAGTACCATATTTCTCAGAAGAGACACATTCTTCATCTGCTGCTACATTGATTATTTTAGTCCTCAATAGAGAAGTCCAACAGAGCCAATGAATACCAAGTCTCCAAAGAAGAAAGAATAATGAAAGCATTAGAGAATTCTCTGCAAAGCCCTAATTGTCATTCTCAGGTTGTAGGTAGCAGACACAGATTCTTAATCACAATGAACTGGGAGAAGACTAGAAGCCATCTTCTTGAAAATGATGGAGATTATTTCTGGGAGCAAGGGAGAAGCTGGTTTCCATTGGGTGCTGGCAGTTGTTTTTCGGATCCCATTTACTACTCCTTCCCTGATGTCGTAACACACTGGGTCCCTCTGTGGGCCAGGGAATGGCCAGGTCAATCTGATGTAAGGGCATGCAGAATAACCAGGGCCTGAGCACTGGGTAGGGGGATAAAGAACCCAGGTTAACAAGTCTTTTTGCCTAAAATTCTTAGGCAAAGCAGTTTGGAAACTGTAAATAGGTTGTCACACTGCCAAACACAATTTGAGTTTGAACCTTGAAACTATTATTTTCTAATAATAACTACTTGAAACTATTTTTTGAAAAGCAAAAAATAAAAAAAAGCAAATCTAAAAAGTGAGGCAAAAGGCTCACCTGTAACTTTCAAAGAAAGAACTTTGGATGAGGGGAATGAGAGCTATCTTCAAATATCAAGAAGTTATCCTACAAAATAAGGACCTTAACCGCAGAAATACAAAGTTGGTAACTGCATGCAAGCAGTTTGGCTCTGTACAAGGAGGGAGTTTGTAATAATCAAAGCTACCCTATAATGCAACATGCCACCTGGCGAGACAGCACCCTGTCAAGCCGCATGACTCCTTCATGGAGAAAAGAGGGAGGATCAGAATATGAGTGGCTGACACATTTTAGGCACTCAAGCATTTGCTGATGTGATGGTGGTGGTGGGGATAATGATAGGGGTGGGGATGGTAGCAGTGATGCTGGTAGCGATGTGGATACTGGTGTGGCCACGGTGGTGGCAGTAGCTGTGGAGATGGCAGTGGTTACAATAGTGGGGTGATGGTGAGGGCTGTAGTGATGACGGTGGCGGCAGTGGCAGTGATATGGTGATGATGGTCATGAGAGAAATGGTGATGATGTTGGGTGGAGGAGGTGGTGGTGGCGATTGTGGAGATGGTGATGTTAGCAATGGTGGTCGTGATTGTAGCAGTGATGTGGCTGCTGCTGGTGGCATATGGAGTAAATGACTGCTAACGAAATCATTCCAAACCCGAGAGTTCATGGCTTCATGAAGAGCTGTCAAATTTATTTAGATGAACAAACAATCATAAGAAGTTCAAAGACAAACCATTTTCAGCCAACATGGCCTCTCCTGAGAAAGGTGAGAAACTTAAACTAATTCATTTTTTCCTTTAAGAAATTAACAAGGCCTACAAGGAATTTCCCCTTTGCATACCCCAACCCATGATGGTTTTAAGTTTTCCTCTGCTAATCTTGAGAAGAGTTTCTGTAACACTATAATTAGGACTTGCTCCTACACAGCAACCATTCCCTGCTCATGGTGAGCAAAATTAGACACCCCTCCAGACAATGTCATTATCATGGTTAAGTTCTGAGTTTGGCAAGGGCATAAAAACATTTGAAGAAACCACTTCTACATCACATCCCCCCTTACTCCCACCCAATACTTACATACTTCCAGCGTTCTTGCAGAAACTGTCAGACCAAGCTCATTCCTCCTGGTATGGAAAACCTCAGAGACTTGAAGATGGGGATATGATGAACATTCTGTTTGCCAGTTGTTTGTGTGATGAACACAGGAATATACCGGATGCGCCAGTCTCAACACGATTTCTCCTCCACCCTAAACTCCCTCTTTCAGAGCAGCCCTTGGAGATGCTCTTCCTAAGCCCTCATTAAGTCCATCTGTGAATTTAGCTAAGCCTGCCTTGAACTTGTCTACTATTTCAGCTTGCATAAACTCTCGGGGAGGGAGTCCCACATGGAGGCTGCCTGCTGTACAACTGCTTGCTTTGATTTATTCTAAACACAACCTCCTCCAGACTTCGAGGGGGCACCTGTTTTACTAGGAGGTCTCATGCTGTCTTCTCTCTTTCCTTCTTGAGATTATTCAGAGATTAAAAAGTGACTTTTATAATTTTTATAGTGATTATCTTGGGCCCTATTAAAACAAGGACATTTCCTGATATTGGCTGGAAAACAGGGTTAAGCCCTGTGCTAGATAAAAACGTTCCCTGCCTTCACTTATTGCTTCTGAAAGCTACAAGCTCGAGAGGCAGAAGCCTCAAGTCATGCATACAGAGGCGTCTGCAGCAGCAAGGCAGAATTTCAACTGCAGAGGAAGCTCCTGGTTAAAAATGAATGCTGCTTATTCAGATTCCCCTCTGGTAGCACACCTTATGAAGAAAAAGAAATGGTGCTTATTAGCTATTTGAAGCTAGAATTCCAGGGCTTTCTTCTCTGTCAAACTCAAAGCTAAACACTTTTTTTTATTGTTTTTGGCCTCATCTTGCTGAGAATGCTGTACCCTTCGATAAGATTATTTATCTTTTTAAATGAAGTGATCACTTATTCCATGCAATAGTTAAAATTCAAGAAAGCCACCCTAGCTCACGGGGCTTGTTCAGGATGGGCAGATAGGACTCTTCCTTCCTGAGTTCTAGTACTTTCATCTGGCTGTACAGTTCCTCCAAGTTCTCTCTTCTTTGCCTAGCCGAGGATACAAGTCTTCTTGTATCCTTGTTCTGGGAATGGTTCTTACCTCTGGCTCCCCACAGTCACACTCCTCTCCTTCTTCCACAAATCTGTTCCCACACTTCTGGCCCCCGAAAGACTCCCTGACTTCCGGCAGGTTAAACAGGCACACCCCCATTCCTTTCTCCAGGCTGGTCTCCAAGTCCTTCCTGCTGCAACTGCTGAACACCATGGGAAATGGGTACCTGAGAAAGGAGAGCCCAGAACAGTAAGTCACAGGGCATGGAATGGCTTTGTCTGCCCTTCTTGTGCCCACAAGAAGGCACCCACTGGCCACATCTGCCCAGGTGTTCACTGGTGGTCTCAATGAACAATGCATATCAAAAAACTCAGATATGCAGTGTCAAGTGAGGCACATTCAGTTCCATCCCGACATCCATTCCGTACAGTGCCAACGCGGCTGATGAAGAAGTGCTTTATCAAAAAAGAAATGATCTTTCGATGGTTTTCAAATCAATAAGTTCAGGCAGAGTCTCATTAAAGACATTATTAATAGTTCTGGGTGAAATGATGCTACGAAAAGTGAATTCGTAGGGACTGTAGCTTGTAATACAAACACATAACAATGTCCTTATTGGAAAGTGCAAAGAAGAAAAGAGTACAAATGACGGTGTTTATTAATTCCATGGTTCCAAGGACACATGGTTCCACTGTAGGGCAGGGCCTGCTGATGCTGGCATTCAGGTCTATAAAGGCCAAGTCCCTATCTTCCCCCAGCACAGTTGTAAGAGAATGGAGGTGATCCAGAAATGCAGGTCTTACCCTTGTCTCTAAATTCCACGGTGTGGCAGGGTCTAAACAACCGGGTGCCTCTAAACAACCGGGTGTGGCAGGGTCAGCCAACTCCCCAGCAAAGTTATGCTCCCCTTCTGTGCTCTAGAAGGGCTGCCCAGCCCCCATGTACCTGGGTGGGCTGTATGACATTCTTGGCACTAGAACATGAACAAAAGTGATATAGGTCACTTTTGGCTGATGGTATTTAAGCGAGTATTCCTTCTTCATATCCTTTCTTTCCCCATCTGCCAGCTGAGATTAGAGTATCCCACGGTTTTAGGAGATGGAGGTGTCAGGCATGGCATCTGGTCCTAACTCACTGTATGGAGGAAGGCCACCTGCAGCCTAGAGCCTCAGAGCATCATACAGAAGGAAAACACGCTTCTAATATGGTAACCCACTGAGCATTTGGGGTTTGATTCCAAAGCAGCCAGTGTTATCCAACATACACAGAGTGTCTCACTTTTTACAAATGCATTTTCCCATGTCTTGAGGCAGCAAGGATTATTAAGGTATAAGCATGCCAGAAACCCAGAAAGTTTTATTACTTAGAGAGGGAGCAGGGGCTGCTGTCCAGCAAACCCAAGCACCCTCTCCCAATGGAGACATTTATAAGGATGACATTAGAACTGGATCTCAATCAATTGGCCAAACCAACGCAAGCTGCTACGCTCCCCTGATGATGGTAGACCAGCGGCCACTTAATGATTGAGCTTGGTGAATTTTGAGATCATGCTGATTTCCAGGACCAAACTGATAACACTGCACCATCCTCTCCGAGTGGTTTCCCTTTTCTTCCCCAAGTATATAAGGCATACTATTAGGCACAGATTTTTAATGACCAGGTATTTATTTTTTCTTAACTTCATTTTCTGAGACCGAGTCTCACTCTGTTGCCCATGCTGGAGTGCAGTGTCTCACTGCAACCTCCGCCTCCCGGATTCAAGTAACTCTCCTGCCTCAGCCTCTCAAGTAGCTGGGATTACAGGCGCCCACCACCATGCCTGGCTAATTTTGTATTTTTAGTAGAGATGGGGTTTCACCATGTTGGCCAGGCTGGCCTCAAACTCCTGAGCTCAGGTGATCTGCCCGCCTCGGCCTCCCAAAGTGCTGGGATTATAGGCATGAGCCTTTAAGCCTGGCCCTTAACTTTTTTTTTTTAACTTTAATTGTAGGTTCAGGGGTACATGGGCAGGTTTGTTATGTAGGTAGACTGCATGTTAGCGAGGTTTGGTGTACAGATTATTTCATCACCCAGGCAATAAGCACAGTTCTCCACAGGGAGTCTTTTGATCCTCTCCTTTCCCAGTGTCTGTTGTTCCCTTCTTTGCATCCATATGTACTCAATGTTAGCTCCCACTTATAAATGAGAACATGCAGTATTTGGTTTTCTGTTCCTGCATTAGTTTTCCCTCCAAGTGGTTTCTATCAACCTCGGGCTATTAACTCTGGAGTATATTAATAATTCTAATTTACAAATAAATTAATAAATGAAAGTGCTCCTCTGTGGATGCAAAGGCAACATACCAGGACTTACTCATAGTGCTGTAACAATCTTGAAATCTTTGTAACTTCCCCTGGCAGACAGACTGGTTATTCCTGGTATCAAAATATACTAACTAGGTTCAAACAATGATTCACAAGAAAAATGATAATGTTTTTGCAATTTAGAAGGGTATTATATTGAAGTAATTGGTATATTACACAGGGACTTAAGAGCAGTTCTTCTCTTTGCAAAAAGAAAGAAAGAAAGAAATAAAAATCAATTTCATGGAGGTACAGATGGAAACTTCTTCTGTATCTGAGAGTTTTCCTAGGACATATATGTCTCCAGGCCTGATCTAGGAGATGAAACATCATTCTCACTCAGTGATACGCAACTTAGTTCTGTGACAAACCATTATCAGTTCATTCTAGAAGGGAAGTGATTTCTAGAAAATATTAGAGTTAATTAGGAAAGACTCTAGGATAAATGTTAAGTCTCAGGAAGGGTTTATAGCCAGAATCACAGCAATTAAGAGAAGCCTGGAAAAGAGTGGTCTGAATTGGCCTGTTTCCCAAAGGAGCAGAGAACGTCCGTAGACCCCAGGGATTGGAGAGCTGAGACCAGCTCCGTTCACTAAGCTCAGACATGCCTTCCCCATCTCATTCCTTTCAAAGCAACAAACACACAAACATTGGGTTTTTTGGGGGTTTCCCATCCAAATAGGATGAAGGAGAACAGTTTAAGTCCAGGATTTAAACTTCAGAATGTGTAGGAGAGGAGAACAGAACAGATCATCATTGGCAAAGATCATCATTGTATTTTTGTGTCTGCATTGGGTGTTGTCAGACTGTATAGTGATCTGTGTAATAATCTATTTCTACTTCCCTTAGCTTTTCCTCATTCTGCTGAAGGACAACTCCCAAGTGTTAACAAAATTCTTTCTCATTTAGAATCATGCATACATAAATGGTCGTCATCCAATTCACGGGTTTTCAACCTTGCTCTGAGGAACAGCATCCTAGCATTAATTCTTCAGGGATGCCTCTGTTTTAAAAGGAAAGTAGCGATGTCCTCCTCAGATGCGAAATGAGGTCTTGATGAATTCACCAACACTGAACAGATCCTTTCTCAGGGCTCCTTTCCACATGGCCTGAGCTCACCAGCATGCCGCCTGCCTTCCAGGTCAGGACAATTCAAACTTCCAGCAACTCCTGACCATGGGTGACAGCTCCAGCCATGAGCAGGTGTGAGTGGCTTCTCTTCCCACCAACCTGGGGTTTTTCTGACTTGCTCAGGCGACCCAGCAAGGTCAATGGGGAGTCCAGCAGCCCTTCCACAAACATTCCTGCCATTTCCTCGGACTGGGTCAGCCAATATCGCTACCATTTCCTCTATGTAATGAAGAAAAAAATGCCTCGTTTATTGTTCAAGAACTTACTTTTGATGACGAATGGTGATGAGGCTGAGAAGTATTTTCTACCTGTAGGATGTCATTACTCATCCCATCCTTTCATGATTTCTCAGCAAGGAGGCAGGTGACTATTCACTCTGATAGGATATTTATGAACCCTATTTGGGCAGTTAGAGGAAGTCAGGCTTTAGAGGAAGAAAATCAGAACAGCCTATCACACATCATTCCATTATTCCCCAAGTATTTATTCAACACCGACTAGGTGCCAGGCATTGTTCTAGGCTTTGGGGATATGGGAATGAAGAGAACAAAAAAATCTCAGCCCTCATGGAGCTTGCATTCAGTGGGGCCAACAGATAATAGGCAAGCTAAGGGAACAGAATGAGTTAGAAAGAGTAGAATTAAGGAGAAAAAAATAAAAGAGCAAGGGAAGAGGGTGTGTATTGAACTTTTAGGGACAGTGGACCTCACCAGGAAACCTCACCAGTAAGAGGGTCATTTGAGCCCCTCACCCGAAGGGAAGAAGGTGTGAGTGCACCTCGGGAAAGAGCTGGTACAAGTGTCTGCAGACAGGACTGGCCTGGAGGAACTTACTCAACAGTGGGAAACAGTCTGCTCTTCCTGCAGACACACACCCAGAGAGGCAACCCATTTTCTACTTGGCATCATTCTTAGATAGGTCAAGGTCATGCTGATGGTGAGAAGATCCCATGGAGTGTCAATACACTGGGAGCTGTGCCTCTGTATGGGCCAGGCACTGGGAATGACTGAAGGTATTTTTATTTATTTTAAATAATTTCAACTTTTATTAGCAATGAAGGGGTACATGTGCAAATTTGTCACATGGATATATTGCATGATGCTGGGGTCTGGGGTCCTGTCACCCAGGTAGTGAGCATAGTACCCAATAGGTGGTTTTTCAGCTCTTGCTCCCCTCCCATCCTCCCCCATCTAATAGTCCCCAGTGTCTGTTGTACTCATCTTTACATCTACGTGTATTCAATGTTTAGTGCCCACTTATAAGTGAGAACACGTGGTATTTGACTTGCTATTCTTGCACTAATTTGCTTAGGATAATGGCCTCCGGCTCCATCCATGTTGCTGCAAAGGACATAATTTCGTTCTTTTGATGGCTGTGTAGTATTCCATACCACGTTTTCTTTATCCAATCCACTGTTGAAGGGCACCTAGGTTGATTCCATGTCTTCGCTATTGTGAATAGCGCTATAATGAAAGTATGAGGGCACGTGTCTTTTTGGTAGAATGAGTTATTTTCTTTTGGATATATACACAGTAGTGGGGTTGCTGGGTCAAATGGGAGTTCTGTTTTAAGTTCTTCGAGAAACTGCCAAACTGCTTTCCACAGTGGCTAGCCTTGCCAGCATCTGTTATTTCTGACTTTTTAATAATCGCCATTCTGACTGGTGTGAGATGGTATCTCACTGTGGTTTTGATTTGCATTTCCCTGATGATTAGTGTTGTTGAACATTTTTTCATATGGTCACTTGTATGTCTCCTTTTGAGAGGTGTCTGTTTATGTCCTTTGCCCATTTTTAAATTGAACTATTTGTTTTTTACTTGTTGATTTAAGTTCCTTGTAGATTCTGGATATTAGACCTTTGTCAGATGCATAGTTTGTGAATATTTTCTCCCATTCTGTAGGCTGTCTGTTGGTAATTTCTTTGGCTGTGCAGAAGCTCTTTAATTAGGTCCCACTTGTCAATTTTTGTTTATGTTGCAATTGCTTTTGGGGACTCAGCCATAAATTATTTGCCAAAGCCAAAATAAAAGGCATCCAAATAGGAAAAGAAGAAGTCAAACTTTCTCTCTTTGCTGACAATATAATTCTATACATAGAAAATGCTAAAAATTCTGCCAAAAGGCTCCTGGAGCTGATAAATGAACTCAGTAAAGTTTCAGGATACAAAATCAATGTACAAAAACCAGTAGCATTTCTCTACACCAATAATGTTCTAGCTGAGAACAAAATCAAGAACACAATCCCATTTGCAATAGTCACACAGAAAAAGGAAATACCTAGGAATCTATCTAGCCAAGGAGAGGAAAGTTCTCTATAAGAGAACTACAAAACACTGCTGAAAGAAATCAGAGATGACCCAAATAAACAAAAAAATATTCCATGCTCATGGATTGGAAGAATCAATATTGTTAACATGTTCATACTACCCAAAGCAATGTACAGATTACAATGTAAATAACAATGTAATTTTTCACAGAATTAGAAAAAACTATCCTAAAATTCATATGGAACCAAAAAGGAGCCTGAATAACCAAAGCTATCTTAGGCAAAAAGAACAAAGCCAGAGGTATCATATTATCTGACTTTAAACTATATTATAAGGCTACAGTAACCAAAACAGCATGGTAGTGGTACAAAAACAGACACATAGACCAATGGAACAGAATAGAGACCCCAGAAATAAACCCCGACACCTATAACCATCTAATCTTTGACAAAAATTGACAAAAATAAACAATGGTGAAAGGACTCCCTATTCAATAATAAATGCTGCTGGGATAACTGGCTAACCATATGCAGAAGATTGAAACTGAACCCCTACCTCTCACCATTTACAAAAATTAACTCAAGATGGATTAAAGATTTAAAGGTGTTTTTCATAAGAACTCCAAACCCTTATTCCCCCACCTTTTTATTTTTTTAAAGCAAACTGCTTTTTAAGCAGGCAAAGGTCTGCTCCTCATCTCCCTTTTGCTGCTCTAAGATAGTCTCATTTGATCAAGACACAGAACTAAGTATGGAAAACTTACAGCAAACCCAATGACTGCCCCCCAATACAAAAAATTTAATAAATGAAAATTACTTCAAATCTTAAGAGATAAGGGAAATTTGCCAGTAGCGAATATTAGATTCCTCTAATGGTAACACCATCTTAATCCACACATATTAGAATATTTTCTACATCCTAAGTAGCCACTGGTTACCTAGTGCCTAGAGCAAAGCAGGTGCCAATGCTCAGCAAGGCCAGGTGCATCACCTGCTCCCCAGGTGCTGACTCTGCCTACATACCTCTGATGATGGCAGAATACAACTTTGAGTGGCAAATTCACAACTCTCTCATTTATTCACTCACTTATGGAGCAATAGTTTTCAAGTGTCTATTATACTCAAAGCACTGAAGAGGATCCCAATTCCAATATGACCTGAACCTGGTCCCATGCCCCCCTTGCCAAGCTCCTTCCTTAAGGGATGTGCCCACCCTCCTATCTCATTTCCTCTCCAGCCGTTCTCCAAGGCCCATATAATTCCACTCCTCCAGAAACGGTCTTTGAAGTCCCAAACCCCCAGAAACATATCTTTTATGCCACATAAATGGAGTCTGAGTGGAACTGTGCAGTCCAAGGCTGTGTTGTAAGTTCTCGCTGCCTTCATGTGTCACCATATTCTGGCCACAACATTATAAATTCCCAAGACTAGTAATTGAGTTAAAATATATAATTTTTTTGGCATAACTATTTATGGAGTACCTGCTTTTAGCTAGGTGATATGGTGGTGCTTTCTCATGGTAATATTTTTCTTCTTTTATACTTTTTTTTGAATTTAAAATTTTGGAACAATCCAATGAAACAGTTATTATTGCTCCATTTGCAAATGAGGTGAAGGGATTTGACAGTTCACAGTTAGGGGATGGCAGTACTAGATTTCACCAATTCTTATGATTCCACGTTCAGGTACTAAAAACCATTTTCTTTATTACCAGTGCCAGTTCAGCACTGGATGACCAGCAGTGAATGCTGAAACACAGAAGGTGATTGATTAATCCTCAATGTACCGATTTAAACACAGGAGACAAATCCTGCTGTGATCCCACATATGCCTGGACCAGTGGTTCTCAAAGTGTGCTCCCAGGACAAGCAGCACCAGGAACTTTCTAGAAATGCACATTCTCAAGCCCCACTCAGACCTACTAAGTCAGAAAACTCAAGGTAGGGGCCTAGCAACCTGTATTTTAATAAGCTCTGCAGACGATTTGCTAAATTGATGTTGAATTTACACAACATAAAATTCATCCTTTAAGTCACTTCGAAATATGTAATCCAATGTTTTTTTCCAGCACATTCACAATGTTGTGTAGCCATCACTACTAACTGCAGAACTTCCCCCCACCCCTCAAACAAACCCCACATCCATGAAGCCATCACTCCTCATTCTCCATTCCCCACCCAGCCCCTGCCAACCACGAATCTGCTTTCTGTCTCTACAGATCGCCTGTTCTGTTCATTTCATGTACACGGAATCCTACACCATGTGGCCTTTTGTGTTTGGCTCCTTTCCCTTAGAATAGTGTTCTCGAGGTTCAGCCACATGGTAGCATGCATCGGAACCTCATTCCTTCTTATGGCTGGATGATATTCCATTGCAAGTGAGACCATACCACAATTTGCTATCTGCTCATCTGTTAATGATCCAGGTGATTTTGATGCCCATTAGAGACTGGAAACAACTTCCCTAGATTTAAAATTCAAATGCTGTTGTACCTATTTGTGTCGTGACAATAAAAAATGCAATCTAGACTCACCATGGGCCACTTGTCATATCCTAAAAAATAATTCTGTTTTGCTCTCTTGTCCCATCTTCTAAGAAAAGCCCAATGTATGGCATTTTGAAAACCTGACCTGATTTTGTGATCACATGAAAGATGTGCCAATGGACAACAGGCAAGGCAAGGAATCATAGGCAGGATCTGTCAGTGCGATCGTTGATAAGACTGCTATGGCTCACTTAGCCATGCCAGAGAGAGGATGCTGGCAAGATGCTACTGATCTGATTTTAGGCATGTGCTAAAAATCCCAAGAGTATCTGTCTTATAAACAAACTTCATATCAGAAATGAATTTTCAAGTACCTGGAAGTGTTATGTGAAATTGACTAATCCTCATACTGCACAGTAATTAAAGTGTAGGAAAAGTTCTGGTTGTGAACAGAGTGATGTTTCCCTTCCACCTGCTTCCAAATCCAAAGTATGGTACATGGTCATTGTGCCTCCTTTGTGCTTGTATTTTTCTTATTTAACAGCTTTATTCCCCGGAGCATCCATGAAAAGAACATTGACTTGGGCCAGGTAGTTGCTCATGACATCAAAGATCTCATACAGCCCCTCGTCTGTGGTTAAAAAGACAAGCCTCAGTTTCTTCCGTAGCTTTTGGCAAGCTCATCACAATGTACTTTTTAACATGTCTAATAAATTATCCCACATGTGCCAGGACAGCAGCTAACTGAAGTGACCTATAGCAGTGAGAGACTGGTGCAAAGCAATAAAACTGGAGAATTACTCAGGAAAGAAGCCCTTTAGCACGATCCTTTCCCTTGGCGTGAGAATGCTTTAAAATGGTGATACCTGCGGCCCAGGAAAAAAAAGTGCTGCTTTCAGCTCAGAGGCAGAGAATTTATCTCCAAAGCCGTGGCAGGGTGACTGTGGCCCCCGCTACGATGTGACCTCTTTTGTTAGCCTTGCTTTCCTTTTTCTCTAATATTTAACTACCAGGGACACTTGAGGCAAGTTTACCATGTTGAATGCAAGGTTAAAAATAAAAAGAGGATGAAACAGACAGCTGGGTGATTTTGGGGAAAAAAACACCACTTTTAAAAAGAGGAATGCCACTTACAGCTCCCCACCATAAAGGCAGTCACAGCTTCATATTTTAGCCATCACAAAGCTGCCAAGTAAAATATTATTAGGGCTTACTTTTACTTTGAAAAATCTGCAGTCAGAAGGTTCTTTTCTTGTAGGAGCCTATTGTGCGTCTCACTGCTATATTCTTGGGGGTGAATCACACTAGGCCAATTTATCAACCTCGACAGTAGAAGTCGGGAGTTATCTGACTTGCAAAAGCTCTCTGGGTATGATTCGGAGACAACTGCTTTTCTTGCTGGAAATTAGGCGTCTGGAGAAACCAGCTATAATCAGGCTGGATTCAAGGGGGCTGCAGGTCAGGGTCCTGCTGCTTCCTGTGACTCTGCGGCCTCATTAATAAACACGCACTGAGTCTAGGTTCCCCACCTCCAAGCTCAGGGGCTCACATCTGTCTGAGTGCTGACGGCAGGAAAGGAGTGGAAGTGACCGAGGAAGAAGGATGGAACAGCCAGGCAGCGGCTGAGAACAGCTTGGAGCCGACATAACTGTGTGATAGGAAAAGCCAAAGTTGCAGGGAACCGGGGATGGGAATCCATCCAGATTTTTCAGTTTAAACTGATTGGGGGAAAAAAACAAAACAAAACAAAAAACAACCTCATATCGTCCACAGCTGACAAATGATTAGATGGTAAAGGGCTAACTGGTTTTGGAAAATATGTTGCTGACATTCTGCTTCCCACTGGTTTCTTTTTGCAGACCAAAATGGAGTTTTGTTTTTCTCCTGACAGCAGATGCCACAGATTGGGCAGACCCAGGAGGCTCTTCTTTACCTGGGCGTGTGGTGAGAACTCAAGTCCGAAGCCTATGTCTGAGCAGCCTATCTGTACTTCATTGAGCCTCTGTTTTCACATCTATAAAATAGGGATAACAACTACCTCATTGCACTGAAGTGGAGGCTAAACGAGCTTCAAACAAAAAGATCAAAGTCTGGTTAACTTCCAAGCACTGTGAAATGCTAGCTCCTAGTACTGACAGGCAAAAGATGTGTCTTTCTTTCTCCCATTGGGAGTTGCCCTGACTGCGAATCCCCCCGTATATGATAGTGCTCAAGAACATTTCCAATATGGTATAGAATGTAGTACTTGTAGCCAAAATAGAGCACGCTTTACACTGTAAAACCACAAATACAAGTAAATTTGAGAGCAAGATGATTCAGGAGGCGAAGGGATGAGCAAACAGTTAAAGATCATTCCCTCCGTTTAATACATAGATGGTGTCAAAGAAGCAAAACAGCCTGTTCCATTCTGGAAGGGCCAGTTTTTCTTTAGCTCAACAAGAGCATGTAGTTAGGAGCACAACCAACCAATGAAGCAATCCACAAACAAAACAAAAACGCCATTTAGATGGCTGTTACCTGCTACGCAGCTGTGGTTGTCTTCTGTTCCTGAAAGCTTTTTTCTGGCCCTTTTCATAAAGCTCATGTCACATGAGCTCACCCCACATCTTCCGTCCATTTCCTGGCCACAGCCAAGTCCAGGCACTGAGCTCAGAGTGAGACGTGGCCACAAATTGTGGGATCCATTCTCTGGAGAAGACAATCTAATGACTGTTTTTTTTTTTTTTTTTTTTTTTTATGTGGAGTTTCGCTCTGTAGCCCAGGTTGGAGTTCAGTGGTGCGATCTCGGCTCACCGTAACTTCCGCCTCCCGGGTTCAAGCGATTCTCCTGCCTCAGCTTCCTGAGTAGCTGGGATTACAGGTGCACACCACCATGCCTGGCTAATTTTTTTGTATTTTTATTAGAGATGGGGTTTTGCCATGTTGGCCAGGCTGGTCTCAAACTCCTGACCTCGGGTGATCCACCCACCTCGGCCTCCCAAAGTGCTGGGATTACAGGCGTGAGCCACCATGCCGGCCACAACTTTTATCATTCATTCCATAACTAGCTTGCTGAGCTTTTCCAAAAACAACTTAGCCATTCTTAGTTCACAGCCAGTTCTACATATTCCTAGTCCCTTGAGAAGCATAAGCCCAACATGAATTCCCTCTTCTCTTCCCAAGTGAGAGCGAGGTCCTCTTACAGTATGAGGGGGCAGGGGACCACAGTGTGGGGAATGGACATTGCTTGGACAAGCTGCTGACCAAAAATTCTAGGGCCATCTTCAGGAAAATCTTCAGGTCTTTCCCCAGTTATGCCCAACAATAAAAACTTTCAATCACCACACACAGAATTTATGTGCAACCAAGTAGCACGCCTGGTAGGCCAGGGCGGTGGCATTTGTACTCGCAGGTGACCGGCCTCATGTTCAGTGCCGTGGCAGGCCTGCTGTGGATGCAAGGAGGTCATCTCATTTTAGGGGCTTTTTACTCCATGCTGCCTGGAGCGGGGCTGGCCAGGAGCCACCATTTGTTTAGTGAAACCCTGCTGGGGACCAGAAGCCTGGCAGACATTCTCTCACTGACACCTCTGGGAGCCAATTATGACTCCTATTTTAGAGATGAGGAAGCTGAGTGCAGGCAGCTTGGGTTCCTTGCCGGGACCCTGCAGTTCCTGCGTGGAGACTGAAAGCACAGATCTGACTAGAAGGCCTGTGTTCTTCCCACTCAACCACACCGTCTCGAGGGCTATCAGGAGCTGCCCCAGGGCAGGGCCTCTGGGCAGCCTCAGGCATGACCCAGCACAAATGGCTATGCCAGCAGCAGTAGTATCCATGGGTTGGGAGAGGCAGCTGCTCCGATGCCTCGGGACTCCCTGGAGCCAGACGTAAACAGAAGGAACACCCAAGGTTCTACACTTCCTTCCAGGTGTACCTTAGAGGACTTCCCTAAAGGTCTTTGGTGTAACAGAAGACAAAGGCCCAGTCTTGGGATTCATCCAGCTAGCCTGAGGTGATACCTGGGCCAGATCGTGCACACCTGAGGAGGGCTGCAAGCCTGTTGAGACCCTAATGAGCTGCAGGCAGGGGAAATAGGCGCCCCGCCTCAAAAGCCTCGTGACTCCTCCTCATGGTGTGATGGGAGAGGGAGCTGGGCCTGAGTCAGCCCACTCTGCCTGCCCAGCGGTGCACAGGGACACAGCTCTGACCACACAGGCTCAAACGATAGAACAGAACCGAGGCTGAAGCTAATGGGGCAATCCATCCTCACGTCCACTCCAGAAACAGAAAGTGACTGCCTTATAACTGGACGCTGAGCCAGTGGGCCAACCAGACGGACCACAGAAAGCTAAGAAAACCACCAGGCCAGGAGCAAATGACCAGAAAGATCCTTAGTAGGCCATTTCCATTGTTAATAGCAAACACCTGGGCCCCAGAATGCAGCCATCTGCAGCACATTATAATTCATGGTCTTAACTTGTGAACTTTGACCTCTGCTCCTCCTCCCTGAAACCAATTTAAGTGCAAATATAATTTCCCAGAATTTTTAATAAAGTCACCAACTGAGCTCTGGTCAGTTGAGACATGTACAGGAAGCTTCTGGACGTTACCAGAAAGTGGACTTTTCACTTCTGAGCTACGATGGCTATTTCTTCCTGCACCAAGTCCTGAAAGACCAAGAACCCAGGGGCGGGGGACACAGTGTCCATATTAAAAGGACCTCAGCCCATCAGAGGCCATGTATCAGACGAGCTACTCAGCTTCATTGCAAGAAATGACTGCTGAATTTGTGTGGGGGTTGTTGGAGGAGCAGACTCTCGTAGACATGGACAGATGCAGTGGTTAATAATGGACAGTGGGCATGTCTGAAATGGTACCACCCTTTCTTCCTAGCCCAGTAGACAGACCTGCACAGAATACGCTAGTTCTTTCTGCTGACTTAGCAAGCCTGTAACAGGATAGAGGCTTCTAATCAAACATGATAGAAAAAGCAGTCACGGTAGATATCTACAAGCCTGCCACCAGGGCTGAAGTCTACATGTGCCCAGTTCTTGCCCCACTGAGCAACTGACACTGAAGTTACCACCAGGGCAATGTGGAACTCAAGAATGGGAAAGAGCTGTCCCTCTCAACCCTCCCCATCCCCAAGCCTGCGAGCCAAAGGCTCACAGGTACCCAGTGAAAGGCCAAAGAATGGATCAGGAGCCTGAGGCTGCAGGCTGAGATCCAGAATGACCCTGACCACCTGTGGGCCCTCTGGCCTTCCTGAGCCTCAGTGTGCTCACCTGTAAAATGGAGACGATTGTACCTGTTCTTTATTTTTAGGGCTGTGACAATGAAAGGAGATGCCAAAGATCTTTGTAAACTGGAGAATGGTTCTACAAAGTCTTATGCTCACAACTGCTTTTAGATTTGATATTTTTGATCTCTCTCTTCCCACTTTAGCTAAATTAAGCAAAGACTTTCAGGGGAAGGCCCTGCTGGAAAGACTCTACTGTTTGAAAGCAAATTGTTTCCCTCACCCAGGTCTCCATGGATTATGTACAGAAAAGCAGTGGACTCTGCCTCCTATTTATCTGGGTTTTCTCTGCTCTATTTTGTTTTTATTTTCTTCTATTTATTGTATTGTGTGTATCATTGCAAACTATTGTAAATCCATTGTAGAATGATGTGGAATAAACAAAAAATGAAAATGCTGCTGCTGCAATTGCTAGATTTAGTACAAAAGACAGTGGCCTCAGAGCGTTCTCCCCAGAGATTTTGCCATTACACAGATAAGGAAGAGAAAACCTCACTCTGCACTTATCTAATTGTGCTGTACTCATCATCGCTCTCTCCATCCGCCCACCCAGCCAACGTCTATCCATCTGTCCATTGTACCATCTATCTATCCATTATCTGTCCATTTCTATCTATCCATTATCCATTTCCACCTACCCATTATCCATTCATCCACCTATCCACCTACCTATCATTGATTTATCCATCTACCCATCTTTCCTTCTTTCCATCCATCCTTTGTCTGTCTGTCCATCCGTCCATCCATCCATCATTCCACCCACCCATTATCCATTCATCCACTGACCCATCTACCTATTATTTATCTATCCTTCCTTCCTCCCATCCATGCATCCATCATCCAGCCACCCGCTCATGGATCCTTTCAGTCAAGAAGTATTTATTGAGCTCTACTATGTGTCAGGCACTGTTCTAGGTGCTGGGGATTCAGCAATAAACAAAACACAAATTCCTGACCTTGTGGAGCTGAAAATGAGTCCTTTTGGATATTGTCTGTTGTAGAGAAGTCTAGAAATAATCCTTTACCCTACACTGTGGCCTCTGTGCCTGGGGAGAGGAGGAAGCCATGGGGGTAAGTGTGTGGGAGGGGGATTGCAGGATTGGCAGGATTTCAGCTGAAATGTTTTCACACATGCTGTACAACAAATAAAATGCTGGGTTAACGAGCCAGTGACAGGAAAGCATTCTCTGCTGTTGGAACATAAATTGAAGGAGGTTTGCAGAATTAAATGGCTTAAAAATGGGGCTACCTCCCACCTCCCAGAGGTTGCACAGGGACATGGCTCTGTACTGAGGCAGCTTTAGTTCTCTCATAAAGCCCAGATGTGTTCACGGCCACTTCCATGTGTCAAACACACTGGGAAAAAGCCGCTTGACTTTATGTCCTGGGGCTTCTACTTAGGTCGGTCTGGAAAAATGCAAGCAGTTCATTTAACACTCTGAGCTCCAGTAATATGGGTATAGTTGGCCAGGTGCGGTGGCTCACACCTGTAATCCCAGCACTTTAGGAGGCCAAGGCAGGTGGATCACTCGAGGCCAGCAGTTTGAGACCAGCCTGGCCAACATGGTAAAACCCCATCTCCACTAAAAATACAAAGAATCAGCCAGGTGTGGTGGTGCACGCCTGTAATCCCAGCTACTTGGGAGGCTGAGGAACAAGAATCATTTGAACCTGGGATGCAGAGGTTGCAGTGAGCCGAGATGGCCCCAATGGACTCTGCCTCAAAAAAAAAAAAAAAAAAAAAAAAAAAAAATATATATATATATATATATATATATAAAATAAAATAGGTATAGTCATGACCATCTCACTAAGTTCATCCATGGGCCAGGTGCGTGGCTCACACCTGTATCCCAGCACTTTGGGAAGCCGAGGCTCACAGATCACTTGAGGTCAGGAGTTCCAGACCAGCCTGGCCAACATGGTGAAACCCTGTCTCTACTAAAATACAAAAATTAGCTGGGTTTGGTAGTGTGCACCTGTAATCCCAGCAACTCGGGAGGCTGAGGCAGGAGAATTGCTTGAACTGGGGAGGTGGAGGTTGCAGTGAGCCAAGATCGTGCCACTGTATTCCAGCCTAGGTGACAGAGCGAGGCTCAGCTCAAAAAAATTAAATTAAATTTAAAAAGTTCATCGATGAAACAGGACACCATGAATGCAGTCCTTCAGGGTCAATATCCCCTAAACTGGATATTCAAGGATCAGTGGCCACACAGAATCAGCCTCCCGAGCTTGACCTCTATTTTGTGTACAGCTTAACGGGGAGGACAATTCTAACTTGGGCAGCAGCTTTTCATATTCTAATGGAATTGCACACAAATTCTTTCATTTTCCAGTGAGCAATATCTAATTACATGGAGAAGAAACAAGAACAGGCTGCATATTGATGCGCCCTTCTTGAACTGTTTTCAAGAATCCCTCCTGCCAGTTCATTTTTCCCTGTGATAATGTCGGGGTACAGCTGACTCCATTACTCTGGCTGAGTAATTAAATTGATTCTAACTAGTAGTGTTTTCATCTTACCAGAGTTCCTCATTCTGTAGCTGTTCCTCCTTTTTTCTCTCTCTCTGGATAAAGATTTCCATTTTTTCACCTAACACTTTGAGGAAGGAAATGAAGATTTTCTTAAACTTTTCATTGAGAAAAAAATTATCACTCTCAAATGAAGAGTTAAGATGGAAAAATAATTCCCTTCAATTCCATCTTGGTAAAATTCCAGCATGACAAATGTATTTCATAATCTCCAACAGCACCCCAAAGTTCGAGGGAGAATTCTAACGATATGTATTGTCCACTGATTTTCAGGAAAGCAAGTTCTACAGAGTGTGGACTTTCCCGCTACATTGAATTTCTATCAATTCCTACCACTTCCAAAGCCCTTGGGGGATTTTTTTCACTGAAAATTGCAGTTCATTTTACCCTCTTAAAACACCTTTTCAGGCAGAAATCTCTTCCAAGAGAAATCCAGTTTTCCCACAGTATGAGGTAGGAATTTTCAGGGAGCGGTCTGCCCAGCCTGTATTTAATTCTTCCGAGATCGGTTTAGACTGGACTCTATTCCAGGATATCTTTTCTGCCTGCTGCCTCTTCTAACCTTTGCTCCCTGTTTGCAATAAATTATTGGTCGCTTTTTAAAAGATGTGAAATGATGTTATGGTTATAGATTTTTCTCTCTGTCTTTTAGAGGCCCACACTGAAATCACTTCTAGATGGTGCTTGATACCCGGACTGTGTAAGCAGATTTGATGAGGTACCCTGCAGTGAGGTCCCTGAAGTCAAGGATCCTGCCTTGTGTTTCTGTGCCTGCTCCGAAACTGCTCCCCAGGATCTGGCCTCTAGAGGGTACACAGTAAATACTAGTGGAGTAAATGAGTGGCTTTGCTCTGCCTGGTGGCCAGCTGCGCGTCTGTTGACCTCATTTCCTGTAGCAAGCTTGTCCTGAGTCAGGGGCAGGGCTGCTGTCTTCTCTGATGTCATTAGAGAAGGCCGAGGCTGTGCATGGTCACTTACACCTGCATTCCTAGCACTACGGGAGGCTGAGGCAGGCGGATCACTTGAGGTCAGGAGTTCAAGACCAGCCTGTCCAACATGATGAAACCCCATCTCTATTAAATATACCAAAAAAAAAAAAATTAGCTGGGCATGGTGGTGTGTGCCTGTAATCCCAGCTACTCGGGAGGCTGAGGTGGGAGGATTGCTTGAACCTGGGAGACAGAGGTTGCAGTAAGCCGAGACTGTGTCACTGCACACTCCAGCCTGGGTGACAGGGAGAGACTACATCTCAAAAAACAAAAACAAAAAGAGAGAGAGAAGGCTGACCTGGGTGGAGGCCACCTAGACCTGGGGACACATCTGTTTGTGTTCCGTGTCCAGGCAGGTGTGCCATGAATGTGTCCTGAATGGAATTAAATGTAATCGAATGGGCCAGTTATACATGCTTGCGGGGAAGTAGGATGGCAACACATTCTCCTTAAACGTGGTCATTTGATCTGGGTGTAGATTGCAGAAGGTCTGACCTCAGCTTAATGTGAATGATTTGCACCCCAGGAGAGCAGGGGGTAACCCTCATTTGCTTATTTTCTCATCCCACATTATCCTCAGTGCACAACACGAACACGCTGCCCGCCCCAACTCCCAGTTGGCAGCTGGGGACACACTCGTCAGTTGAAGCCATTTGCCAGTATAGACCCAGCAAAACCCAGACAGGCCCAAACTCCTGATTTCAGCATCCGTGTGACAACTGTGGCAACAATTCTTTTCAGATACACATGAAGAAAATGTGAATGTGCTCCTTGGTGGCTCTCTGACAGAATCCCTAAAGGATGCTCACTATAGGAAAAGGAAAAAGAAATCTCAAACCAAAAGAAATATTTTACATCAAGTGTACAAGGCTGGAGAGGTGAGTGTGGAGCGTGGCGTGATGAGCACCGAGTGTGCTGGTGAAGGATCCTTCCTCTTCACAGTTTCCAAATGCCTATGAATTACACCAGAACTAAACTAGAATTCACACACTATTATTACTTGTTCTTCTAAAGGAAGCCTCCCTCTTCTTTTTTGTACAGACAGAAAACCCCTTAACTTGGCAAACTACAATATCTCAGAGGCTGCATGGTCTTCTTAAAAATGAGGAAACCTTAAAAGATAAATCAGATCATATTCCTATCTTGCCTGAGAAGCTTCAATGATGTCCCGCTGCTCTGCAGATAAGAATCCACGTTCCTGCTCTGGCCAACTGGGCTTTGCTGGCTCTGGTTCCTCCATTTCTACCCAGCATCACTTCCCTCCAGCCCCCCACAGCCCCAAGGCTCCTGGCAGCAAGGTGTCCCCACAGCGCCCACAGGCCCATGGTCCCCTGCACCTGAACTCCCTTCCTTCCATGCTTTGCAGGCTCTCCATCCCTGTCTTCCTTTTGGCCTCCCCCAAACCCCCACTTAAAGTGGGCTCCCTCACCCCATGTTTCCTCTCTTTGTCCTCTTCCTTTGCTTCCTTCACAGCACTCCTTCCAACCTGCAATTTATTACTTTTATTTTTTTATTTTAAAAATAGAGACAGGGTCTTGCTATGTTGCCCATGCTGGTCTTGAACTCCTGGCCTCAAGCAATCCTCCTGCCTTGGCCTCCCAAAGTGCTGAGATTACAGGTGTGAACCACCACACCTGGCCCAAACTGCAAGTTTTAAATTTTCCATTTTTCAACTCTTTTCACCACTAGAACACCAGTTCCAAGAGGGCAAGAAACAGGCTTGTCCTGTTCACAGCTGTGTCCCTAACACCTATCAGTGTGTAACAGTGGCAGGGGCTCGGTGAATATGACTTGCAGATTCACCTACCCCACCCGAGGAGATGGCCCTATTCCTCCAACTCTCATTTAACAGAAACTTTCTGCAAAAAAAAAAAAAAAAAGGAATCTGTAAGAGTCATTTTTTGAATGTTAATATTGCCTTTTTTCCTACTCTAGGAAGTGACATTTACTATTACGCTAAATATTCTTTGCTATGAGTGTTCAAGTCATTCACAATTTTCTTACTCCTATAAATGCAGCATACGTAGCCCTCACCTCCCTAAGACCAAGGGCTCCAAGCTCATTAATGGATAAACTCAACTGAGTTAAACTCCCACATGAATCCCCAGATACTGCTTTTGCCAAAGAGTCATTTCCAGGACAGGTCTTAAATGTTTAGAGACATAAAACACACACTCTTACACACACTTAAAGCCTTGCAGTAATTAATGATACAATCCATAAGGAACCCCCTCCAACCATCCCTGCAATGTGCAACTGAAGTCACACAAGTCTTAAGTTGAAATAGGACTCTATCCTTGTATTTACAGGCCTCAGGTCCCATTTGTCAGTGACAGCAATTGGTTAATGTTTTCAGAGTTAGGATTCTGGAATGTTTTGATAAAGAATAAACAAGGTATATGAAGGGATATACTTTTCTCCTTTAAGCCATCTACAATACTTGGTTCTTTTTGATTCTGAGATGTTAATATCATTAAAGCAGTTACTGATTCATCTCTGAATCACCTTTGGAGCTGAGACTGAATTTAACTGACATCCCCAAGCCTCCATCAGTGGTGGGAGGAGGAAGACACAGGCTGGCTGGTGTTTGGATGTGGGCCAGTTTAAAGTGAGCCATCACACGGAAACTGTGGACATGCTGCTGAGTGACTGCTAAGGGCACTGGGAGTCTTTCCAGCAATGATGAGTAGGAATTCTGAAAAAAGCCTTTAACTTTTTGATAGTTCCAAAACCCCTGTAAGCTAAGTAATAATATACTACCTTTGTGGAATGATTTACAATTTACAGACATGTGATCTCATTGAGTCCATTCTCCCACTCTCTCGGAGACACTATGAGGTAAGAGAACCACCATTTTGAGATAATACCGGAGCAGCCGGGAAAACTCCACCACGGGTGATGGATGACTGAGGGTTGACTGAGCCGCTCGACCTCCCCCTCACTGTGGGCTTTTGTGATTAATTCACCTACTTGCTTAGGAAGTTGCTTTCCATCTGAGAAAATTAAAAACACCACTCTCTGGACAGGAATGTGGGATCATAAATGAGAAGCAAATAGAAAAGATTTATACAAAAGCACAAGCTCAGCAAAAGAGAAAACTCAGAAATTGCTAATATGGTATAAATCAAATAAAGGCTATTAGCAAACCCCTGGTAATGGGGGAAAAAAAAGCCTTTTAAATGATTTGTCGAGCTCTTAACAATACCATTTCTACCTACGGTGTTCAAATATCTCTGGGGCGATCTGGCTTGCATTCTTCAGCACTGCCATGAAGACTTTCCAATTGGAAAGGATTTAGATAAAACCATATAGAGTGCCAGAAAATATGCCTTGCTATTGTGCCTTCAGAATTATATAATTTTTAGAGCTGTAGAGTCTTCATCATCTGTGCATTCCTCCCCACGAGCACAGGGGTCAAAAATATTTGTTTAATATGTGAACAAGTGGGTGGAGAGACAGATGGAAAGAAAGGAGGAAGGAAGGGTGGATGGGTGGATGGATAGATGGTTGGATGGGTGGATGAAGACTGACTCACTCATCTTATTGATGAGGAATGTAAGAGCCAGGGGGTTACTAAACTGCCTATATTATTTTAAAAAATGGTGTGAGAATTGGGACAACCAGATCTCTTCAAGTCCAGTGTTCTTGATCTAGGTTTTCCTCTCTTCCATTGGTTTATCAATAATTAAAAAACATTAACAATATTAACAATATGATCTTCTTAGTCATGGGAAACCATTTCTGGAGGCCCATAGGCTAATGTATTTGTGCCCATCTGATGATCAGGGAAATTAGACACACAGTGCATTTTCTATGGCTATGAGTTCATTGAGAGTGAGAAAACACGAAGGCCACTCAGTTGCACATCAGTCTCCTGCCAAACTCACTGTCTGAAAGTCACCCAGCGTGTGGCCCAGCATAGCGATCAGGGCTTGTGAAATGTTGGAAACAGAAGGCATCTATAGGCCCTTGGCCCAACCTTATACCCTAAGAAGGAAATCCTTGCCCCAAATGTCCAGCAAACAATTACTGTGCTTCCTCTCAGACACCTTTAGTGACTAGGAACATATTACTTTTTAGGGTGGCCTCCCTTTTGGAGAGACACACATGTTAGTATCTTGAGTTTTGCAATATTTCATTTCCTATCGGTTAGTACTTTGACTTTGTGTACAGATCCTTGGTTTCTGTCATTACACACTCACAAAGCAACTTCCTCAACAAAGTCTTGGTGACTCCCTTGAATTATGCTTAAGAGGGAACCACAAACAGAAAGATGCCCCTGAAGCCTCTGCCCAAATGGGGGCGATGAACATGAGGAATCAGTCACTTGCTGTAAGAAGATGCCTCCTGATGGCTCCCATGAAAGGACAATCCCCTGATGAGCTGTGTGGTTCTGCTCAGTTCTTGTTTCAAGGGCAACTCAATGCCCTACAAACTATTTCCCAGGAGGCCCACAAGGCTATTGCTTGAAAAAGCACAGACACATTCTTTAACAATTCCTCCCTCTACTGGGTCTTTTAAACCGCAGTAGCAGGTATCCCCTCACACCACGCTTGTCCCCTGGCCAGCAAGTCTTCACAGAGATGAGTCACTGGGCTGCTCAGAGCACTTGCCTCTTGCCCCAGTGTCTCCTTTTGGGAAACCCAGAGAGCAGGCTTGGGCTGGAATGTTCCATGAAAGTCAGTGTTCATAAGGTTTCAAGGTATAATAAAGAAGATAGCATTGTATCCAGCGCATGCTTCCCGTTACTAATGAGAATCTTCTTAAACTAGCACAAAGTTCTAGTTTGGGATAGGCCCTTTATAGATATAAGAACACATCTGAATCTCTAATCCCTCCAAGGTGCATCTGTTTCCACTTCGTTTGAACACTCCAAATAATGGAACTGTCTTGCTCTTTTCTGGTTGAACCAAGTCGGGAGTGTCAGGAAAGCATTAAATAAGGAACAGCATTGTAATATACCAAAGCAGAGAAATCATTTCATTTAAACCTCTAAGATCTGGTAAGGTGATGTCAGGGCAGAGACACTACAAACCCCCAAGCTACCGACTTCAGAGACACCCTAGGGCCAACCCTGGGGAAAGAAATACCTTCTACCCAGCACCCTCTAAAGACATGTGGCCCATCTCCACTCTGCCCAGTGAGTTTACATGTGGCCCATCTCCACTGCCCAGGCTTTCAGATGGCTGGCTCCTGGGACTGCCTGGCAGCTGGAGCCGTAGGCTCAAATAAAAAACACTTGCTGGGACAGGAAGATAATTAGCGATTTCTAAACACAGACAGCATCCATGCCCACCATTCCTCAAGGAAAAGGTCAGCCCTCTTCCTTGTACACACCATGTAGCATTGCCATCTGGCTGCCCATGGCTCTCCAGAGTAGCACAGGCCACCCTTGCTTCTTGGGAAGGAATTACTTTTTGGAAGCTTCCCTGGGTGCTCTGACCAGAAAACCAGAGACACTTTGACTCATCTGGTTCCCAACACACACTTCAAGCCATGCACACTGTCAAAGCAGATGGAAGCAATGGTACTTGCCCGGTGGAAGCGTTCATGATGCAGCCTCCTTTCTCAACCGCCATTTGACAGCTACAGCCCCTGTCCAGTGTGTCATGATTCATCCCGAAATTGTGGCCCAGCTCATGTGCCAGGGTCACGGCTGCACCAAGGGGATTGTCTGAATGGTCCTCAAAGAAAACACAAAAGTACAGGTGTATAATTCATATCTCCTTGGCCTTATTTCCCAGGTCTCCCTCCCCACAGAAATATACCTTTCATTAACATTTGACTTAATGTAATTCCTTATAAGGGACCAAGGTAAAACGCTATCATTTAGTTTAAACTTAAAAAGATATAATTTGACATTTCATTAAGCCAGTTTGGGGTCCTTTCGGCTGAGGAATGTCTGTATGCCGCACGTATACATGTGTGATTCTTTATGTTTTTACATGACATCTTCAAGGCAGGGTCTCCATTCTGCTTCCTACAATTGCCCCACAAAACTCTTCCATTGAATGAAGCAAAAAGTCATCCTGCATCATAGGAAAAGCTCATTCCTTCATGGGCCATAGAAGTATCATTTTACCTTTGATTGAGATGATGCTGATATAAAGGTGACAGGTGCAAGCACGCTTAATGACATTCTAAATGAGCCCTGAGAGGTTGTCATTGAGCCTGCCTCTTCCTGTGTGCTTGGTCGGGGAGGACAGTTGGAAAATTCACAATACTTCATAATAAATCTGACCACATTGAGTCATCTGTTTGAAGAGCCATTCATTTCATTTAAGATTATAAACCAGCTATATCTTATTCTTGCTGGCTCTTTGTGTTGCCAGGCAGACTTTGGAAATGGGAGGTGTCCCGATTCTCTGACTCTTGCGGCTGGGGGTTCATTAACCTTTTGCTTGGATATGGAAGGCGGCTTCTCCATTCAACAAGCACTACTTGGCCACCCCTAACTTAGTGGAGTGCCTGGATGGCTTGGCTCAAACAGATACTAGAAATTAACTAAAAAATATAGTTACTTAACTTTTACAAACTGAAATTAGTTAATTAGCATATATGATCTACAGAAACAGTGCCTATATACAACATTTCTGAAAAGGCCTGTATACCATGGAGTAAGGAAAATACCCTGTTTGAATCTTGCTTTGTGCTACTTAGGAAAGAGATAAGATGTTTTCCAAGAGGCTTCCAAGAAACAGTGCTGCTATGCTTTGAAGGTTTGTTCCCTCCAAAACGCATGCTGAAGCTTAATCCCAATATGGCAGTATTGGACGTGAGGCCTTTAAGAAGTGATTGGGTCAGGCCAGGCGCAGTGGCTCACGCCTGTAATCCCAGCACTTTGCGAGGCTGAGGCAGGGGGATCATGAGGTCAGGAGATCAAGACCATCCTGGCTAACACAGTTAAACCCTGTCTCTACTAAAAATACAAAAAACTAGCCGGGCGTGGTGGCGGGCGCCTGTAGTCCCAGCTACTCTGGAAGCTGAGGCAGGAGAATGGCGTGAACCCGGGAGGCGGAGCTTGCAGTGAGCCAAGATCCCACCACTGCACTCTAGCCTGGGTGACAGAGCGAGACTCTGTCTCAAAAAAAAAAAAAAAAAAAAAAAAAAGTGATTGGGTCATGGGGACTCTGCCCTCATAATGTATTAATCCATTCATGGACTAATGGGTTAATGCATTCATGGTTTATCATGAGAGTGGGACCAGTGGCTTTATAAGAAGAAGAGGGACCTGAGCTAGTTTGTTTAGCCCCCTTGCCATGTGATCCCCCGCACTGCCTTGGGACTCTTCAGAGAGTCCTCACCCTCAAGAAGCCCTATCAGGTGTGCCCCCCTACCTTGAACTTCTCAGCCTCTGTAACTGTAAGAAATAAATTCCCTTTCTTTATAAATTATCCAGTTTCAAGTATTCTGTTAGAATCAACAGAAAATGGGCTAAAACAAATATGATACTGAATTTCAGAGAGCACACTGATACAGTCTGTGTGAGGCTCCTGGATAAAAGTGTGCTCATGTAAGATCTTACAGGTTTGTTGACAGTGTTTACAATGAGGCTTCTGTCTAAGAAAACAATAGCATATCAAGGAACCAAGATAATCTTACAGTAGATGAAATTCCTAATAAATTACTTTGTTTAGATTTTAGAGTTTCCTGTTGTAGGAAGTTTACAAATATGTTTCAGGAAATCGGTTCTCGAAAATAACACAATGGTGAAGAGAATGTAGTCAGTCTAAGAACATAGGGGCTGAAGTTACCATGCTCTGGCACAAAATTCAAGGAATTCACCCTTAAAAAATATTCTTCTGATTCTTTTGTGTCATTGAATGTCTTGGTTTTTAGTTGCCAGATTGTTTTACATTCTTTCATGCATCAATGATTATAAACAGAATGTCTCTTAAAAGACCTTGATAAACAGTTTACATTTGTAGTAAGAAAAAATATCTCTTTATTCATGTTATTAATATTATTTCCAAAGCAAGGCTGTTTTAGGCCAGTTAGATAAAAAGGAATGACTTTCAGTCACTAAAATTAATGATTTGCTCTATATTGGAAAATACAGAAATGGTACTACAATCCTGTTTTCAATTTTATGAGGATCTCTGCTTCCTTGCTACATTGATTCCTTCCTCTTAGATTTGTGGTCCTCTAATGAAGCACAGTCACACGGGATGCCCGTGAATGTAACTTTACAGACACAGGAGAAGAAAGTGAGTCTAGAAGTTTTTGGTCTGGTCAAGATGTTGATCTTGCTGATTTCATGACTTTTGTAGAAATCAAAGGTGCTGAGGCATTTTTATCCTATTTGATGTTTCTGTTATATGTGGAACGTGTAAGCAGTGTGTCTAAGGATGATGTTAACTGCTGTCAAATTGCTAAAACATATTTCCTGATAATTAACTTTGATCTTCAATTGAATCTTATTGCATGACACATAATTTGCTTATATTTCCCACATTCATTTTCATATACCTTTTTTAAAAATAGCCTTCCCTGTATCCTTTTAAAGAAGGAATTTTCATCAAATGCTTGTATGGAAATGGAATAAGGGACACGAGCTGAAGAAAGCCGCTTACTCTGGTGAGATGGGTTACAGGCCCATTTCAGCACCGCACAGCAGCAGAACTTACCATGCTTATGAAGAATTGAGTTCCAGCTCTAAAAAAAATATGATGCCAACTTGAAGTGGCAAAGTCAGTAGCAACTGACCATGGAACCATGAAACAGAAAATTATTCCCTCTTAAAAATGTACAGTCTGCTCTGTAAAAATAGAGTTGGGATCTGACTTGAAGTGAACCTGGCATCACAAAAACCAAACTTGCCAAGGACCTGCCATGGTGGAGATCACATGCAGGGCCTCCAGGTCCACAGAAAACAAGGCAGTCACCACTCAAGCCAGAAATCCAGTAAGTGGGGGCAATCCCTCCACGCAGCTTTGACCCTTAGTGCAGGCTTACATTAATGACCAATCTCTGAACCCACAGAAGAGGGAAATGTTGGTTCCGTATATTCATGAAGAATATCTGATTAGGCAGTAGGTGGAGAGAAAGTAATCATCAGCAGAACATAACTCCTTCCACTATGTAATACAACTGAACATTCACACATGTTCTGTTTAAAAAACATGGAGGAACTCACAGTTTCTTGGGAGGGCAGGGTTCTATTTGTTTAATGGAGATGGAAGAATGGTCTCTGAGGATACTCCCTGTCTGAGGTCTGGTGCAGAGGAGACACTAAATTTTCAGAGCAGGGACAGCATAGGGTGAAAACCTCTCCTTTAATTATCTGATGAAGTGGAGCACAAGCCCCCTGCTGGCAAGCCTATCAAAGCTACCTCCCTCCTACATTCATAACGAGACCCAAATAGTTTTCCCACTGTATTTCCTTTCACAAACATATATAGCTTATATATGACAAAATGGTCCTTGTAAAGCAATAAACCTGGGTTTCTGACTTCCAAGAATAAGGTTATTTTAAAGACAAACTGTATACTGGCCAGAAGGCATGTAAAGCATTTGCAGTGGTAAAAAGCTAAAAACCTCAGACTTTGGGCCATTGGGCTTGGAGACAGAACCATCAGAAAACCATCCAAACGGGAACGTCTGGTGAGACCACAGGGCGTCCCAACAGCTGCATGACGAGGGCAACCCCAATGCCCTGGCTCACCCCAGTGCTGCGAGGAATTCCTGGTTTGGAAAGTCCTGGTTGAAAATGTTTCTCCATAAAAGAGGTAGGCTTGCCTCTGCTGAGCTATTTTACATGCCCACCTTTCCTGTGTGCAATTTGCTTTTAAATGGTTCCTAAAACACTGTGGGATATATAAAATTATAAATACAGCTACAGTAAAAATAGAGTTAAATCTAAAAAGCATTAAAGGAAAGGATCTATCTTCACAAAGTCTGATAAAAGTAGTGACTTCCTGGGGAATCATTATCAAGGGGAACCAGCTCCCAATGCCCTTGGCTTACCATGACAATTCCCCCAGACTGGTCTGCCGTGCACATGCTCATGATTGGGGCCATGCCGATGGTGGTCCCTTGGAAATAAACCCCACTAGGAAATAAAAGAGAGGACTTTCTTTAATCAAATTAGAACGGGGGCATTCTCTAATATTTAAAAATTCTGTTGGATATTCCTGCAATAAAATACGCAAAAATAAAAATAGCTGTATGAGGGTATATTCACATGTGATTTTATCTTTTTTCCCTGAAAATTTTATTTCTGCAGTTGCGTCATGGTTCTGTCATTTTTTAGAGTTTTGTTTTCAAGACTCAGATGACAACTAGTTATTACTTTTGTACTTATGAGTTGTAATCTGCCTATTTCCTAATGGACTGTAGGAAGCTGCTCCATTTAAACAATGTCTGCTGATGGAAAGGCTGAAAATAGTCACAGAGAATCACTGTTAACTAAAAGAAATGCATTAGATGGTTTACTAGATTTTCACCATAGCTTAACTGCTTTCCTGGGTAACTTACTACAGTTCTGCCAGACACCCAAATTCTTTCAAATTGTCCCGCTAAGATAGCTTGCAAAATTGAAATGGGCAGAAAAATTATCAACCCTGGAGCCGGTGTAGAACAAGTGAGCACCCACAAAGCCTTGGCACCTAGGGAGGAAGCTTCTGGAAGGGGACTTCATGGCTTCAATGCAGTCGTCCTTCTATCTGGAATCTTAACCTGATCATGAATCTAATGACACCAAGGGCCTGTTGAACACAAGTGCTGTTAATTCCAACCTCATGCATGAAAAACAAAACGCTGTATTTGTTGAATTTCCTTTAAAGGAGTCAAATGACTTACCAATGCTATCTTGGCCATGTATGTATACAGATATATTGTTTGAAAAGTTAGATATTTTAGCTATGGTCAATTGAACAGAAAGTGGTAAGTGTATATAAAACCTTCTCCCTCCTTCCCTCCCTCCCTCTCTCCCTCCCTCTCTCCCTCCCTCCCTCTCTATCCACCTATCCCACTATACTTATATTTACAGTGGTAGAAATTTCGGCCTTTATTTACATCTATATAGACTATATGAACAGATATAATTATACATGTATATAAATAATAAAGTTACATAAGATGATAATTTATTTCCAGATGTTCAAGTTGGACAGACTCCATTTGGGAAAAATATCAAAACACTCTGACTCAAAATACATAAAATGTACTTTTAGTAGTTCAAGACTAATCAATGCATAAAATGTGAGGCAACCACAAATATCCAAGGGTAGGGGCAGGGGGGAACCCTGTGAAAATGGCCGAAGTAAATTATCAAAGAATGCCAACAGCCTCAGTTCAGACGTAGGCATTTTCTGAAGTGACAATGGGGTAGGACTGGTTTTTTAACTTTCCACAAATGTTCAATAGCTACATTGGGTTTGTCAAAGGAAAGTCTCTGTCCCAGAAGCTTTCCTTTCTGTGCTATAAGCCACATGACAACAAAAGAATAATAGCACAAAGTATTTAAAGATTTAAATAAAAATTTGTCACTTCTAGAAACATCTACTTCATACTAATTTAGATTGTTCCTTTTTTTTTTAAGTATAAAAGCATCGGCAACATCTCAACAATTTTTGTGTTATAATAGAGCTATGCTTTGCCTTAGTTTATCATCTTCCAGTTGATCCTGCTGAAATTGTCCTCTTTATTGTTGTCTCTCAGTAGAGTGGAGACTTCTGAGAGCAGGGAGATTTACAGTGTTGGTCACCACTGTGTTCAAAGCCCCCCAAACACTCTTTGGTTCCTAACGGGTGATGCATATTGATTTAAAGAGGGAACACAAGGTTAATGTGCTATGCTTCCCGGTATTCTCTGATCTAGAAAACCAAAGAGTCACAGCCACAACAGGAGGAGGAATAAAGTCTTTTTTCCCTCCAGGAATCTGACAGTATTCACCCAAAGTACTGTCCTTAGATATTGTATAAACATACATTTTCCACTAATAATGATGAATCTTTAAAAACAGGCTCCTCGGCCTGGCGCGGTGGCTCATGCCTGTAATCCCAGCACTTTGGGAGGCCGAGGTGGGCGGATCATGAGGTCAGGAGATTGAGACCATCTTGGCCAACATGGTGAAACCCTGTCTCTACTAAAAAAAAAAAAAAAAAATACAAAAATTAGCTGGGCGTGGTGGCGTGTGCCTGTAATCTCAGCTACTCGGGAGGTTGAGGCAGGAGAATCACTTAAACCAGGGAGCTGGAGGTTGCAGTGAGCTGAGATCATGCCACTGCACTCCAGCCTGGTGACAGAGAGAGACTCTGTCTCAAAAACAAACAAACAAACAAAAAACAAAACAAAAAAATAGGCTACTCAGAACAACTTTACATCACAGCTAAAATCAGAAAAATTGGTATAGAAGAAAATGTCCGGGTTCTAGAAGAAGGAAATGAGAGTTCTGTAGAGGGACAGGTTTTCCAGGGTGTTCAGAGGGAGACTTTCCTAGCAGACCTTCAGTTCCAGGTGAGGGTGGCATCTGCCCCCCTGGTGTGAGCTGAGAAGCCCCCTTGCACAAGGCAGTGTGCTCTGCAGAAAGGTGGCAGCTCCTGGGGCTGTGCAGGTGAAACGAAGGGCTTCGCCGAGAGCACTCCTTTTTTTTTTAAGCAGACAAGACGTAACTCCCTACCTGACAAGCTGCGCATTGTCATGGGATTTGCGAGGTAGAAGCTTCATCTTCCTCCAGTCCAGAAATTCATGGAGGCTGGTGAATGGGTCCTGACTTACAGAGCATTTGTCCATGTCATTCCACACTTCCACGCCTACCAACACGATCCGAATGTTCAGTGGTCTGTAAAACTGGGCAAAACAGGCAAAACTGGCATTGGAGTTGGGATCACGTTAATAAAAACTCGAAATGAAAATTAGAACAGATTTGCGTTATTTGAGGGTCACTGACACAGGTGAGAAAAATATCTCTGTGCTCTTTGGTTCCTGTGGTGTTGGAATTTAAGAAATATTTGCAGTGCCTAATGCAAAGTGATGTGTTAACTAGGTTCTCGAAGATTGACCAATTAGATGCTGAAGTTATCAGCTTTTTTACTGTCTACTTGCATTTGTATGGAAGCATACATTTCAAATGACTCACTGGTGATTTAAAATGTACATACAGATGTGTATTATAGCTAAAGATGGCCAGTTAATATCCACTGCAAGTGAAACAATAAGTGAATTAGGATCTTTCAGACACTTCTGCCAAGGACAATAACTTGTTCATTTTGAGCAAAATGTTCTGCTTATTAGTTACTGAAAATGAATCTGTATTAATTTTTCAGCAAAGTCTCAGCTCTGGCTAACACTATCATATTCTGTCACCTATAATCAACGCAGGTTTTAATAAAATAAAGAAGTCAATATCTTTCAGAATAACAAAGGCATAAACAGAGCCCTTCTTCAGGAACATTAATGACTATCCTCCCCACAGCCAGAAGTTAGCTCACCAACAGTGTCATGGAAAGGTCTGTTAAATGAAGTTCCTCTTTTATGCGCCTGTGAAACAAAGCATCCGGCACACCACTGAAAGCAAGACTTCTCACTCCCCTGCCTGCCCCCACCATCTTTGGGTGTTCCTGACTTCAGCCTATGGCCCATACCTGACTACACCTACAGGCAGGTCGTTCTGGGTCAGGGCAGGGAAAAGCAACTCCTCCAGGGACTAAGGGATGGCTTTGTCTCATAGGAGTTCAGAGGGCCAGGATGAGCGGTCAGGGTAGAGGTATGACCTACCCATTGTCCTCATAGGCATCACATAGACAAGCAGATGGCTTTGTACTCATGGTTGAGGGGGCTAGGACATGGTGTCACCTGGTGGGCTGTCAAATCTTTCAATGCCCCTAGTGTATGAGGCAGCACACAGGGAGAAAGCCCTCATCTTCTGAGATCCCAGGTAGCCACGGAGAAAAGGGTGGCTAGTGATAGCAGCCAAAGCCAAGCACCAGATGAAAGCAGGTCCTATTCTCAGTTGCTGGAAGCATCTGGCCAATAACAAAACTTATAGAAGTTCTGCATTTGCTAGTTAGGCACCATTCCAACATGGTGAACTAAAGTAGAAGAAACTGCTCAAAGTTGAACATCTGACCCTAGATTCTAACCCACATAAGGTGAGCTCATCTTTTCCCTTGCTGGTCCCCACAGTCATCTGGTGAGCATTGGGTTAGCAGGAGAATATGACCAGGATACAAAGTGCATCACAGAATATATGCTGATTGCATTGGTCCAACTTGGTTTCAAACAGATCACAATTACAGACATTACATTAATGAGTTAACGAGACGATTACATGACTACAACACAGCCCAACAGTTTGTTTTCAATCAAGAATTGCATGGCCCACGCTATCTACTTGCAAACTCCCAGCCCAGGCTTCCGGGGCGAAAGTAAGTTCCTGGCCGGCTCTGGAACTCTGAATGCACATGTTTGGCTGCTGTCCACTGAGAGATTACATTTTCAGCTCTATTATATACAAAGGTAACAGTGATCAGAAAGCAGAAACGGAGGCGATCCAATGCTGATGCTCACACCAGCTTGCTAAGAGATGTCCTTGGGGTCAGACACCTTGCGTGGGCTCAGGGTTGGCATCTGGGAAGGAGACACTAGGTTTGCCTCCCAGGAGTGTTGCATGGAGCCAGTAATGAAGGTCAGCAAAGGACTAATTGTCATCATTCCTTAGTGCTAGGTTTGCTGCTTCCTCATCAAGGAGCTTTTCATGATAATGATGGGTTTTGCATCTCCACCTACTAGGCTTCTCAAACCACATCCTTAGAACAGATTTCATACTTAGTAGTAATATAACAGACAACCTCCCCTCTCCAAAATTAGTGCCATTGTTTGACTGTCATTTATGCTAAACTCACATCAAGTCATCATACATGATGCCTTTGCTGCCTGCTCTAAAAGTTCTTTCCAGGGCTGCTGACGGGTTCCTTTTGATTCTTCCTAATAACCACCACCACAGCTAATGTTTAGTGAGCATTACTGCATCACAGGCATGATGCCACGGTGGTTTCTGTGCTGTGGCTTAATCCTGAAAACAACTCCATGTGTTAAGAATTATTATTATTTCTATTTTATAGTCAAAGACACGGAGGCTTGGAGAAGTCAGGTGACTTAAGATTGCAACTCCATGGCTGGGGTTGGAACACAGGCCAGCTAACCCTGACGCTCATGTTTGAACCCACTAGGTAACACTGCCATCTTCTGTGAGCACTAAGACTCCCTTCCAAGACGGCCCACTGTGACCCCAGGCCCGGAGAGAAGCTCACGGGCCTCTGCTGTACAAATGGAGCTTGGCAGCTGCCTGCCTGACTTACAAAGCCCAGAACATATGTGGACACAGTCAGAGATCCAGCTGAAGCGATTCACCTGTTTACACAACAGCAACAAATATTTTCTTGCCTCTTGCTGTGGGCTGGGCCGGCAGTGGCAGAGAGAGCAAAGATTTGGATGCCCTCGCTCCTGCCACCCAAATGCTCAGAGGTCACCAGGGGCTTAAGGCATGGCACACTGAACTGTCAGTTCAGTTAACTCCAATACAGTGAACTGCCAAGCAGTGGTGCACATAGGAAGTCCAGGGACGCTGCACTGGAGACTTTTGGGAAGAAACAGTGAGGCGGAATCCCCTGGGGTCTAATGAAGGAAACTGCATCCTTCAGGCAACTGGTTTGGGACAGGAGGAGAAGAAAACTGTCACATGAGTGAAAATATCCTAAGAAATTCAATACACAGAGGCTGGACATGGTGGCTCATGCCTGTAATCCCGGCACTTTGGGAGGCTGAGGCAGGCAGATCACTTGAGGTTAGGAGTTTGAGGCCAGCCTGTCCAACATGGTGAAACTCCATCTCTACTAAAAATACAAAAATTAGTCAGGCCTGATGGTGGGTGCCTGTAATCCTAGCTACTCGGGAAGCTGAGGCAGGAGAATCGCTTGAACCTGGGAGGTGGAGGCTGCAGTGAGCCAAGATGGCGCCATTGCACTCCAGCCTTGGGGATAGAGCAAGACTCTGTCTAAAAAAAAAAAAAAAAAGAAAGAAAGAAAGAAAAGAAATTAAATACATAGACGATGAGTCCTTTCAGAAGCAGGTCCCTGAATTTGCAGCTGACACTAACTTCCTAATGAATAAGGAGGACAGTCTGGAGGTGAAGGGTGGAAGATGCAAACTCCACGATAGCTCCATGGGCAGGTGCACTCCCCGGGCTCCTGTGGGAATGTAATGAGGACCCGGGGAAAATTCTCAGCGTCTGGCCTAGAAGCATGAGTGTCAGACATGCCTTCTGTGTTTTGCTCATGGGGGGATTTCCTGAACATTCCAGAATGTCACCTTCATCACTAAACCACTCGTCTGTTTTCCAGTCTAGGATGTCCTCTTTCTCCACGCAGCAAGCAGTTATTAAGTTAGAATGGTCCAGGAGAGCCAAGACTTCAGCAAATGAGGAAGTTGCCACTGGCACAGTCGTTGTTTTCTGGACTGAGACACTTTCATTTGTAGAGTTGAAAAACTGAAATTTAGAATTGTGTAACAGAGCTGGGAGTCATCTGTTCATAGACTTGGAAGCACCAAGTCTCCCAGGGGGCCTGGGTATCTCCTCCAAGGTCTTTGGCGTCTGCTGGGGATGGACAGGGATGTCAGGGCCAGGGGTAGCTGTGTGCTCAGCAAATCGGCTCTCTCCCTGCCAGAAACACAAGGACAGCCAGGCCGGCAAACTCCACGGAGTCCGTTAGGACTTTTCCGAGGCACAGTGTTTTTTAATTACCAGTGCAAGTTATTAACAAACCCCTAATTGCTCATTTTTGGTTTTGCAAACTGAAGCAAGATATAACCTAGAATAAATGTGAAGAAATACAAACACAGAGGACCCAAACACATCCCTTTTTTAAAATGGGGCTTCAGCAATTTCCAGTTTGGGTTTAATATAGTTTATCATTTCCTTTTGCTCCCGAGGTCTAAGAAGAACTCGTGTTTTCTTCTCGTTGGACAGTCTGAGGATAGCCTGAGGCCGTTGGGGCAATGGTCCAACTCGCTCACCTTGGAGTGGCACCTGCGCTCCCAGCTCAGGCACCTAAGCCTTCCGCCCTCTAGGCCAGTGCGTCTCAGTCCCACTTCATGTTAGGATAACTGGAGGACCCTGGAGAATATCTGTGCCTAGGCCCTGTGCCAGGTCAATCAAATCAGAATCCCTGGGCCAAGGTGTGGGAATCAATATTTCCTAAAGTAAACATATAAACAAATAGACAAACAAACTCCCCTCCAGGGGTTCTAATGTCCAGTCTAGACCGAGGTCCAGTTCTAACTGCCGTGCTATCTTTGATGTCTCCTCTAAGACCCACCCTTCATCCCCCCTGCCAGGATTTGCCTTTCACCAGGATTCTCCTGCACCTGGACTATGGGATAAAGTTGAATCTGCAAAGAGTAACTACTGAAAACACATCAACAGGCAGGGGTTGCCAGGAAGTTTGACCTGCTTCAAAGGTGGACAAGGGCAATATCATCCCAGGATATCAACGGCCATGTGGGTTTTTCTGACTTCCAGAAAGTTCCATGTAGCCATAGCCTCTCTCTGAGTGGCAAACCCAGATCTCTGACTGTTCAGAGTGCCCTTCAAACTCCTCTTCCTGCTCCCCCTTTCCTGGGGTATGAAGCATCGTCTACCTGCCCCTCCACTCCAACGAAACTGGCGGTCATGTGGTCTCCCACTCGCCCTCAGCCTCTGCTTGGTCATCATGAGGTCCCGGGACTCACAGTAGGGGGAGTAGAGTCAAAGCCAAGAGCCCCTGCTGCTGGGAGTTGGCAAGACTAGCACTCATCCCTCGTCCTGCAAATGAATAACCTCTGCCCATCTCAGCCTCCTCTGCTTTAAAAATAAGAACAATAGTGTGTACCTGAGAGTGTGTGCAAAGCACTTAGAGCCCGGCACACAGTAACTGGTAAAAATAATAATCAGGAAACACATCCCTTCGAGCCTCTCTCAATCCTTGTCCTTCTCACTTCCCCACTTCCCCTGCCCTGGGTCAGGTCAGGCCTTTATCCCTTCTTTTTCTTCTTCTTCTTTTTTTTTTTTTTTTTTGAGATGGAGTCTCGCTCTGTCACCAGGCTAGAGTGCGATGGCGTGATCTCGGCTCACTGCAACCTCTGCTTCCCGGGTTCAAGCAATTCTCCTGCCTCAGCCTCCCGAGTAGCTGGGACTACAGGCGCATGCCACCACGCCCAGCTAGTTTTTGTATTTTTAGTAGAGACGGGGTTTCACCATGTTGGCCAGGATGGTCTCGATCTCTTGACCTCGTGATCCGCCCGCCTCGGCCTCCCAAAGTGCTGGGATTACAGGCGTAAGCCACCGCGCCCGCTCAGGCCTTTATCATTTCTATGCAATAGGCTCCTCTCAGCCCTATTTGTCTTTGGTTATCCCACCCTCCACACTAACTGCAGGAATATTTTTCTACTATCATGTGTGTCTCTCCCCTGCTTAAAAACATTCACCTAGCTCTCTATTCACTGCAGAATAACATCAAGATGGCTTCGTAGAACAGCCGGGGCCTTGAGCACCGTGAATCTTTGCAGCTTCATCTCCTCCTGCCCTAGCTCTGCATGCATACATTTGCATACAATATG
Organism: Homo sapiens; assembly: GCF_000001405.40. Lineage (NCBI taxonomy): Eukaryota > Metazoa > Chordata > Mammalia > Primates > Hominidae > Homo > Homo sapiens. The sequence goes on from NC_000010.11 coordinate 126,107,047, forward strand.
AGCATGCATGTACACAAACACACATACATGCATGCAGGGCACACACACGTATGAACACACACATGAACACATATAGGAACACACATGCATGTACATGTACATGAAGCACATACATGTCCACATCACACATACTCCTTCTTCTGCTATGCTCACAGTGAAACTGAACTTACCTTTGAGGATCCTCTCCCTGCAAAGACTCCCTGGCCCTGGGAAGAAGTAAGTGATTCTCTTCTGCATCCCCATAAACCTCCATTCATAGCATGGATCTAGTTCTTAATGCCTTGGACCATGCTGTGTGGGTTGCATGTCTGCTTCCCTACACAGCCTTGACGTTCTCAAGTGGAGGGACCACATCTGATTCATTCTGAATTATTGATGCAGAGTGCATAAGGTCTTGTAATATGGAGCCGAATTTCTGAAAGGACCTTTGCCTTCATTTTTCTGAAAACTTAGAGAATGCAATTCAAATCGAATAAGATTGCTTGGAAACAAGGCTAGAGTGAGGCACCCTCACAAACCACTATGTGTAAAATCTGCTGTTTCAGAGGACCATGGATGTGAAAGGCTCAGCCATGACCAGATCCCTTCTCACACTGTCCCCACAGGCAAGAGACTCAGTATTGCTGAGAGACTATGGTTGCTTTAGGACAGCGGTCACCATCCACATTGCACATGAGAATTGCTGGGGAGCTTCTGAAAATTCGAGGTCTAACCTCCCCCCCGCCCTGCCCCTTGAGGGCAGCAATGCTTTCAGAAGCTCACAGGGCAACTCCAATATGCGGGGCTTGTGAGAAGCCTATTTTAGGCTAAGGGTCGTCAGCAGCAAATAGCCAACATCCTCTCCAGCAGGATACACTGAGGAAGGACAGGTGGTTTAGACAGAGAGCGCTGCCATTTTCTTTGCCGGCCCGCAGTGTGAGGAGCGGTTAGTGAACAAGTACCCCAGGAGTAGGACCTGGTTTGCAGGGGCTCCTCCAGCAAGGAAATCATCTTTGTGAAAGGTGAGTTTCTGACCTACTTGTTCTTGGCGAGGGATTTTCCAATAGCTGATTTAGCTGAAAGTCAACTTCTGTGTTCCAGGACAGTGAAGCCTATGGATCCCTTATAAATGCAAGCCCACCCTCAGGGTTACATTGGTACAGGCCTGCAATGATGGGGACAGATTGAAGGGGCCTGTGGGATCCGTCATCGGGAGACCTGGGAGAGGCCCGGCTCAGGAGGAATCCAAAGGATCAGGTGAACTCTGTAGGGGTTCTGGAGCTAATCGGGAAGTCCAAAACACCCTCAGACTGGTATTCCACCTGACCGGAAGAGAGCCTGGAGGAAGACATGTCACCAAGGCCACCATAGTCCAGACTGCTGTGGTTTGGCATCTCCTGAAGCTGCCCCAGGACCCAGGAATTACACACTCAGAGGACAGGAAACAGTTCCAAACCAAGGCCCAGAGGCAGAACCTCATCTCCTTGCTAAGTCAGATGAGGTCCCCCAACCTCATTTCCAAACATTTACATGATCTGAATGATTTAACTACTGAAAAAGAACTTACCTTGTCAACGTGATTAGCAATCTCTATTAATCGCTGCTTAACTTTTTCCAGATCTTTTCCTTGCCTCTGAAACTTAACAATTTTAAATGGCAGCATTAATACCAGCAAGAATATCAATCACGTTTCATCTTCCTGGCTTCTGGAAATGTGAAGTCTTGGGATTTTACAAACCACTGGGGACCCTCCACAGTTCACGGTAAAATGAGCTTGCATCCTGCCGACTAACTTTCCCGGCTGGGGACTCCCTGAAATTCCCTGAAATTTGCCTAAGCCAAGTGCTCTCAAGACAGCAACTTCTGCAATTTTCCAGCCTCATAAATGATGGAGGCAGTGACTTGTTTTGGCAAAGAGGAAACAGACAACTAGAAGTCAGTCCAAAGCCATTTTTCATATCATCAACTTGATTTTAACTTCCTGAGAAATTTTCTTTATATTTGTTTTTAAAAATTAAAAAGTAAAAGTCATAGAAGCTCATGGCAGCTTGTCAAACAATACAGAGGAGAATAGACAAAAAAATCAACAAATTTCCCATTCCCCTCTCTAATCTGACCTTCCAGAATGGGAATCATTTTCTGAAAAATAGTCAAGCCTGTTTCATTCATAGGTGTTGAAAGAGTCTATGAGAAAATATCACCCAATCACCCAATTCATATATGCCAATGAGGCAGTAAATACAGAGAAGATAATCTTTAGAAAAACTAATTCAAAATTAATTAAAATAAAAAATGAATGTAGTATCAAGCTATAGCTCAGAGGGGAGGATTTTTCTGCTGTGTCTCTATAGCCTTCATTCATACCTTCATTTATTCATTTTGATTAATGACATATGGGATATTTTTTAAATGTCCCATTTTAAAGACTAAACTTTTCCCCAAAATGTTTTAGAATATAATCTAAAGCCTTCTGTCATTCCTCTCAGTTAATTCTCCTTGTTTGGAGAGCTGAGCTATAGAGCAACTCTGTTTTTTCCTGCAGGCTTTGCCATTACTTTATATATCAAATAAATTTTTAATATTGTATGCTTTATAAAATCAGAAAACCATTGTTTCAATGGGTTGTTTCCATTGCTTTTAAGAGCACATAGGAAATGAGGTTCATTAAAGCAAGTAATAACTTGCAAAACATGTCCTTTTTTCTTTTATCTCTAACCAACCATACTGAGAAATTTTAAAAAGTTCTTACCTCTCGGTTGTCTGCCACGATCACCAGCTCCACATACTTAGTTGCCTTGAGGGTCTCTCTTTTATGCTGCCAAGAGTAAACATGCACTTAATCTCTCTTAATGCCTCTCTGGCATTAAGACTGTCAATGTCTCTCAATCTAAACACTTTAGGTTGAGAATGTATATCCCCCATCCCCGCCAGGCCCCCACACCTCCATTCCATCTAGAAGTTTACCCCAACTCCAACCAACTCTTTGTAAAACCTTCTCAACATGAGTAACCAGCTTCCATTTCCACTTGGAAAACCCTTAAAAAGGAGTTTAAGCTTTCTGCTGAATCATGGATTATTGGAGCAGCAAATCAAGATTATTAAACAAAACGAGCACATAAACAAACAAAACCAAAGCACTCTCTAGAACAGGAGCCAGTCAAAAGTCATTTATTTCAGACCACGTGTAGGTCTTCTCTGATGACCACATTTGAAGGTCATCAGAGAAGACGACGGAGTTCAATGCACTGTGGCTGTTCCCTTTGTCTTTATGGTCCAAGTGTACCTGTTTTGAGACTTAAGAAAAGTGGAGGAGAATACATTTTGAACAGGAACTGTATAATCATTTTTTAAATGATAATGTAAAAATCTAGTTAGAAGCAATGGAAGACCGGGGTGGTCTGGAGAAAAGGAAACTGTCAGACTAATGAACAGAGAAGTGAGAAAGGTATGAGGAGAAAAAAAAAAGAGCAAAGAGAAAGAGAACGGAAAGAAACAGAGTTAAGAAAAAACTAAGACTGCAATATGCCCCTGGAGAACAGGGATTTCGTAAGAGTGAGACAGTTGAGAGAACATGGAAAGTGGATATGGAAGTGGATGAATGGAGATGATTCAGGCAGCAGAAATAGGAACCCCGTCCCCCACAAAGGCAGCTCCTGAAGTGGATCACATTTTAATCAAACTTCCTCAAAAAGCATTCACACTCTTCTGTGAATTACTGGAAGAATTCCAAATGCATTTTTAAGAGAAATAAAGCAGTTCGTGGAGGGTGGTCTCAAAAAGCAAACATTAAAAACAAAAAACAAAGCCTTCTGTTTCTGCCATAAAATGCAGTTGGAGGAAGTGGGGGTTAAGTTGGTCTTTGGTCCTGATGACTGATATTGCTGGTTTATGAGTTAACTACACACACTGCTTCAAGTTTAAAACTTGCATGTTATAACCACTCTTTCAGACAAAAGCAAAAGAAAATCACAAAAGTATGCTTTGAATCAGGTTTCCAGTCACATAATCCTGAGGGAAACATCTTTTATAAAACAAATCCCCATCAGTCCGGGATCTTCCAAACAGACTTTTACAAGAAAAATGTTTGTATTATAGCAGTGTTCCTTCTTGCTGCCCAGCTGTGCTAATTCATGAATTTAGGTGTTCCTAAAGATATCTGGAAACCTTATGGAAAAGGAAAAATAAAGCACCAGGAAAGGTACAATTTCTCATATCTTTACAATGTTACAAGAAGAAACTGTTACGCTTTGTAACTATATGTTGTAGGCATGCTTTATGGTGATAACTATGCGTTACTTATAAAAGAAAAGACATTTGCCCCCATGGTGCCCACGGGTGCACACAAAATGAGACACCTTCTGAAAGTGTGAAGATCTTGCCCTTTTTCCTCATTGAGGCGTGAAAGAGGCAGAACCCTCTCTGTTGTCCATAATTCCCTAATTAATCATTAAAAAAATTTGGCTAATTATGCAGAAGAAAATATAGCTCTAGAAATGAAAAACTAATCTCTCATTGAAAAGCTCATGGAAAGGAATCTGGTTGTTTAGACGTTTACACTTTTCAGCCTGCAGAGGGGTGAAATAAACGACCATGGGATATTTCCAACTGGCTTAAGATCCCCATTTAGAAAATACACAATTCCAGATAATAAAAACAAACATGTGAACACAATTTTCCTGTCTCTGCAATTTTCAGAGAAGTCTACATTTTCTCATGAATTCAGAGAACTGCAAGCTCAGAGGGAAGCTTAACCACATAATAAAGAGAAGCACTGGGGGAGTCGCCGGCTCAGGGCGGAGGTTTATTCTCCTGTTAGCTGCACACACAGAGAGAGGTTTACATTATCCCCACGTGATTTCCACCTATCTGGCTGTCCAGTTAAAAAAACAACAACAAAGAATCATGTTTTTAAATTTGTGATATGGAGAGCAACATTTGAAACTGGTTGCTGAAGACATGGAACCAATCCAAATGCCCATCACTGATAGACCGGATAAAGAAAATGTGGTATATACATACACCACGGAATACTATGCTGCCATAAAAAGGAATGAGATCGTGTCCTTTGCAGGGACATGGATGAAGCTGGAGGCCATCATACTCAGCAAACTAATATAGGAACAGAGAACCAAGTGGGAGTTGAACAATAAGAACACATGGACACAGGGAGGGGAACAACACACACCAGGGCCTGTTGAGGGGTGGGGGATGAGAGGAGGGAATTTAGAGGATGGGTCAGTAGGTGCAGCAAACCACCATGGCACACGTATACCTATGTAACAAACCTGCACGTTTTGCACATGTATCCTGTTTTTTTTTTTTTAAAGAAGAAATTAAAATAATAATTTTAAAAAATTTAAAAAAAGAAACTGGTTGCTCTACTGGATTTTCATTTTGGGGGGTTATGAACAAAAGCCCTTCCTCAAACGGGAACATCAGCCTCTGGGATTAGCCCAAAAGTCTCCGTTCCCAGGTGGAGGCAGAGGCCTTCTTTGAATCTTGCTCAAGAAAGAACCAGTTCCTGGGCCTCTCAAAGTCATCACAGCCAAGTTCCCCAGGATAAATAACCCCCGATCAGCCTGCAATGAGGACTCTGGCAATGGGAACTTAACTCAAGTTAGAAAAGCAAGTTGACATTGGGGCTATAATAAATCCTCATTGCAATTCTTTCTTCATATGGGTCAGACCATTTGTATAACATTTATTCATCCCATGCTATCTACCAGGGATGCTGTTTGCACTAGGCCCTGTGTAGGGTGCTGGGGATACAGTGTGGACAGGAAACTCATATTCCTGAAACCCAGTGTCCTCCTGAAACTCATATTCCTGAAACCCAGTGTCCTCCTGAAACCCATATTCCTGAAACCCAGTGTCTTCCTGAAACTCATATTCAGGAAACCCATATTCGGGAAATCCAGTGTCCTCCTGAAACTCATATTCTGGTGGGGCCTGGGAGAAGGTGAGCCCATGCAGAATTAACGAAAGAAAGAGAGAGTCTGTGAAAAGTACAACAAAGGAAATAAACAGGGTTCTGCAGGTAGGATGAAGCTGGGCAGTGGGCAGGCCAAAGGTAGCTGAGGCCTGAAGGATGAGAAAGAGGCATGTGTGGAAAGATTGTGGGAACAGTGTTTCAGGTAGATGGAATGGCAACAGCAGATGTCCTGAGGCTGGGGAGAGCTTGTGGGTGTTGGCAACAGGCCGTATGGCTGGAGTCTGGCGAATGGCGGACAAGAGTGGACGAGAGGAGGTGGAAGATGGGGACAGGACACTGGGGCCATGGCAAGGAGGTTGAGTGATAGCCTAATAATCTAAGAGCATGGGGGCCTTGAATGTGAGATTTTAAAAATATTGCAACTGGGCGTGGTGGCTTACGCCTGTAATCCCAGCACTTTGGGAGGCTGAGGTGGGCGAATCCCTCGCGGTCAGGAGTTCAAGACCAGCCTGATCAACATGGTAAAACCCTGTCTCTGCTAAAAACAGATAAATTAGCCAGGTGTAGTGGTACACGCCTGTAGTCCCAGCTACTCGGGAGGCTGAGGCACAAGAATTACTTGAACCTGGGAGGTGGAGGTTGCAGTGAGCCGAGATGGCACCACTGACTCCAGCCTGGGCAACACAGTGAGACTCCGTCTCAAAAAAAAAAAAAAAAAAAAAAAAAAAAAATATATATATATATATATATATATATATATATATATATATATATAATATATTGCTCTGGCTACTGGAAGGAGAACGGATTCTAGGGAGATGATATTGGATGATACTGGAAGCTGAGAGTGCAGCAAGGAGGCCATGCAGTCGTCCAGGTGAGAGGTGACAGTCATGATGGACATGGGTAGCCACATGCAAGCCAGCTGTGCTATCACCTGACAGCGAGAAAACAACAATCACAATGAGACCACAGCCAAAGTGTCCATCGCCAGCAATATCAGCAAATGAAATGAATCAAAAGTTTGGTTTCTCTTCCTCTAGGCAAGAAAACAATCAGTATTAGCTCAAGCAAGCAACGCTCCATGCCTTGACTCTAACATCACTTTCTGCGTATTTGTAAGTTGAGCTCCAATTTCGGTTAGGAAAGGTTGTCTCTACCATCCTTGACCGTGACTGGCATGGGGACAGCACACACTGATCATATCCACACAGGATACAGCCTCTGACACCTGGCCGACATGTAGGCGGGCAGAAGTAAACAAATGAGACATTCTGCCAGGAGAACAGGCTGAATCCGGCAAACTGAATGTTAATAGGGAGAAATGTGAAGTATTGAAATTAAGCCTTAAAAACGAATGGCACAAGTGAGATCTATTATTTATTTATCCAGAGCTTCAGTGGATTTGAAACTCACTAGGAATCCACACCTGGAAAACTGGAGCCTCCACTCACATAAATAGATATTCAAAGCCCAGGGCCAAGGAAGTGGTGCTGCCCCGTTCCCCACCAAGCGGTTCTTTTGTTTTGTTTTTTGTTTTGAGACGAGTTTCACTCTTGTCGCCCAGGCTAGAGTGCAATGGCATGATCTCAGCTCACTACAACCTCTGCCTCCTGGTTTCAAGTGATTCTCCTGCCTCAGCCTCCCAGGTAGCTGGGATTACAGGTGCCTGCCACTACGCCCTGCTAATTTTTGTATTTTTCGTAGAGATGGGGTTTCACCACGTTGGCCAGGTTGGTCTTGAACTCCTGACCTCAGGTGATCTGCCTGCTTCAGCCTCCCAAAGTGCTGGGACTACAGGCGTGAGCCCCCACCACCAAGCTTTAAGAACAACTAAGGTAGTAAAAGAACATGATAGTCTCTTAGAAGAGGCATGGAAGCAAGGATGGTTGTTAGAGAGGAATTCAGTATGCCTGTCATATTTAAGGAGTTTTCAAACAGTTCTGGCCAGTTCCTGATATTCAACTCTCATTAGGCTCTACATATAATGTGCTATATACTGCTATGGCTACAAATACCCCACCACTACTGTGCCTTCTATTAAACAAATACGATAGGCTGTCTAGAAACACAAAAGCAATAGCACCAGTTCATTTCAGAATGGCCACCTTCGAGGAAGCAAAACAGCACCTCCCCAACTCGCTGTCCTATATGTACACAGTACCCAAGCAAACATTTCTTTTCAGAGAAGGCAGCAACTTTTCTATTTGACTCATAATTATCCATACTAACGGAGGGGAACAATGGCACAGATAATCCCTAAAGAAAAGGCAATTCAAAAATAATTTGCATTTGCCTTTGGGATGTCTTATGTGATTTTCTCCAGTAGATTTACCATCTTTGCCTTGCTCAGAGCTTGCTTAGGATGATGTTAAAATTAGTTTGCATTCTTGAATGAGTAGCCGATGGAGAGGGAAGGAGTCTGCTGTGGGGGAGCTGAACAGTAAGGAGGCTTCAGGATGGAGACTCAAAAATCCACAGAGAGAACGAGCTGACTGTGACGCTCCCTGTTTCTCTGTGCCCTTCGAGGGGCAGCCTGGGTTCTCACTAAAATCTAATGTGGAGCCTTGTAAAAATGACAAACAATAGCTCAGGTTTATATCACAGCCAGTGTATACCCTGAGTGCAGATTTATTCCTGATGCTCTGTGAAGAAAAACGCAAACATCTGCAGAAAAATCAGAGTCTGCAAACCAGTCTTTGCAATAGTTAACATTTAGTGGGGGCAGAAAAATGCAGGGAAAAAGCAAATGCAGTTGCTGCATTGCATAAACAAGATTAGTTAGCAGCCTTTCTATTGATTTTTTTTTAAGAGTGAAATAAAGGCAGCATAAGTGGGGCAGGAAATGTCCCTTTCATATTTACCGTAGGTGCTAACCAAAACAATCTACTATATAATTCCAATTCACAAGGATTCCACATATTTGAAATTATTTTTCGCACCATTTTCATTATATACATGCATTTTAAGTCCAGGATGCTTTCTCTTCCATAAAAACCATCACAGTGCTTTCTAGAGAGAAATATTGAGAACTGAGTTGACCGGCATTGATGCCTTCCCTTTTCAATTTAAAGGTTCATTTGCACTTCAATATGCATTATTAACAAAGCACCGTTGTTATTCCCATTCTCCCCATTTCTCCACAAGTCAAAATGACTGGAAATTACAATCATGCTTCTAGAAAGCTGTAAGCTAAAAGAATTAAAATATGGCTGGCAAGTACAGACCAAGTGTGTACTTCTATATGAAACGACAAACATATTTGAGTGTCATTTAAGCCATCAAATTATAAATCTTGTAACGTGGGCAACGTGCATTCAACAAGGTACTCAAAGCAAAGAGCCTGGAAAACAAAATGCAAATGTTCTACTTGTTTATGACCGGTAAAGCTACAGCTTAATCACATCTTCTCCAAGGTTTGGAATCAAAGGCAAAAGCATTTGAAGAGTAAAATAAACCTGCCGTGGGACCCCAGAGGCTGATCTTTAAATCCACCACTAAGACAGGTTGCGGGGAGAAGCACAAGTTGAAAAGTCTCTTGAGCTTGTAAGGGTAGAGGTTGGGGGGGTAATTTTCAAGCTCTGTTCCTTGGGATTAGGATACAGTGTTCTGCCACCAAGCAGCCATGTCAAGGTGAGCCACAGTACCAGATGGGAGAGTTCCTCCCCTTCCTGTGATGGGGCAGGAAACGAAAAAGAGGTTGTGAGCACCTGCCATAGAAAGTCTTAGAAACATACTAGCAAACAGAAGACGTGAGGGTTACACAAGTAGAATACCTGGACTGAAAGAATGAATGTAAAATTAGAGTTAAAAGTCCTGAACTGGTTCCGATAAGAGCAGTTTTAGGGGAACAGACATCTATCCACAGGTATGAGGGGAATTCTAAGAATTAGAAGGTATCATTTGGGATAACCCCTACTGTTTCCAACTAGAAAAATGATTTAGAATGAACCAAGAATAATATTCATTAAATATTGAGTGCTAAGCAGTGGTCTACTGAAATTCAAGTTAGGAGACAACAACGGGTTAGGAGAAACCTAGAAGAAATGTTCTCGGACAGTCAAATATAAGCACAAGCGACATCCTATCTATAAATTTTCTTGATTTCTTGTCAACAGAGGAACAGGAAATCCAGAAATGGAAAATCAGGAAATTGTTGATAATTTCCTATCTGTTTCTGCTCATTTAAATTCAGGGCCTCCAGCCAAATGTTGGGAACGATTGCCTTTAATCCTTATTAAAAGAGCTCTACTGTAGCCTCTGTTGCCCACATAATGCCAGAGAGAAAAGGGGCAGGCCACCCTTAGGGGTGGAGGTTTCATGGTGTGACACTACACGTGTCAGGAAGGGAAGTCTGTCTGCAGCACAGACTCCCTTAGGCAACTACTCTTTCCAGTGCTGCTGCAAAAAGGAAGACATTTTATCAGCAGATCCAGGGGCTGGTGGCCAGAAAACACAGACTGCTTGGACGGTCCCAGGAGGGAACTAGGACAAGCATTTGCAGCTTGGACTGTGGATAAGCAAGATTCCTGAGCCACATCACGTGGAGGAAGGCCCAGTTCACCTCTGCATAAGTGTGTAGGCAAAGAGTGAGAATTCTCTGCAAATTATAAGAACCCAAACTTGCTAATAAGGAAGGCTCTATGTAGTCTTTCACCTCCAGTAGATGGAGAGCTGCTAGAGAGTGGGTCAGGGTCCAATCTTGTCTTGCTTGTCATGGTGGCGCCCAACCCTGGGCCTAGGACCATAGTAGGGTCTCTTGGGAGATTCCATGAATCTTGAGCTTGTGGGGGTAGAAGTTGGGGGGGCGTAATTTTGTCATCCTTTGATCCCAACTGTGTGACTTTCCTCAGCATATTTTAATGAGTCTGAGACTGACATCTGCAGTACAGTGATGGGGATTTGGCTTATGGTTGTGTCCCACTGTATAATGTCTACCACCTCCAGATAAACTGGGCACTTCCATCCCCCAGATGCCGCATCATCTAGATGGCAACATTTCTCCAGATGTCCTAGTGTGGGGTATCCGTAGCTTGAGCTCCTAGCTTTCCAGAAACACAAAATCAGGTATCCCCCTTACCCTTCTTGCCCATGTCTGAGAGGGTGGTGGAAACACATTCTTTGCAGCGAGGTTTGGTGTGTTGTGATGTGATCCACATGATCCCCGGACGCTTTTCAGCTTCTTCGCTGGGAAGAGTTTGTATCTGTTGGTTGCACTTTTCATTGGTTCTAAGACATAGCTTTCATTTTCAAACACAATAAGTCCCCTGTTGAAAAAGAAACAAGAAAAAATATATAATTTTAAGGACAGCTTCTTGTTTATGGCCAAGACACAGTTCTTAACAAGAGAGAGAATGAAAACAGAAACACCAATTTACTTATATTCTCAGATTTTGATTGGAAAGGACGTTTCTGTGACATATGTTTGCATTGATTCATTTGGCAAATCTTTTGGAAAGTTAGCCTAGGAATTTTCTTCTGTTTGAAATATTTTATGGTAAAGAATACAGTGCATTTTGCTTTTGTATGTTTTTATCTCTTTTTATGTCTCAAAGATATATTGCCGGGAAGAAGAATGAGGAAAAAGATGTTTTAACTGCTTAGAAGATAACTGTATCTGAATTAGCAGACACATTTCAAAAGGAAAATGTTTACTTTTAAAATATTTCAATAGCCTCAGGGGTACAGTAGCCTTTGGTTACGTGGATAAATTGTGTAATGGTGAAGTCTAGGATTTTAGTGCACCTGTCATCTGAGTAGTGTACGTTGTACCCCACAGGTATTCTTTCATCCCTCTCCCGCCTCTTGGCCTCCCCCTTCTGAGTCTCCAATGTCCATTATATTACTCTGGATGCCTTTGTGTACCCATAGCTTACTTCCCACTTAGAAGTCAGAAAATGCCATATTTGTTTTTCAATTCCTGAGTTATTTCATTTACAATAATGGCCCTAGTTCCATCCAAGTTGCTCCAAAAGCCATTAGGAAATCTTTTTATAAAAGGACAATTCCTACATCTAATTATTTATCCTGATCAGCCCTATTCCCTAAATATTTGATGGAATTATAAGCACCATGAGTACAAATTTATATTTTTTTATTTACTTATTTAATTTGTGGGAGATGTGTGAATAAAGGAACCCACTTAAGTACACAGAACATTAGCACTGCTTCTTGGAGGCTGAGGTCCGGCCTCTGGATCCTGTGTTCAGCTCTTTCTGGAATCAAGAACACTACAGGGAGAAGTGCCAGTCTCAACGCTGCAAGGGTGGCCTCTGGAGTCTGGAAGCTCTGGGTTTGAGTTCCAGTTTTTTACTTACTAGTTATGTGACCTTAACTTTGAGCCCTGGTTTCTTCACCTGTAAAATGGGGATAATGGTACCTACTTCTCAGGGTTGCTATGTCATCGAGTCAAAACGCTTAGCCCAGGGGAGGCCCCAGGTCAGTGCTTGAGAGATGGTAGCTTTCTTTACTATTAATAAGGGCAGATTCATGGATTAGGCATCTGTTAACAGGTTAACTGAAAGACTGACAACTTCAGGAAAGTTCTGTATTTTGTTAACCCATCTGCTCATAGGAATACTGGTCACTCATGGCTCTGTGATATAAAATATAGCATTAAAAATATAAATACATTTCTGGGAATGACAATAACTAAGAAAGAACCTTTTGAGCCAGTCTTTAGGTTTGGGAAAGAAAGCATAGATTCTTTTTAAAAATGGACAAATTTGCTGAAGACTCTAACTTGCAGAGATAGAAGGTGACATTTAGCCATGGACCATGACACATGTCTGACCTTCTGGAGCTCACAGCTAAGGCCACATCCCACTGCCTGGAAATGAGTAATGCTAGCCTTGGGCTGTCGGGTTCCTTCAAACGATGGGAACCTCGGCCTGCAGCTTGGTTTTCATTTCTCTCTTTGCTAAGGTGGGGCAGTGAAGTGCTTTAATTTAAAAGGTGCTTCCTGATGTTGAGAGAAAGGTTTTCTTTGGAGAAATGACAATTTGGGTAACAGCAAACTGGCATCTCTGAATTCCCATGTGTCTAGTACCTTATGTTATTTAGCGAGGTGACCACTATCTCTCCACTTTAGAAAGACACAAAATTTTCATGTAAAATTCATCTGACTGGAAATGGACCCTTCTAATACAGTGACTACTAACCTTTTGTGAGACATGAACCTCCTTAGACTCTTCCTAGAATAATTCACATACATACCTGTAGGGGCTAAGGGAAAATGTCCTCCTTTGCCCTCTGAAAGTTCACTACAAATCAACTGACAAAAGGCAGAAATATTATGGGAGAAAAGGCATACAATTTTATTTTAACAGTCATAGCACAGGTGAATTGTAGAAGAATGATTACTCAATGGGGGCACAGATGGTTATACACCCTTCTTCTTAGGAGAAAGGGAGATAGGGAAGTATGGATAATTTTAGGGGGTGAGTAAATGATTTTTAGGGGAATTCATTGGGCTGGAAGAACATACAATGGCCTGGGACAAAGTCTGTTGGGCCTGCAGAACAGACAACGGTTTATGACAAAAGTCTGTCTGGATGTGTTGACAGGCTTCAGTCTTTCTTCCTGTGACATTAGTTAATGAAAACTCAGAGAGGGACCAAGGTAATTTATTTCTTTTTTGGAGGGTCTATAGTTTAGGCAGATAAGGGAATGTCAGAGAACAACTTCATCCTGTGCTTTTGGAGAGTCAGATGGGGTGAAGGTGGGTGCCAGGGGCCAGAGAGACCTTGAGGGTTTTCCTTCAGTTCAGCATGTCAAAGATCCATATTTTGGGGTATCATTTTCTGAGCCCCAACATACATAACCACAAAATTTTGCAGATTATTTTAGCAAATTCAGGAGTGAGGATAAGGTCTATGTAAATGGAATGAGGTTTAGGGCATTAGTTCTAATATATAATAATACACAATATATAATAATATATATTATATAATATATATGCAATATAATTATATATTATATATTACATATGTAATATAATATATATTATATATTACATATGCAATATAGCATATATTATATATTACATATGCAATATAATATATATTATATATTATATATGCAATATAATATATTATATGCAATATAATTAAATATATTATATATTAGATGTATAATATACTATATTATATATAGTATATATATAGTATATATACTATATACTATATATACTATATATACTATATATACTATATATACTATATACACTATATACTATATATATACTATATACTATATATATTATATACTATAGTATATATACTATATAGTATATACATACTATATATTATATAATATATAATATACTATATTATATTATACATGTAATATATATTATATATGCAATACATAATATATATTATCTTACATGTAACATATATTATATATTACATATGCAATTATATATTATATGCAATATATAATATATTGCATATTATATAATATGCAATATATTATATATTGCATATTATATAATATGCAATATGTTATATATCAGAAATTATATAATATGTAACAATATATAATATAATAGAAAATTATATATTATATAATTATATAATAATATATAATCTTATATAATAATTAGTTCTAATATATAATTTATATTGCAGCAACCCAAGGATCTAGGTATACATCAATCCTCGAGGAATAGCTGGTCAAGTTGCAAACTCCATCAGTTTTCCTCAATCTAAGCTTCTTTCCAAAGAAGGGACTGTGTAAGGTGTTCCTATGTCATTCATTACTGCTTACATATTTGTTCAGTCATTCATCATCCTATGCTCATTGATGGCCCATTCGTAGGTAGTATTTAACAACTCTTAAATTTTAATAGATTGACAGTATCTCAACGCTCAAATGATACGGAAGGAAGAGGCTTGAGTTAGTCAAGTATCTATTTTGAACACAACTGGTAAGCAAATACAGACTAATCAACTCATTAGTATTTAACTGGCTTACTCCACCAATCCTGTTTTATGAGTTGTCATGGGCAATGGGAGAAACAGATCTATCATGCTCAGGATACTGGTATCCTAATAGACAAGGCAGCATCGAGATATCCGGGACAATTAGAAATCCTGTGAGAGCTAAGATGTGCATTTGAAGAACCGTAACACTTAATCCTTCAGAGAAGAAGGGGTCCAATGTGGTTTGGAGCAACTAAAACATTTTTCAATATTTTCAAATCCCAAATCTGTAGAAATTGTTACTTAGTCATGAAAATGTTCTCATGTCTCCTTCTAAGTCATCCAAAGTCCAGATTGACTAAAAGTCATTCTATGAAGTGTTGCCTTCCCCCACACTGGTGTCCACGTATATCACCAAACAGATCATTCAGGGATTACTTTGGTCATCAACTCTGTGGGGTGGCTTGTGTCTCCTTCTCTGAGATGTTCTTTATGAAATAAAATGTAGACTTCTAACTTTGGAATAGGTAGGAGAGGATTTTTGTTTATTAAAGTTGATTTTATTAAGGATGCGAACTTAAAAAAATAGGCAAAGGGAGGCAGGGTGCGGTGGCTCACGCCTGTAATTCCAGCACTTTGGGAGGCCGAGGTGGGTGGATCACCTGTGGTCAGGAGTTCAAGACCAGCCGGACAACATGGCGAAACTCCATCTCTATTAAAAATACAAAAAGTAGCTGGGTGTGGTGGCACGCACCTGTAGTCCCAGCTACTTGGGAGGCTGATGTGGGAGAATCGCTTGAACCCAGGAGGCAGAGGTTGCAGTGAGCCGAGATGTGCCACTGTACTCCAGCCTGGGTGACAGAACGAGAGTCCCTCTCAAAAACAAAAAAAACAAAAACAGGCAAGGGGAAAGTGGAAATGAATACCATCAATTCTGCCCTAAAAAGAAAATGGCAGTAACATTTCATTTTGTATTGCAACATTTTCTATTTTACATCGGATCTAAATAAGCTGAACACTTAACTGTAAAACATGTCACCACATTCTAATCATGAGAAGCAAATTACTGAAAAAGTTTTTCTACATAGTGGAATATTTCTAGCAATTGTTACTTAGTCGTAAAAATATTCTCTTATCTTCTTTTATCTTTTAAGTCATCCAAAGGCCAGATGTTGAGAAATCAGGATGAAGGCCTTCCCTTTACTGCAAACAATTGGCAGCCTATAATAAGCTTAATTAAATAATTGCTTTGGACTGTCTTGGGTATAATTAATCATTTAGCTCTAAAGAATTGCTGGAAACAACAGTGGACACAAAATTGAAGCATTCAGGGTTTCTGAGATACATTTTGATGTTCTCACAGCCCTTACTGGCCCTGAGTTAGATAAGTGAATGTAATTTGTTTTAAGTTGAATGTCACAGATATTTAGTTGTAAACCTGAAGTTGGAAGACTCTCAGAGCATGGAATTTAAATCCAGTGGACTTTGCGTGTGGGGTTCTTTCTCCCTAGGTAGAGTAGGGGGAAAAGATGAGAAGAAAGTCTCCAATGTTTGGGAAAGATGAAGACCGTGGGTCCCTTCTCTAGAGCGACAGGAGGAGGCCGGCCCAGCCATCACCCCAGGCTCAGGCCAAGTTCTGGGGCAGAGAGAAGGGGGTTCTCAGGGTGGTCAGGGTCACCCCCCTGTGGCACTCTTCTAGGATCCAGGTTCTGGGCTGCGCTCCGTACACTGATCACTCTGCTGACCATGGCTGCAGCTCCCGCCATGACCCCACTGTCCAAGGTGCGCAGGTGGCAGAGCTGGGGACCCAGGCGGGACCTGTGTGCCCCGGGCTTGGGCCTCTCAACCCCACACTCGCCTGCTTCCCTTTGTGCAGTTTTGAGAGAGGGGCCCAGAACCAGCAGGAGCATGAAAAAAGCAGAATTAAAAATGAAAAGGACTAGAATTAGAATTAGAAAGAGAAAATGGAGCCGCTGCTTTGAAAACCAGCGGCCTTCCTTTAACATGTAAAATCCTGTTGTTTTTCCTTGACAGGAAACAAAGAGGAATCTATTAAAATTTTATTAGTTGATTATTTTAGCTTTCAAAGTGGACACTCAAGAGACCTATATTTCCTCAAGATAAGTTTTTGTCCTTCTGAAAATTAGTTTTTAATCTCCAAAGCCACGATGCAGCAGGCACCGGGGCCGCTTAATGTCTGATCCTGATTTTTTTGACTGCACCCGGCAAGCAGGACAGTGGCACATGGATTTTGACTGCCTGTAATAAGATGATGATTAGAAAACATGAATTATCCTGGCTAGCTCAGTGTCCAACTGCTAACTGAATTTCCTAGAAAAAGACTTTTGGTCTCAGTGTGGTGCTGTCAATCATGTGGTGGAAAAGCAGTTGGCTTGAAATTTAATTTCGGCTTTTTTTTTTTTTGGAGCAACTCCTGGGTAAAAGTAATATCTCACCCCATACATGTTTGATAAACAGTCGTGGCAGCAGTATTACTTAACACATACGCACCACAGGGCTTCAGTAATTTCCATGTGAACTACTCAGGTACAGTCAAAACAAATATTCTTTATCCTTTTACTATGCGCGAGACACTAGGCTAGACATACAAAGACCCCTTGCCCGTGGCTCCCATTTCAAATATATCTCATGACCAGGGTGTGGGAGCACGACAGAGGAGGTAAGAGTTTAAACTGTGATAAAACACATTAAGAATAGTTATTACCAAGGGCTGGGCATGGTGGCTCATGCCTGTAATCCTGGCATTTTGGGAGGCTGAGACTGGCAGATCACTTGAGGTCAGGAGTTCCAGTCCAGCCTGGGCAACATTGTGAAACCCCATTCCTACTGAAAATACAAAAATTAGCATGTGTGATAGTGCGTGCCTGTAATCCCATCTACTCGGGAGGCTGAGGTAGGAGAATCACTTGAACCTGGGAGGCGGAGGTTGCAGTGAGCCAAGATCGCACCACTGCACTTCAGCCTGGGTGACACAGTGAGTGAGACACCGTCTCAAAAAAAAAAAAAAAAGAAAAAGAAAAGTGTTATTACCAGCATTACCAGCACATCAATAATAATAATAGCAGCTATGATGTATGAAAAGATTCCCTGAGTCAGGCTCCTTTTTTAAATTTCAGTGTTATGGAAAAATAATTCACACAGCATTAAGTTCACTCCTTGAAAGCATGCAATCCAATGGTTTCTAGCTTATTCACTGAGTCATGCAAACATCACCACTATCTAATTGCAGACATTTTCATCATTCCCCCCAAAACTCTGGACCTATCAGCAGTCACTCTTGATCCTTCATGGCCCCCATGAGCCAGGCTCTCGAATGTATTACTTCCTTTTTTTTTTCTTTTCTTTTCTTTTTTTTTTTTTTGAAACGGAGTCTCGCTTTGTCACCAGGCTACAGTACAGTGGCGTGATCTCAGCTCACTGCAACCTCTGACTCCCTGGTTCAAGGGATTCTCCTGCCTCAGCCTCCTGAGTAGCTGGGATTACAGGCATGTGCCACCACACCCAGCTAGCTTTTGTATTTTTAGTAGAGATGGGGTTTCACCATGTTGGCCAGGAGGGTCTCGATTTCCTGACCCCGTGATCCGCCAGCCTCGGCCTCCCAAAGTGCTGGAATTACAGGCATGAGCCACTGTGCTCAGCCAGGAATATATTATTTTCTTTAATATTTACAGCAATCCTGTAAAGCAGATAACATGAGCCCATTTTACTAATGAGGAAAATAAAGATGAGAGTCCCCAGGTCACTGCAGGGGGTTGAATAGTGTCCCCCCCAGCCCCCAGAAAAGATATGTTTAAGTCCTAATCTCTGGACCTGTGAACGTGACCTTATTGCGAAAAGGGACTTTGCAAATGTAATTAGATTAAGGATCTCAAGATGAGATTGTCCTGGACTAGGGTGGGCCATAAATCTAACGACACATGTCCTTAGAAGAGACCGAAGAGGAGACACACAGACGTAGGGAAGAAGGCCAAGCAAAGATGCAAGCAGAAACGGGAGTGACATCTACAAGTCAAGGCATAGCAGGGATGGCCAGAAGCCACCCAAAGCGAGGAGGGAGATGTGGGAGGGATTCTTCCGTAGACTCTGCTGAAGAAACCAACCCTGCTGACCCCTTGATTTCAGACTTCTGGCCTGAAAAGCAGTGAGAGACTAAATTTCTGTTGTTTGAAGCCACCTAGTTTATGGCAGTTTGTGAAGGTAGCCCTATGAAACAGACACAGCCATACAGCCAATCAGCAGCAGAGCCAAGATGTCCCAGTTGGGACCTGGCTCCTGGGCCTGGTCACTTGCCCTCATCAGACTGGATGGTTAGCCTCCTCTTCAGGGTCACGCACAGCACTAATGCTGGGGATGACCTTCGAGGCTGATGAGTGACCTTCGAGGTCCAGGTTAGCCAACCCTTCCTTCAGGATCCCCAGCATCTAGGGCCCTTCTGCGGAATTCCTCGTGTGGTTTTGTGCAACCTGCTTCCTGTCACTAACAACATTTTATTAAATTGATATCTGGCTCCCTTTACACACCCAGGGAATAGTTTCCTTATTTTCGTTGTTTTTTTTAGAACCAGCATTGCAGTTTGCACGTGACCAGTAGGTGAGTAAGTGATCACTAAATATTTGCAGGACTATTGAACAAGCATAAGACTGAACTAGAGGCTTTGACAAGTAAGCCATGGAGAGCCAAGGTGGGCTGGAGTGCAATGGGTTGGCAGGATTTATGACATGATCTAGTAGTGTTTTTAAAACATGACCTTCTAGAATGTGCAACATGGCAATGAAAGGAGGGGTGGAGACAGAAGCACAGTGGGGGAGGCAATTTTCAAATCTAAGAGGGGGGTTGAACAAGGATGGTGATAGAAGAGAGGGATGAAGGAGACGCTATAGGGGAGAGCGTGCAGGGCCTGGGTGGATACAATAGGTTACAGAAATCTCCCTGGGGTCAGGCTTATAGACTCGAGGTGTTGTGGACCTTCTGGACAAGAGGTCAGGTGGAGAGCCAGTCTGGAGACCTACCCAGAGGAGTTTAGATTGAGACATCCTGAGTTTTGAGTGACAGTGGGGCCTGGGGAGAGCTGAGAGACTTGACCTTGGATCTCCTTCAGAGCAGATGCCACCTGGCAAAACCACCGTGGCTGGTGGCCAGTGGATCCCTGTGGCATGCACGTCAAAGCTTCTTGCTGACTCGTGCACATGTCCAACAATATCTGCAAACAGCTGAGGTGGGCCCCCAGGGATGGCTCTCACAGGAGTTTACCCGGATGTCCAAAGATCTCCATGGGAGGAAGCAGAAGGGAGAAGGGAAGCAGTGTGGAAACCTGGCTAGAGACACCTGGCCAGAGGTTGGAGGAGAGCCAGGTGGGCTAGTCAGACAGGTGCTGATGGAGCGAGCACCACAAGTGCAAAGGTGAAGGTCAAAGTGGCTTTACCGCCATTCCATGCCAATTTCCTCCTTCATATGTTCTACTGCACTTTAAATAGTTTTTAAAAAGTGGATTGGCCAAAATTAAGGTTTATGAACTGCCTGACCTTTGGGAGGGCACATCTATTCCTGCACTACTTACTGAGTACTTGTAACATGCCAGGGTCTAGGACACAGCCGTGTTGGGGCACCCAGTCCCTGCCTTCCTGGAACTCCCAGTGTAGCAGACAGGAAGGTGAAGGCAAGGCCACCTCCATGCACCTGACCTTCTGGGTGTTAGACCTATACGTTGCAGGCACCTCGTAGAATGAGGTATGGCAGTTACCAAGGCATGGGCAAGGAAGGATAGGGGCCTTAAGACAGGGACGTAAACACATATTTACAAAGCACCTGCTATGCTACCAGAACTACAATGTATGAGGAAATGCATGACAGCACATGGCTGAGCCAGATGGTGAGGAGATGGGGACACCAGGAGAGGCTTCTTGGAGGAGGAAGCAGTGTTTGACTTGGGCCTTGAGGGAAGAGTGGATCTTCCAAAGTCAAAAGGGAGGGCAGGGAGTA
Organism: Homo sapiens; assembly: GCF_000001405.40. NCBI lineage: Eukaryota > Metazoa > Chordata > Mammalia > Primates > Hominidae > Homo > Homo sapiens. The sequence goes on from NC_000010.11 coordinate 126,127,882, forward strand.
GTGTGTCCCAGGCAGAGGGGCAGCACCACGCATGTGGCGGCATGCTCTGGAAACAGCCAAAAAAACAGCATGGCGGGAATAGGGTGGTTTCCTCAGGAAGGGGATGGTGGGACTGAAAAAGAAGATTGGATCCAAATTATGCAAGAGGTTTACCAGAAAAAAAATTGAACGGGGGTCAGCCAGGCTTGGGTTTAAGATCTAGTTTTGCCCATTATCACTGAGAGGCCATGAGGAAGTCACTTTTGTGGTCTCTGCTTTTTACCTGTAAACCAAGGAGCATGAGACCTGCTCGTGGCTTGTGTGAGCTTCCCATGAGGACAAGGAAAGGTGAGGTGCCAATTCAGGAGAGGCCCCGGTCTGCAGCTGGGATGAGGAAGGGAAGTGAGCTGGGTCAGTACCTGGTGATATGGGGATGGGGCAAAGGGCTTTGAGAGGGTGGCGATTTCAAGGTGCAAACTGCATGACAGCAATGCTGGGGGTTGGGAAACGAACTCCAGGCCCCTGAGGATGCCATGCCTTAGTTGGCTGCTCAGGTGACAATAACATCTGCCCCATTCTCATGAAAACAGGAATCATAACAATGAAGAAAAATAAAGTATGACCTACTGCAACTATCATCAGCACCCCACAGAGTGGGTACGCATGTGAGTGTGTGGTGTACATGTGGGAATGTGTGCAAGTGGGCGCCTGTGCATGTCAGTGTGTGGTGCGCGTGTGGGAATGTGTGCAAGTGGGGGCCTGTGCATGTGAGTGTGTGGTGTGCATGTGGGAATGTGTGCAAGTGGGCGCCTGTGCGAGTGTGTGGTGTGTGTGTGGGAATGTGTGCAAGTGGGCGCCTGTGCGAGTGTGTGGTGCGTGTGTGGGAATGTGTGCAAGTGGGCGCCTGCCCATGTGAGTGTGTGGTGCGCGTGTCGGAATGTGTGCAAGTGGACGCCTGCGCATGTGAGTGTGTGGTGCGTGTGGGAATGTGTGCAAGTGGGCGCCTGTGCGAGTGTGTGGTGCGCGTGTGGGAATGTGTGCAAGTGGGCACCTGCCCATGGGAGTGTGTGGTGCGCGTGTGGGAATGTGTGCAAGTGGGAGCCTGCGCATGTGAGTGTGAGGACACCTCGTGCTCAGGTGTCACCAACCCCATTTAAAAAGGAAATAACTATGATGACAACCAGTCTCTAGTGTACGATCTGATCGAGATACCACTTCCTCATCTAGCAAGTGAGCTTGGCTCAGGTCTTTTAAAGCACAGGTAGGCCCTGAAGAAATTCAGCTTCAGTCGAACCTCTGTGCCTGCAGGTGATGAAGACTTGGGGCTCATTCCAATGCCAAGAGCCCATGAGACTCCTCCTGCCAGATACCTGAGTCAGAGCTGAGAGAGCGGGGCAAGAGAACCAGAAAAATTAGAGAGAGACAACCTTTTCCCTCCAGGAGCTCATGCTCCAGCCAGGAGCTGAAGCAGTGGGAACGTGGCATTTAGGAACAAACTCAGAAGACGGGTGCATGGCTGTTTTGATGCCCCAGCAGGAGCATGACAGGGCTGGACGTCTATCCCATTACAAAGTACAGTGGGTCGGTTCCTCTGGGCCAGGAGCTGGATTCTCTTCCCATCTCAGTGACAGTTTGATGTCTGTGCCCTGCAGAGTTGCAGATTATCTGAAGCTCATGGCTGTGCCTCCAGGCTCCCTGGCTGGCAGGAATGAGAGCACCAAGCCACCAGAGCAAATTGGGAACCAGAATGTAAAAAGGGGGAGGAGAATCACAAGCACTTCACCGAAACCGTATTAACTGGGAGTTGCGCATCGATGGGAGACATACGATACGGGACAAAATTAACGTATGGCCTCAACTTCACATTCGACTTGGAGTCATTTCAAAGTAAGAATAAACTCCATGGCTGAACTCCTTTTTACGACCCATTTTCCATGTTGTACTTCATTCCCTCCATTCAAGAGCCATCTCCTCTTTCATGTCCCTTTCTACTGAGATCTTTGTGCTGTTTTTGTCTCCGTGTGCTTTCCGCTTCAAGCTTCAAATGATGAAAAACAACTTGTTAATTCCCTCCTTCTTCTATGTTCTAGAACAGAGTTTTTTTCTTCCTGCTGATTTGTGATCCTGTGTTTTTGAAGCAATGTGGGATGTTCTTTCGCTGCAAAACTGGAATCTGTTGGGCTGTAATTAATGTGTCTTCTAGGACACCCCAGCTTCCCTCCAGGTTCCTAGATCTTAATATGTTTCTGGAGCACACCACATTTAACACAATTTTTAATCCCCATTTTCTTTCTTAACAGCTAGCAGGCTGGGGCTACTCTAGTTGCATTTTTTTTTTTCCTTTTACTTCCAGTCTCAATCAATTCTTCTGTCAGTGAGCAGTTGATCAGATACAGCTTCCCCTCACCCTGGTCTGATTCTTGACTTGAAAGATCATAAAGTTGACTGTACAGCTGCGGAATTTCTCTGTTGATGCACGGTCTGCTGCTTTTGTAACAACAGCACAAAGATCTGGGAAGTCAAAATTCTCAGAAGCGCCCACAGTGAGGAGTTCATTAGACCCACACAGCGTTCCTCATCACCATTCCCATTCCCTCTTGGTGGCTGACACCAGACAATGCAGCACTTACTCTTCTGACTTTTCCTGAAATCCCAGCTGCAAGGATTTCACAATATTCTTTTCTGCCAAATTTATGAGTCTGTGCCTGCTCCTGGGGATGCGGGGTGGATGTGGAGACTCAGACACTGCAGAGTCTGGCCAGCGAGGTCGTCACCACCATGCGGAAGGAACTGGCAACCCTGACAGTTGCCCTGCACCTTTGTGGGAGGCTGAAAGAGCTAAGGCAGCGTGCCTGGCACACGGTGACTACAGGGCTGGCCTGGGAAGAGGGATGGAGGGTTGTGACTGAGTGGCAAGGCCAAGCCCTATGGGAGGATTTGTCTTGCTTGGATATTACTCTAGGAATACCTTCCCCAGTTGTCACTCTAATGAGTTAATGTCACTAGTTTATAAGTTGTTTTATTAAGGTAAATAGGAGCTATTAGGAACTCCTTGTAGAGAATCCTTTTCTCTTTGCCCATCAAGAATCTGATAGCCCTATAAAGATAACCTGAAAATTATCCAGCCAATCCTGGATGTTTCCATTGATGGCTGATCTCAGTTTTGATAATTGGGAATTTCTTCATAATTGTTGCTGGAAGAGGCCTATTTGTTTCTGAGTGTCCCTGGCTCTCAGCTGTCTTCTTTTTTTTTTTTTTTTTTTTTTTTTTTTTGGCAAAAGCTCATTGCATTTCTTTGGTACATTCACCCCTTCCCTGCTCCCTGCCTCGGGGACCCTGGGTGCAGTTTTCCCTCAACCTGGTCCAGGATATAGGGCCATAACCTGTTTGATCAGACTACTAAGCTCCCCACTGACAACTCTGATTGTTTCACAGATGAGCCAGTGGCCTAGTCAGAGCCACTGGGATGTGTTTAGATGACCTCCACTGAGCTTGGGAGAGAGGCCCTTATTCTTCTTCTTGCTTTTTGAGCATGGAAGCCTCATGCTGCCAACAAAACAAAACAACAACTGCCTATTATGGACTGAGTGTTTATATACCCTGCAAATTCATATGTTAGAGCCATGGCCCCCATGTGATGGTATCGGGAGATGGGGCCTTTGGGAGCTGATCAGGCTTAGATGAGATCATGAGGGAAGCCCCATGATGGGATTCGTGCCCTTATAAGGGACACCAGAGCTTCCTCCCTCTGTACACGCACAAAGAGAGGTCACGTGAGCACACAGCAAGCTAATGACTGCCTGGAAGCCAAGAGAAAAGGCCTCAGGAGGAAAAATCAATCTTGTCAGCTCATTGATCTTGGACTTTCCAGGCTCAAGAACTGTGAGAAATAAAATTCTATGGTTTAAGCCAACCAGTCTATGGTATTTTGCTATGGCAGCCCATGCTAAGATAGTGCCTGAGAATGAAAGTAACACAGAAGAAGGTAGAGGCTTGAGATAGAAAATAGACCGTGATAATATTAGCTAGGACCCTGTATCCAGCCATGCCTAGATTTTTCAGTAGCATAAGCCTATCTCCACATTATTTTGTTTTTCTTTAAGTCAGTTTGAATTCGTGTTTTTTTTTTTTTTTTAGTTGGAGTCTTACTCTGTCACCAGGTTGGAGTGCAGTGGTACAATCTCGGCTCACTGCAACCCCCGCCTCCCGGGTTCAAGCAGTTTTCTGCCTCAGCCTCCCAAGTAGCTGGGACTACAGGAGCATGCCACCACGCCCAGCTAATTTTCGTATTTTTAGTAGAGATGGGTTTTCACCATGTTGGCCAGAATGGTCTCGATCTCTTGACCTTGTGATCCACCCGCCTCGGCCTCCCAAAGTGCTAGGATTACAGGCGTGAGCCACCGCGCCCCCGGGCAGCTTTTCTCTTCTTTACACACAATGACCTTAATGCCAAATTGAAGGCTGAAAATATCCAGCCTTCAACACATGACCTTTGAAGAAAGAGGTCCACCTTTCAGGCCCCAGAGAGGCACAATAGTAAAGTGTGGATTTCCCTTTCCAAGTGTGTGTGGTCCTTACTACCATGGCCTTGTGTATCTCTGCCCTGGTCTCTACAGGAGCTGCAAAGCTTTGCAAGGAATTATCCCAGGAGTGCTGCATGAACACCCCCCCCCCCTCAACTAGTCCAGTCCCAGAATCAAAGAACAAAGACTGTCTCATGATGCTCACTAGAGGTGGGCACAGGGCTTGGCTTTCCTAGAGGTCACTGCATTTGTTTACTGTTTCTCCCCTGGCACCCATCACAGGGGAGAAACAAACTCAAACTTTGTTTGAACATGCAAACTTCCCACCATGCAAACTGGGGCTCAGAGAGGCCCAGTGACCTGTCCATCGTCACACAGCTAATTCACCACCCTGACTATCATGTTCTAGGGTGAGAACATCTACCTGGGGTCCCAGAGTATCCATTTTGAATTGGTCACTCACCTTCACCTCAGATGCCACCAGGTCTGATCCCATTTCACCCCCTCATCTCTGTCTCCTCCAGGAATTCAAGCACTGGTTTTCCATGAAAACTGGCCCCTTATCCCCCACAAGTCTTTAATCCTCTACTGACCCTATCCCCACTCCCTTTTCCCTAACCCTTTCCACTGTGCTCTTGGGGCTCATGGTCCATCCTCAAATCCTATCCTGATCCAAATCTCTTCCAGAATATTCCTCTTACCTCCTTCCCCTAGCTGAATCCTGGCTGATTCCACTGATATCACCTCCCCTGCAGCCTCTCAGGATGATACTTCATTACTTAAAATTTCTCCCTCATGTACCTCAGCTCCTTGGTGGTGAACAGTTGTCATCTTTGCTCTAAATTGTCACTTCCAAACTCTCCTTCTTCACCTTCTCCTGAGCGCCCACTCTGCATGCTGGGCGTGTACGCGTATTGGAGTCCCTGCCTGGTAGTGGATTTTGCTGCATCTTCAGTAGGTCCTTTCATGTGCTCACACCCCACGCTTCCTCAGGAAAGTGACTTTAAGACACAGATCACTAACAAAATTTAGAGTCGCCAGCCTCTCTAATACCCGTGGAAAGGTCTCTCGACTCTCACAAAAGTTGCCACCTTTGACCAGGCCTGCCCCACCACCTCTTACCAGAGTTACTCTGAAGACACCTACCCAAGCCTCCGCTTCTGTGCACATTCCCTACAGTCTATTTCCAGCCTGGCAGCTGGAGTGCCCCTGTAAAAATGTGAAGTCAGACCACATCACTTCAGCTCCAAGCTCCCTGGCACCCATCACTGGGGGGGAGGCCAAAGGACATCTGATCACCTTCGTGACCCCTGGTGATCCTACCTTTCCACTTCCCTTCTGACCTCATTTCTCTCTACTGCCTCCCTGTCCCTGTCCACTCTAGTTATGCTGGCCACCTCGCTGCTCTGGGAATATCCCAGGCATCTTTCTGCTTCAGGAGCTTTGCACATGCTCTTCTCTCTGATATGCTACCTACCTCATCTAAAGGGCTCACCTCACCTCCTTCCGAACCTCCCTGACTACCTGTTGCCTTTCCTGTCCTCCATCTCAGCTTTGTCTTTCTCCATGATCCTTGACATCATGTATCTTACTCTATGTCCATTGTCTGTTCCTTCCACTAGGAAGTGCTCCAGGAAGAATGCATTTTGTTCAGTGCCGTGCCCCCAGAACCTAGAACAGAACTGGCAATGAGGAAGCACTCAAGGAATGTTTTCTGAACGAATGAATAACTGAAGAGAAGCAAATTCAAACCACAAGGCACCTCCTTCACTTTTCAGAGTAGCAGACATCTTAAAGTTCAATTGTGTTGCATAAATAGGACATAAAAATGCTTTTAAAAAAATGCAGGTATGCAGAAATGTGTGTGTGCATGCAAATGTGTGTGTTCACTCAATGATTTGGGTCTGTGTCTGCTAACTTGGAGAGACAGACAGGGTTGGGTGACAAAAGAAAGCCGTAGAATGATGTATATGATGTGACTCTATGTTTGTAAAAATAAACAAATACACACCCCAATCTCTGACTATGTGTTTACATGCACAAGGGATGAGAAAGCTGGGAGGGGAATTCCCAGCTTGCATTTTTATCTGAGTGGGACTGGAACGGGATGAACGAGGAAGAGGAATAGCTTTGTGTACTTATTTTTAGTTACATGAAAGGACCAACGCTGGTAAATACTTAGAGATAAATCAGATGTATTGAGCAATGGGGAACATGTGAGCAAATAGAACTCTCATTCTCTGCTGGCTGGAGTAGAAGTGAGGGCAGCAAAGAATAAACTGGTAGGTGTGTGGTTGTTGTGTGTGTCACATGCATATTCTCATCCTCCATGATCCCACACAGAACCTGCAAAGACGTCACAGGAACTGCTGATGCGCAGAATGTGATTCTGCTTTTTAACTCAAGCAGGTATATCCTTCCAGGGCCTTCTCTCTCTTCCCTCCCATGGAATCATGCTTTGGTGCCTTGGGCCAAAGTTACCCAGGACTCTGAGGTTACAAACATTTAGTTCACAAATTCGATAAGCAAATCCAGTAAAAAGGCTGAAACAGCTGGAAATTTATCAAACAAAATGATTTTCCTGGGGAGCACATAAGGGCCACCTGATGGCCAATAACTGTGATGTGGAAGGAAGCGGGCTGTGAGTAACACCTGGGGTTGACTTGTCTAGCATGGGAAGGTAATTGTTTCCTGCATCATGCCCGTAGCATAGTAGCAAACCCCCTACCAATCCATGCCTCTATTCAACTCACCTTGGTTGTTGCTAAATTAGTTTCCTTACTTTGTTTCCTAATGAGAGGAGGCCCTTTAAGATTTACATTAAGCCAGCAGCTTCAACATTGGTATGTAATGTTCTATCTTTTAGCACTGGGAATTATAAAGCATCAGAGCCACATAAATGGAAAATAATTCACAAAATGCTTGGATGTAGAAACTCAACCAGTTCAGTCGCTTTTACCCCACCAGGCCTGAGGATGGCACTGTAAGAGGGGGCATGAACATGAGGCTAAGATCCTGGGTGGCCATGCTCTTGTAAGCAGTGGAGAGAGGGCCTCCGTGTTCTCTTGCCTAGGTGGAGGTGTAGCTGAGCTGGGAGCCCCCATCACTCACTCTCAGTGCTTTAGCACGAGCAGGAAAAGACAGAGGTTGCCTGCAGTAGATGGCTGAAGACTAGAGCCGCCATGGTCATGGCCACTTACCTGAGACCAGAACACGTGCTGAGACTGACTGCTGAATCAGAATATCCCCGTACATGTCCATGGTAGTAACAGTGACCCTAAAGGGGAGGAGGAGAGAATCCCATTTCAGTTATAACACATTTTTGCCCACTTATAATAAATCAACTGCCTCTTGTTTTTAACTATAGAATTTTCCATTGCATAAAATATTGTTCTACAGTCTTAATATTTAATGCAAAGCCCAACATGACCCAGCCAGGGTCTATGTCGGGAATATCTGATTTACTTACAGATTACCAACAGCGGTTTTTAAATGAACCCTAGTTTCACTCTTGTCTCTCTGGCACCCTACAGGAAAGCCCTGATACAGAACGTTTTACAAAATCCAGCAGCAAAACAAATCACATTGACATCGCCATTTTACCCTCATGTAAATTGTCTTTTGTAATGAGATGAAGAACTGTAGGGGGTATTTAAGCACACTGTGAAATGTAATAAAACAAGGCCTAAATCTGTGGCTTATGAAAACGGGAAAGCAGATGAGAGGAAGTGGGGGTGAAGAAGGAAGGAGGGGACCTCACTGAATTACCCAATTGAGAGCTGAAAGTCTATCTCGGCAGGAAAGAAAAATAGGAAGGTCTTCTAAGTCTAAGACAAAAGTTCCCGTGTGTCATGCCTGCAATATTCTATTCTTTGATAATGTCACAGCTTACAAAAAGAAACCACAGCACAGACACTTCCTTAGTGAAGACAGATATCAGTCCGGAATCAAGGTTAATTTTATCATCGAGCAAAGGTTATGCTGCAGCCCCAATTAAGTGGCAGACTGGCAAGAAGTGGCTGAGTATACTCAGTACTCCTCACTCAGATCCTCTGGACGCCAGCTGGGTGCAGGTCTCTGCAGAGAAAGGTACATGCATCTTCTCAGGGTTTCCTCTGAGAAGCTCCTCTTTTGAGCAGCTCAGGTGTTAGTCTGTCTCCACTGCACCCTCCTTAGCACACAGCTCCTTCACACACGACAACAGTCATGCACTTTGTCCAGCGCAGAGCTTGGTGTCCAGTCATTCTGCCCAACAAAACCCACCTTGACTTTGCTAAGAAAAAGCACCAGATGCAATTGAGTCATGAAGAAAACCAGACACCACCATGGGAAAGGGGCTAAGATGATCTCTTGGTCTCAACGTAGATGACAAAATTCTCAGATCATCTAAAAGGCGATGAAAGGAGGGTGATAGGGTTAAGGGGTTGCAGGGACATTTATTATTCTGTTGAGCTTTTTCATATTAATTTTAGAAGTTCTTTATATACTCAGGATATTAATACTCTGCCTGTTATTACATGGGAAATGTCTTTTAACTTTGCTTATGGTATTTTTTGTTCAGAGTTTCCAGTGTATATCAATCTAAATGCATTTGTCGCTCTCTTCATGCATTTTTTGCATAGCTCAAGGTGGCTGTTTTCAGGGTCACAAATATGTTCTTCTTTATTTTCTTCTATCTTTATAGTCTGACAATTAGCTCTTTAATCCATCTGGAATTAATTTTTGTGGGACTGTGAGGTTCAATGCTAACTTTCCCCTAAAAATGAGAGCCAGCTGTGCTTTGCTGCCATTTTTCCTTTTCTCACTGATGTGACATGCTACCTTGGCATATATCAAAGGCCCACAGTATGTTTGTGGTGCCACTTTTGTACTCTCTGTGCTAGCCCACTGAGACAGACATCCATTTGTCTGTTTCTGTGCCAATTCCACACTGTTCCAATGACTATTGCTCTATACTCTATTTTGATATCAGGTAGAGTTAAGTTGTCCTTTAAAATTAAGATTAAATTCACTTGCCATAAAACTCACCTTTTAAAAGCATATATAATCAGTGGGTTTTGTTGTATATTCACAATATTATATACTCATCACCACTAATTGATTCTAAAACATTTCTGTCACCTCAGAAAGAAATCTCATATTCATTAGCAGTCACTTTCCATTCCCTGCTCCTCCATCTCTGGCAACCATTAACCTGCTTTCTATCTCTATGGATTTGCCCGTTCTGTTATTTTATAGAAATGGAATCATACAATAAGTGCCTTTTGTGACTGGCTTCTTTCACTTAAGCATGGTGTTCTCAAGTTCATTCATACTGAGGCATGCATTAGAATGTCATTCCTTTTCTACAGCTGAATCACCTTCTGCCTTGTGGATGAAAACATATTTTGCTTATCCAAGTGTTGAGCACATGAGTTGTTTCTACTTTTTGACTATTATGAGTAACGTTACTATGAACACATGTGTACACATTTTTGTAAGGATGTGTTTCCAGTTCTCTTGGATATGCACTATGAGTAGACACGTGGGTCTAAAAGTAAGGTTGCTGGTTATATGGAAACTCAATGTTTAACTTTTTAAAGTACTGCCAAACTGTTTTGCCAAGCAGCTGAACCATTTTACATTCCTGTGAGCATTACACGAGGGCTCTAATTTCCCCACATATTCACCAACACTTGTTATTGTTTATCTTTTCAATTATAGCCATCCTAGTGGATATAAAGTGGTATTTCAATGTGGTTTTGGTTTTAATTTTCTTAATCACTAATGATGTTGGGGATCTTTTCATGTGTTTATTGTCCATTTTTATGTCTTCTTTGAAGAAATGTCTACTCAAATCCTTGCTTATTTGTAAATTGGATTTTGGTGTTTTTATTGTTGAGTTAGAAGAGTTCTTCACATATTTTCAGCACTAGACCCTTATTAGATATATGATTTACAGATTTTTTTCCCATTTTATGGGTTGTCCTTTTACTTTCTTAATTTTTATTTTATTTATTTATTTTTTTTGAGACAGAGCCTCGCTCTGTCACCTAGGCTGGAGTGCAGTGGCACGATCTCGGCTCATTGCAACCTCTGCTTCCCGGGTTCAAGTGATTCTCCTGCCTCAGCCACTGGAGTAACTGGGATTACAGGCACATGCCATCACACCCAGCTAATTTTTGTATTTTTTTGTAGTGATGGAATTTCACCATATTGGCCAGGCTGGTCTTGAACTACTGACCTCAAGCAATCTGCCTGCCTTGGCCTCCCAAAGTGCTGGGATTACAGGCGTGAGCCATCAGAACTGGCCCCTTTTACTTTCTTGATTGTATCTTTTGAAGCTCAAAATTTTGATGAGGTCTTGTCTATTTTTTTCTTTGGCTACTTACACTTCTGGTACCATGTCTAAGAAACCATTACCTAACCTAAGGTCATAAAGATCTACACATATCTTTTTCTTTTTAAGAGTTGTATGGGTTTAGCTATTATATTTACATCTTTAGCCATCTTGAATTAATTTTTGTATGTAGCTTGAAGTACAAGTCCAACTTCATTCTTCGGCATGTGGACAGCTAGTTGTTCCAGAACCATTTGTTGAAACACCTACTCTTTTTTCTATTGAATTGTCTTGGTGACTTTCTCCAAATCATTTTCTTTTGGTACCATTCTTTTCTCAAAGGTTTCTAGGTTATCATTCCCTATTTTCTCTTCAGATGAATTACAGAATCCAATTTTAAGCTACACAATAACCCATTGAGATCTCAGTTTGTATTACACTGAAGTACAGGTCAGTTTGGGAAGAACTTATATTTTCATAATAAACCGCTTGCCTATTCATGTACATGGCAGGCCTCTTCTTTTAATACGGTCATTTTTATGTCCTTTAGTCTAGTTTTAGATTTTTTTTTCCACGTGGCTGTTGGAAAATTTTTGTTAAGCTTATGTATAGGTATTGTGTAGATTTGTTGATATCATAAATAAGATCTCTTTTTTCCTATTTTGTCTTACATATATTTATTTTTAATGTAAAGGGAAGCTTTTGATTTTGTAAGTTGGTCTTATATTGGGCACTTTTGCCACACCATCTTATCAGTTTATCAGTTTGTAGCGTATCTTTTTTCTATGTTGCTGATTATATCAATTGCAAACAATGAAAGTGCCGTGTGCTCCTTTTTGGATCCTTCATACAACACTGAAGAGTGAAATGGCTAGGTATGCAGGGGCCATGGCAGGAGAGGACTTACCTACAGAGGGAAAGCATGTGCAAAGATAGTGGGCGCTGGGGGTGGGGAGTGGCATCCAGGGGTGGGGTTAGTTCTGCTGGGCTGGAAGGTTCAGATGCAGGAGTGTAGCTCTCACAGTGCCCTGTTCCTCCCCCAGAGAAGCTGCCATCTTCAATAAGCACGTGGCTTAGGAAAGGATGCATCAGGCTTCCATCCAGGCCATCTGGGAGGGCAAACCTCGCTGCCAGGTCACCTCCTTAGCTTTTGTGTGACATATATTTTGAATGGCTTCAGTGTCCTCTCACTCTAGATTAACTCTTAGTTGGGTATGTAGGGGAAGCATGATAATTCTCTGACTATGAGGGGGTTATATAATTGGATCATAATGCTCTGGGGCATCAGGGGGATCCTAGTACCTTCCCAGGCCGGGCTTCCCTGGTAGGGATTTTAGCCCTGGGCACACGGCAGGCATCAAAGCGGAAGACAATGCAGAGAGTGAAAGGTTGGCAGCTGCTGTTAGGATTTTGGCTGCTTAAGGTAACCAGAATCACTGGGTTTTGACTGTCACAGATCTTTGGGGTCACATATGGTTACAGAATTTCCCCCATTTTAGAGGAATGTGAAATGCTGCTCTAAGTAGCTAAATACTGTTTAAAAAACTGAAAACCAAATGGTGACAATAATTTTAATTACTGACCTCTGAAATTTCAAGCTCATTTATACTCAATCTCAATTTGTTTTTAATAGATTATTTATTAAATGTACTTTCAAATTAAATACACAGAAATATAAGCTCGTTAGAGCATGAGCTTAGAACAAACTAGTATCAAATTAATTTCCAGTTCAACAACTCACTTGAAGTATTGCTTATGAGGGAGGAGGGGGGTGGATTTCAGCTCTCATAAACTGTTGCTTAAAGTAAACAATCTCACTTCTCTCAGTCATTAGTAGAGTTAACAACTGATTTCCAGCTTTAACACCACTTTTGTATCACCTTCAGACAGTTGACTAACAAGTCCGTTGTTCATTCCTGACAGTGATTAACTTCTTAGATTACTGACCATAATTATGAGAACTCCAAATTCTAGATTTTCCAAGGCAATGACAATTTCGTGAAATTTAATTTTTTTCAATATGTCTCATTAAGTGTTTAAACAAATGTGATTGAGTTTTTATAACATAAGTCAAAACACAGATAATTTCGCAACTCAGCAAGACATGGTTGTCACACCATGCATCACGTGGTTGGTTGGGAAATTTGATTATGGGGAGTGGAGGAGATGCAGTCTTCAACCCCTGGGGGTGGGGGGTGACCCTCTTAGCCAGTGACAAAGGCAGAGAGAGAGGAGCACAGGCTACATCACCGCTAGTGGCCAGCAGTGGCCAGTCAAGACAATCTCCAGGTGAGCCTGTGCCCTGCCCAAGGGTGCACCTCTGCACGCACTGATGCTAAGAGGCAGGCACCAACTAGGCCTTGTGGGTTCACAAACACTTGGTTTTTGGGTCTGAATATCCACACCAGAAAGAGACCCAGCAGGGAGCCATCATGCCTAAGAGGGGCTTGCACCCCAGGGCCCCCTGACCTGTTGATCACTGCATGGCCCTTACCAGCCAGCCAGCTGTGGCCACAACCCTCTGCAGACCTTCCAACACTGCATTCCTGTTCCTCTCTCTGATTGCCTCAAGGGCGCTAAACTGTATAGCCTCTTTCTTTTCCTCACCCTTATGTCTCTAAAGACATTGCCGAACAAGACATGGTCCCACTAGGCCAGGCCGTCTTTGCCTAGTTCTGCTGATCCAAGACATTCTATTTCTACCAACAAAACACAACACAGAAAAAGAGCCCCAAACATGCATAACCAGAAAATTACATCTTTTCCTTTTCAAAAACCTCTAACCATGTATTTTATATACTTATTACTTAACCTAATGCATTTTCCCACTCCAGTAGAACAACTTTTCCTTCTGTTTAATACTATCAATCAAATATAATGGTGGGTAAGAGGAAGATGGAATAAGAACTCTTGAACTTGAAAATTGGTAGCCCTCAACTCTACGCCATGTGGGAAGTAAAATCAAACGTCTGTTACCCAACTCTCAGTGGACTAGAAGGAAAGGCATTTTATATGCTTAAGTGGTAACAAAGATGGCTTGACCTTGTGATTAGAAAGGAATGCTACCAAAGTCTGTTAGGGAGTATACCAAATGAAAATTATTCTGAATGCCTTCTTTAGGGGAAATTTGTAGGGTCTTCCCAGACTCCTTGCCCTATGCAATGAGCCAAACTATCTTGATTAAGTGCTTGAATCACACAATATTCTAGCCAGAAGGAAGCTTTGGGCCATCTAAGGCCAACCTTTTTCTTTTAGCCAGCCCCTTCCCTGAATAGATGGGGAAACCAAGACCTAAATAACCATCAAAGGTCACAGAGCTGGTTAACGGTAGGGCAGGAACTAAAATCCAGGCCTCTCAACTCTAGGCCAGACACTTCCCTCCATACCTGGCTGTCAGAAACATGCATTTCTCTCAGAAACATGAGTTTCTCTCTCTTTTAGAAAAGAAAAGCTGCCGAGACCAGCTCGGTCAGGGAGACCCTAATCCAGCGGCACTAGAGGAATTAAAGACACACACACAGAAATACAGAGGAGTGGAGTGGGAAATCAGGGGTCTCACAGCCTTCAGAGCTGAGAGCCCTGAACAGAGATTTACCCACGTATTTACTGACAGCAAGCCAGTGATAAGCATTGTTTCTATAGATTGTAGATTAACTAAAAGTATTCCTTATGGGAAATGAATGGATGGGTTGAAATAAAGGGATGGGTTGGGCTACTTATCTGCAGCAGGAGCATGTCCTTAAGGCACAGATCATGCATGCTATTGTTTGTGGTTTAAGAACACCTTTAAGCAGTTTTCCGCCCTGGGTGGGCCAGGTGTTCCTTGCTCCATTCTGGTAAACCCACAACCTTCCAGCGTGGGTGTCATGGCCATCACGAACATGTCACAGTGCTGCAGAGATTTTGTTTATGGCCAGTTTTGGGGCCAGTTTATGGCCAGATTTGGCGGGGGGCCTGTTCCCAACAAAAAGCTATCACCTAAAATCCATACATGGGCGGAATGCTTTTCCTGGGTACCGCAGAGCCTCATTACAGTGTCACTCATGGCATCATAAGAAGGTGAAGTCATTTCCAAACTCAGAGAAAAGCCCATAAATAGGAGGGGTCCAAAGGTGGGTGAGCGTACATGTGTATGGGTGTATGTGTGTCTATAGGTGTGTATGTGTGTGTATGTGGGCACGTGCGTATATTTGTGTGTGTGCATGTGCATGGGTATGTATATGGGGTGCATGGGTGTGCATGTGTATATATGCATGTGTGTATATCAGTGTGCATGTGTATATATGCATGTGTGTATATTGGTGTGCATGTGTATATATGCATTTGTATATATATGTATGTGTGTATATGGTGTGCACATGTGCATATGTGTGCATGTGTGTATATGTACGTGTGTATATGGTGTGCATGTGTGCATATGCATGTGTATATCAGTGTGCATGTGTATATATGCACGTGTATATATATGTATGTGTGTATATGGTATCTGTGTATATGTATGTGTGTATATGGTGTGCATGTGTGTGTCTGTGTGGATGTGGGTGTGCATGTGTGTATATGTATGTGTGTATATGGGTATGCATGTGTGTGTGTGCATGTGGGTGTGCATGTGTGTATATGGTGTGCACATGTGTATATGTGTGCATGTGTGTATATATACATGTGTATATGCTGTGCGTGTGTGTATATGTTTGTATATGGTGTGCAGATGTGTGAATGTGTGTATATGTATGTGTGTATATGGTGTGCATGTGTGTGTATATGTATGTGTGTATATGGTGTGCATATATGTATATGTGTGGATGTGGGTGTGCATGTGTGTATATGTACATGTGTATGGGTATGCACGCATGTATATGTGGGCACATGTGTATATTTGTGTGTGTATATGCATGTATCTGTATGTATATGGGGGTGCGTGGGTGTGTGTATACACGTATGTGTGTATATGGTGTGCATATGTGTATATGTATGTGCATATATGGGTGTGCATGTGTGTATATGTGTGTGTGTGGGTATGCATGTGTATATGCATTGTGTGTATATGGGTGTGTATGTGTCTGTGTTTCTGGGTGTGTGTATGTACATGCATGTCTGTTGCCAGCCTGCATTTCAGCATGACTGCAGTCAGGTCCTTGTTCCCTTGCACGCAAGCCCCAACATACTACATGTTTGCTTGAGACTAAAACAAGGTGACAATGCATCTGAGCAAAGAAAAAGTGACTTTGCAGCTCTGTGTGTTTCTATAACTGGGCTACATTACACTTAGTCCTGAGAGTGTGCAGGGCAGGATTGTGAAGAAATAAGTCACCACACCCATCCTCCGAGCATCTCTGCTCCCATGTCCATAACAAGAACCATGTCTGGTTAAAAGACTATAAAGAACTAACCTCAGGGACCACTGAAATCATTTTGCTGTGCTAGAATTCTGCAGAGAGAACAAACGCTTACAAAATCATGTTCATAGTCTTTGAGACCTCCAGGCAAACTGGGCCTGGGAACAGCACGTCTGCAATAGTGAGATCACTAGATCCATCCAGAATTGGAAATCTTCGGGTTGAGTCTCTCAGTTTTTAATCTGTATAATGGGACGGGCACTTAGTTGTCCAGAGTTTTGTGGATCAAATAAACATGACATGGGGACGCAATTCATAAAATGTAAGGCATTGTTACAAATCTGGAATACGAACATAAATATTTTAAACCCACTCTGCTGTAAGCTCTATTTTCCACTTGCTATTTTCTTCCACACTGACCCATTGCTCAGTGTATTTTTGTTGAACGAATGAATGAATGGATGTGCATGAGAGAAATTGACCCATTAGAGAGAAGGGAGGGTTATTTGCTTATACCCTGTCACTTGGCTCTAACTCCTAACTGCAAATTTTCTTGGATATTGTGTGAAAATGCACACGGGGGGGTTAGCAGGGGCAGGGGTCAGAAGACCTATAGGGCCATTTGCAATTTGATGGAGACACACAGGCCTGAACAACTCAGTTATCAGCCGCATCCCAGCTTCTCATCTGTTCTCAGAATCTACAAGGGATTTCAGAAGGAACATATGGTACAGCGTGGGGAAGAACTGCTGTGAAATGATCACTGGCACAGCAGTGGCCATGGCTGGCTCACTTCCCCAAAGCCCCGACTGAGTGCCAGGCTCGGTGTCTGTTTCATCGTCACATCCCACAGCTGGTTAAGTGCTCGAGCTGGGATTCGAACCTGGGTAGCTGGACTCTGGCTTGTGATCCTAACCTTGACGTATCCTGTCTCCAGACAGAAGGTCTATCTTACAGCCTGCCCTTTCCTGACAATTTTATGGAAGAAAAGTCACCAAAACAGTGAGTTCCTCTGGGAACGTGGGTTTGCCCCTTGCATTGTTTGGCTCCCAAAGCATCTCTGTTATGGGCACATTATGTCATATGTTGTTAGAATGTATGTTCCCTGAGGACAGGGGCTGCATCCTCCCTTCTGCAGACTTGCCACAGAGTATGGGATGTTTACTGGTCTGAGTTCAGTTGGGCCTTGGAGTGATGCACTTAGTGAATCCCCAGAGGCCTGTTCTGGCCTCTCCTCTCCTCATATTCCAGGACTTTGGTTCAGCTGCTCTCCCCCAAGAGCATTCTCTAGGTGTCTCCCATTGTAAATGAATGCTACCCGCTTCCCCAATCCACTCCATTTATAGACTAATTCCATTACAACAAACACCATAGCCAGAAACGTATAACCAAGACTCAGTGTTTTGTTCCAAGTGAACTGGAGGCAGTGTAGCACAGCATATAGGAGCTGAGACTCTCCTGTCCAAGAGCTAGCCAGGCCTGATCCTGCTTAGCTTCCAAGATCAGATGAGATCAGGCTCATTCTGGGTAGTGTAGCCTTAGACTAGGAGCTCAGATTCTAGAGTCAGACTATCTGGGTTTGAATCCTTATTAACTGTGGGTGTGGCCGAGTTATTTAGCCCCTCAATGTCTCAGTATTCTCATCTGGGTATAAAGATAGCAAGAACTGATTTTTGGTGAAGATCAAACAACAGAATATATGAAAAGTTCTGTGCACAGTGTCTTGCCTGTTGTTGATATTTACTCAATGTTAGCTACCACATTGGACACTATCAGTAAACATTTGTTGAATTAGTGCATGAATGAATGACTGAATAAACATAGGCATGTGTGAAAAGGTAGGGCCGTCACCACTGTGGAGGGTGATACTGGTCTAAGAAATTTGAATTTGACTGAGGAGGCATTGGGGGAAGCTGCTGATGATTTGGGAGGATCAAAATGTAAATGCAATCTTGTGATACAAATAGAAAGATGTTTTAGAAGGATCATTCAGGCCGGTGCGGGGTCTGGATTAAAGCTAGGTTATACTGGTAGTTGGGAGAAAAAGACAGGTGGCTAAAACATCTTCCAGCTGTGAGGAAGGGAGGGCCTGAGCTGGTGCAGCCATGTGATGGTGGACAGGAAAGGGTGTGGAATGTGCTGTGGAGGTAGGAGTCACCACGGGACTTGGGTGAAGACCCAAGGGAGAGAAGGCACTGGTGTTGAGTGCCTCGGCCAGTGGGACAGCAAAGCAGCCTGTGAGGGAGAGGCAGGCAGGGAGAGCCGGTGAGTTAGGTATGTGTGGAGTACAGCAACAGCAGGGAAATTCAATCCATTCTCAATGATGTTTTAAGAAGAATATGATGATGAGCCTGGCTTGTGGAGTCCTAGTTAGGGAGGAGGAGTCAGGCTAGCAGGATTGGGGGAAAGCAAAATGAAGAAGCAGATAAGCTACAAGTCTGCCTTTTTCATGGTCCAGGACACATATCCCTCCCGTGCACATGACTCACAATCTTCCTGTGCCCAGCTATCACCAGACCCCCAGCTGACAGAAAATTGCAATTTAGTTCACTGCAACCTTGGCATTATCAATATTGCACAAAGCTTTCTTCAGCACACCGGTGGCACAAGCACCATCCTATAACATCTCCAGCAAGCCTTTGTCTCCTTGCAGTCAGCTCCTCTCTTGCTGGCCTGCCCATTGCTCCTTTGTAATGTATTTTCCTATGATCTCTAGTAAATCTCCCTTTCTTTACCTACAACTGTCTTGGTAAATTCTTCTTACCCCCACGCCTCTGGCCCAGATAGTCACTGCGCACCTGCAACACTGCTTACACTTGATACACTTATGAGATGTGCGTGATCTCTGACTTTCCCCTTCCTTCCAGAATTATCTTTTCATCTCGATTAGATGCTTTCTAACTGTAATGAACTGTGGTTAACTCCTGATAGTCATCCGCCCTGACGTGTTTAGTCCAAGCTGGTTGTAGAAGATACTATCCCTTTCTGACAATCAGTAGTTGCCATGGAAATGAATGGGATGTCACCCAAACAACACTTTTGGCCAAAATATTAGATTCTATCCTTACCTGATGGTCCAGCCTCAGTTCATCTCAGCTGGTCTCCTTTGAAACTATCAAAGCAAATGCTCTCTATTTTTTCCAGTGAGAAACATATACCACGAATGAAACATTTTTGGGTCCTGATCATGTCTAAGGGGAGACATGTTTCCTTCCTTTCATTCCGTGCACCTGGCCTCTGCTGCTATCTCCTCTCACCTGGGCTTCAGGCTGTTCCACAAGAGGCCCCTGCCTGACCCTGACAGAGCAGGGGACCCTCCCTCTCCCCTCCTGTTCCCTCTGACTACGACTTCATGCTGGAGCCAGCGGGTGCTTTTCAAAGCCCAAACATAGTCATGACACGCCTTGAGGAAGGCCTTTATTGACCTCCTAATGTTCCCCTATCACAACCAAGGCTATCAACATGGTCCTCAGGTCCTATACGCTATGACTTTCATCAGCTCCTAAACACTTCCTTCCTCTCCCCCGCCACCCCAAGTAAAACTCAGCATCAGCCTGGAACGTTTCTCCTCCTGTCCCCTGGTTCATGCCTCCTCAGCCTCCAGCTGTTGGTTCAAATGTTCCTTTCCCCATAAAGCCTTCCATGATCCCTCAGACCAGATTAGGGCCCCGTGGCCTTTCCTTTGGTGCACTTAGCCCAGATGTTAATTATGTTTGTGCTTACCAGGATAAGGGCAGTCTTCTTCCTCTAGCCTCCCCTCACCCATGGGCTCCCTTGTCTGTTTTTAATCCCTGCTGTATTCTCAGCATAAGGGGGCATGTGAACAGGTCATGGTACCTGCGTAGTGCAGGTTCTTGGTTGACAAGATGCATGTAACAGACGAATGTATTCCCTCCAAAGCACTGACAGCATCTAGCCTTTTTGGGGACCTCTGCCAGCCTTTCAGAGCTGTCTTTTGGCATGTAAACAGCAGAAATGTCACACGGATAGTCTCCCGCAGGCCTTATTAAAAGTAACAATATAAAACATAATCTCCCCTTAGATGTGGGCAGCAAAGGATAAAGCCACAAATATTTCATCCTGTCAGGACAGTCGAGAGAAAAGATGTGATTAACTCCAAAATTAAAATCAGCCACTCTTCTGAGTCAACCAGCTTATACCAATTGTTGAGATATTTAAAGAAAAAAATAGCACTATACACTATAGCCAACAAAAAGTGGTTCTTATTTTATACATAACTTTAAATTTAGGAAAATTCCCTGTGTGCTGACTTGAGCAGAAGAGGAGATGAGTCAGCAAATTTCTTTTTGTTTTCCAGCCTGATTCAATAAAAACAAAACCCTAAAAGCTGCATCTGGGTCCTCACCACGAAAAACAATGCAAAGCCTCGGACTCTCCTTAAGGGGCTCCTGCTGGAAGGACCAGCTGTTCTGGGCTGTGGGTTTTAATTAGTGAACAACATTGTTCACTCCCTGTCTTTACTGTAACAAGGCTGACTGCTTGGAAAGGCATTCAAAGGAATGGGGGAAGGGAACTGCTGGGTTAAAAGAAAAGTCACCATTTTTCTAATTATAAAAGCAACATGTGCTTGATGCTTCTGGAGATTTGGGGGTGCCAATTAATCTAGCTTTCAGTTGCTTCCCCAGTGGAGATGATCCACAGAGTCAGATGAAGATCAAAATACAGCATCAGCTTAATGACTGCCAAAAAAGAGGCTTCTGGTATATTCTGGAGAGGATACTAGTTTAGGCCTAGACAGTAGAGAGGCTTCCTGCAATTTCCAACTTCCATCCTCCCCATGCCCCGACCTCTTTCCCCTTCTTCCCAGCCAAAAGCCTCAGGACCCATTGTGGGGAAGGTAGAAATGAGGAACACTGCTGCCTAGAGGACTCCATGGAGGGAGGGAGGGGCAAGTCTCACCCACTACTGACCTCAAGGGCTGCCCAACACAGGGGCTGCAGCCACTCCCCAGTTAGCAGGGACCAGGGATTTTCAGGGCCTGTCTCCTCCCACCCTCTTCCCTGTAAAGAGACAGTTCCATGGGGAGGACCGGGGGAAGACGAGGGGAATGGAGCAGACATTCACCCTTTCACACAGTAACCACATGGAAAAGGAGGAGAGGAAAAATGTGAGCTCCTGCTCCTGTGCACATGTGAATCAGAGAACCCAGAAAAGCACAGAGTCCCGCACCACATGGAGACAAACACTATCAACGCCCTGGAGCCCTTCCATCCGGGCTGTTTACTAAGATGCCTGGATATGTAGACTTCAGCTTTTGCAATCCAAGTCCCAAACAGACCTGGCAGTTGTTGAACCCCTGTTTCTCTAGTCCTCTATTTCTTCGTCTTCTTGCTTATTGCATTTTTCCTCCCAAGTGAGAAAGAAGGGGAAAAAGTACTGTGATAGTAAATATTGAGTGTCAACTTGATTGGATTGAAGGATGCAAAGTATTATTCCTGGGTGTGTCTGTGAGGGTGTTGCCAAAGGAGATTAACATTTGAGTCAGTGGACTGGGAGAGGCCCACCCGTCCTCAATCTGGGTGGGCACCATCTAATCAGCTGCCAGCGCGGCTAGAATAAAGTAGGCAGAGGAATGTGGAAAGACTAGACTGGCTGAGTTTTCTGGCCTTTACCTTTCTCCCGTGCTGAATGTTTCCTGCCCTTGAACATCGGACTTCAAGTTCTTCAGCTTTTGGACTCTTGGACCTACACCAATGGTTTGCCAGGGGTTCTCGGGCCTTCAGCCACAGACTGAAGGCTGCACCATCGGCTTCCCTACTTTTGAGGTTTTGGGACTTGGATTGGCTTCCTTGCTCCTCAACTTGCAGATGGCCTATTGTGAGGCCTTACCTTGTGATCGTGTGAGTCTGTACTCCTTAACAAACTCCCCTTCATATATACATCTGTCCTATTAGTTCTGTCCTTCAAGAGAACCCTGACTAATACTAATACAGATGCCTAAGAAAAAGAAAACTAGTAAGGGAGATTGTAACAGAATGCACAAAACTATTCAAATAACTTTGAATGCATATTTTACACATTCTAGAGATGTCTGTATTAGACAAGCACTGTTCACCATCATAGATCGTGGACATTTGGAAGACCGGAGCCTATTGTTGTGGTATTTCTAAGATCTCTCTTTTCTGTTTCTTTCTGAAATAACTATTTACACTGTGGAGATAGCCTCAGTGCTGAGTCTGAAAACATATTTTAAATGAGATCTTAGGGAGGTAAAAGAGGACATAAACGTCAAATGTGAACTCATGGCCCTGCCCATCACTTATTTATGACGTTGATCCACAGATCTTTACTTTAGGACTCCATCTTTCTCTGTACTCTAGGTTCTTATATATCCATCTGCCTACAGAAGACCTTTACTTGGCTGTCCTATGACAAACTCAACACAGACAAACCAAGACTCATCTCCTCTGCCTTCCAACCAACAACTGCTCCTTAATGGTACCACTGAGAAACAAATTGCCCATCCAATGGCCTAAGTGGAAGGGAAAGTCCCACTGATGACACCTCCCCCACCCTCTATCCCCTGATCCTGTCTCCTTTGACTTCCCAAGGACTCTTGACTCTGGCCAATTGCTGACCATTCCAAGGCCCAGTTCTGTAGGCAAAATTTTCACTAACTACAATGGGCCCATAAGAAATCTTCCTGTCTTCTGTCTACCAATATTCCTACCAATCTTTCTTCCATTCTGTCATCAGAGACCCTTTCTAAATCACAGAACTGAACAGGCCATTCTGCTGCATGAGAACTTCCTATGACTCCCAAATTTCAATAGGTAAAGTTGAAACTCTTTAGTATGGAAAGGTTTCATCCCCATCTTGGTCTTCTTCTTTGCCCACTTTTAAAGACCCAGATTAATGTTACTTCCTTAGTGAAATGGCGTCCAAAGAATTAAAATCAGCCACAATTAAAATACCACAGTGGTATTTTGTACACATCTCCTATTATAGTAATTACATTAAAACATGTTTTTTAAATGTCTTTAAAATGCTCTGTGCCTCTTAAGCAGGATTTATATGCTGAGGAATATATTTTAGTCAGCCTATCTCCCCATAGCCTAACAGTGTCTGCAAACAGGAGGTGCTAAATAAATGTTTGCTGAGTGAATAGATGAAGAAATGAATTTTACATGGCATCACCTAAGACAATGCAATGCTAGATGGATAATTTTATTAAAAATCTATTATATGCAAGATGCTATGTGAGGCTCTATGGGGTTAGGAAAGGGATAGATAGCATTCTCCACTCACAAAAGCTATTAAAATCACTATAAGAAACAGTATAGGTTATCACAGAAGAAATACTATCAGTTATAATACTTTTAATCTGAAGATATTAATGGATTAAATTACCTTAGTAGATATACTAATGTTGAACTATCCTTGCATTCCTCAGTTGAGTATAATTTGGTCAGAAGTATTTTTAAAATATGTACTGGATAGGGTTTGTAAAATTTACTTAGGATTTTTGCAACTACGTCCATAATTGAAACTAGTCTGTAGGATTCATTTTGTGCATGCTCTTTTTCTTGTTTTAGAAGCTCCTTCCACACCCTCCTTTAAAAAAATTATTCTTTTTTTCTCAGGAACTATTTGTTTCTTATATGTTAGTTAAAACTCACCAGCTAAATCATTTGAGTCTGAGCTTATTTTTGTCAGTAAATATTAAAAGTACTATTACAAATTTAATATCTTTATATAGTTATATTTAAATTTTCCTCTTTCACCTTGATCCAGTGTTAATAATTTTACATTTCTAAGAAATAATTAGTATTGTTCACAACATTCTTGTGATTTAAAAAATCTCTGAATAAAAATATTTATATCCCTCTTTGCATTCTTAATATTATTTACTTGGGAATTCTTTCTTTCTTAATTTTATAAATGTCTTGTCCATTTTATGAATATTTTCAAAGCACCAGCTTTTGGTTTAATTCATCTTCCCTCTTGAGTTTTTTTTTTTTTTTTTTGGTCTTCCTTTTCATTAATTTCTGCTCATTTAAAAAATCTTCATTTCTGAGAGAGGTATATTTAAATCTCCCACTCTGTGAATGTGTCCAGACATTTTCAGTGACTTGCTTTATGAATTAAGCTTATCAATTTTACATCTAGAGACTTTTCTTTTGAGGAAAAATTGTAAAATGCTGTCAGTATTGAAAGCTTTTTTGGTAACCTTCTAGGAACCAAACAAGTTTTAGCCCATAATGTCTAATCTTTAATGCTTTTTTGTTTTGTTTCGGATTTTCAGAAATCCTTTAATTAGGAGCTGGGCTAAAGCTTAGTTCTAGATGAATCTATAATTAGATTTAAAAGTTACATCTGGATTCTGCCATTTATCACTTTATATATTTTGAGACAATTTTGCTAGCATATACAGTTTCAAAATTCTTTTACTACCTTTCTAAGTTGCTCCTTTTATCATTACAGAATTACTCCCTTTATGCCTATTAATGTCATTTTTGCCTTAAGGTCTAGCTTCTCTGATGTTACCACTACAGCAGCTTTTTTTTTGTTTTGTTTTGCTTTTTTTTTAATTAAGATTTGTCTACAATATCTTTTCCCATTCCTTTTCTTAGTTCTCACAACCATTTTATATTTTGGGTGTGAATCCTGTAAAAATGATGTAGCTGGATTTTATTTTAAATTCTAAGCAGATCATGTTTTCATTTTTACAAAGAGATTCCATCTATTTACATATAATGAGATTAATATGTTGACTCATTTTTATCTTGCTATTTTATGTTTTTCTACTCTTTAAATAGTTATACTTAAAATTGCAGGACACACTCTTATCAAAATCTAAAGTTAATCAGCGTGTCTATTATTCTCCAGTACAATACAAATTCTTAAACCATTTTAAATCTATTAGCTCATCTGGTTTTAAACCATCCAAATTTGGTCACTGTTGCAACAGTCATTTTAAGAAGCTTATTTAAATTTATTCACATGCATTATTTTGTTTACTAGTGCCTCTGACTTCCTGTCCTTGCTGCTGGTGATCAGTTTCCTTCCTACTGAGCTATTCTTTGTTAGTTACCCTTTGGTAGATACCTTCGTTGGAATCTGAGGGTAGTAATTTCTCTCATCTTTGTATGAAAATGTCTATTTCATTTTTATTCTTACAAAATAATTAATGAATATAGGATTGAGACTGACAATAATTTTCCCTTAGCTCTCAAGTTTTAATTGCATAGTTACTAATGAAAAGTTTATTGTTGGTTTAGTTGTCATTATTTTGTACAAATCTCTCTTTTGCCTCAAGTGGTTTTAAGAGTTCATCCTTGGTGTTCTGCATTTTCATCAGCAGCTGTCCTGGAGTATGTTTAGTTTAGTTATTCCAAGTTATCCACCTCCTTGGTGGATTTTCCTCAAGACTCATGTCTTTCCTCAATTCAGGGACAGGCTCGTCACACTCTGATTAAACACGGCTTGTTTCCTGTGTGTGTTTTTAAATTTTATGTATTTTCATTGTGGAATTTCTATTAGACCCATTCTGTTCTCTTTAATTTTTTTTCTCTGATTTTTCCATTATCTCTTATGTTCTCAGAAGTCCTAATTCTTGTTTCTCTTGTCTGCTGATGCTTGCGTACAACGGCTTTTTGCATTGTGTGGCTTGTAATTTTGATTTGGGGCTCATCTTTAATATTTTTATTACTTTTTCTTCCATGAGGGCATCTCATGTTATCTGGGTTATAGAAATATTCCTACAGAACTATTTTGGGTTGGCTTATGTCTGGGCCCATGGGAGTTTCACTGATGTGGGACCAGTTTTGAGGTCAATATCTTGACTGGGAATTCCATTCCTACGCTGGTATTAAAAATTTGGACACAGGCCCAGACTATTCCCAACATCCACACATGAGACTAACTGGGGTTTCAATGTCTTCATTTTTTATGAAGTCTTTTTTCAATCCAAGACACCTGGCAAACAATTCTTCCTCCCAGCCCCCATCCCTGGATTGGAAGAGTTCTTTTTGTCTCTTTTTCACAGAGGAAAGCAGCTCTCCTGGGGATCTGGCTTTTGTGGGATTCTCAGTTGCAGGCGGTTACTTCTCTTTTTCCAAACCCAAGCACCAGGCCCTCTTTCTGGGTCTTGAATAGCCCTTTGGGTCTTTGAATAGTCCTTTGGGGAGCCCCAACTCACCAGCCAGTGCTCAGGAATAACATCCCCTCTTTGTTTCTGCCTCTTGGGGATTTTGCTGACTCTCTTTTGAGCTTGACCAGGCATTAGCAAAAATTCTTAAATGTTTATATTTTATCCTGGATTTCCATGTGTTTTCTTTGGGCTGGGAGAGCTACAGCAGCTCATTCCACCAAGTTCCTGGAAGGCTGCAGGTATCAGCTTGCAAGTGCCAAGTGTCAAACAAGTGATAAAGAAAAGTGTTGGTGTCATGCAGAGAAGGGAGGAATCACTGCAGACAGTAATGGCTACTTGACAACCTTCAGTGATAAGGGAGAAGCATAAAGCCTGCCTCAAGCTCATCCTTTTTAAAATACCCACAGCTCTTTAAAACAAGTAACCTTCCTCCTTCCCAGAGGGCAGTGACTCTGTCCTATTCTCTCTGAATCCCCATATTCACATGTGGGACAGATCATGGAGAGTACACAGTAAACATTTGTTAAAGCAACAAATGAAGTGAGCATTTTGTCCAGGACACAGCTAAAAGTTCAAATACCAGAAACACTGCCTGAGAGGGGATAAATGTCATGTTACAGTAACACCCACGATATAGAATCGTATCCACATTGTGGATACATTCAGAATAGGTTAAGCAGAATCAGTTTTCTTTTAAAGTTCTTTAAGGCACCTCAGAGTTTAATGTAGCCAAGTTCAGTTCAGGCAAGGCTGCCTTCCAAGCCATCTCTAACTGGCTAGGTTTTCTAAAAAGGATTTGCCCAAATGAGGATCCATAGTCCTTGGAAGGTGGTTTCAAGGTTCAGCTCTGCCATAAAGCCATTCCCTCAGGGGCTGTCTGTGCACATACCTGGCCAAGGCTGCTGTTTTGGATTTATAATAGAACGCCTACCACTAAGGGACACACCAGCGCTTCTTGGGGGGGCCTAAGTTAAGAATCTGGGCATGTGATTTTGCTCCGAATAAAATGGCTACAAAGGTTAAGCACAGATCCAGTGGTGTAAGATTATGGTGATCCCAACGTGCCAGAATTACCGTGTAATTTCGAGCGAGGGAGACATCAGTACCGTCTTGCAGATAGTGGGTTTCCGTGAAACTGCTGGCAATGAGACCTCTGCGGAAAAACAAAAACACCATAAAAAGATGAGTGCAGAATTGCATTGATACATTGTTGTGAATGTCTAGGCTATAGGGTAGCAAGATTGTGACCTCCTTTTTTTTTTTTTAACAGATAATCCAAGGAAGCTCCCATTAGGGCCTTCCCAGTTTAGGTTCTCCGGGGAGAATTCAGAGGAGACTCAGACAACAGAGTCAGATATGCATCCTCGGAACAATAGCCCACACACTCAATGTGGAACCCTCCCTCTCTCCCTTCCTCCCACCTCATTCCTTCATGCGCACACTGGGTGCACACACTTGCAAAGGCACACATTTGTCACACACATATACTCTTCCATGAATAGTACAGGCAGATTTCCAATTTGGGAAAATCTCCTGCTTGGAAGTCACAGTCTCCACCAACTGGAATCAATGGTTGAACCACCTGCTGGGAAAATCATTCTGATCCACAGCAGTGCCCCTGCTGGCTCCCCCGCAGGTGAGAGAACCGGCTGAAAATATTGAAATGTCACAGAAGAGAATAGAACAGCAATGAAATGCTAAAAGCAGCAATGTATGTATGAGGTGAGGAAAAATGATTTTGCACATCCTGAAATATTGAATTTCTAAGATAAATTGAAAGGGGGAGGAAACCCCGTTTATGCTATTAATAAAACTGTATGCAGTCTACCAGAACTTCATTAAAGATTGCAAAGCATGGGTTACTTAGATTTTAAATTATTTTCCAATGTCTTACATAACATGCACTATTTTATCCTGTTCAACACAACCACAGGAAGTATTTCCTGTGTAACTACCGCTGCCAGGTGCTAGCTGCTGGGATACAAAGACAAATAGGAACAGCCCCCATCTTGATGACACCACGAGCTGGTAGGGTGATGGTTGACACAGAATCCAGTGTGAAGGGAGCGATCACAGAGTAGAAACAGAGTCCTTCTGAGGCAGGAGAGTAAGGTCTGGAGGCAGGGAACAAAGGTCGATTCATGCTGACTTTCTAGAACTAAGTCAAACGGAAACACTTCAGCTATGACAGGAAATATCCTCTCCATTTACATAGGGCGTACAGCGATTAAATGACTTTGTAACTTTACCTCATCCCCTTCATTTACATAGGGCGCACACGAAGTAACCAATGGAAACCTCTAGAGGGTATTTAAATCCCAGAAAATTCTGTAACGGGGATCTTGAGCACCTATGCTTGGGCCCCCTCACACCCTGAGGAGCGTAATTTCATTTTCAATAAATCTCTGCTTCTGTTGCTTCATTCTTTCCTTGTTTTGTTTGTGCATTTTGTCCAATTCTTTGTTCAAAACACCAAGAACCTGGACATCCTCCAGCAGTAACACTTCTGGGTGCGTGGATGTGCTTTGGGTGGAGCATCCTGCAAGGGAAAGGCTTTGCGTAGGGATCCGACAACTACTGGGCCCTAACGATGGAGCAGGAGTCGGCCAGGCCCAGGACAGGGTGGAAGGAGAGGGGAAATCCTGGCAGATAATGTCAAGGTCAGGGCCTGAAAGGCCTGGAGTCTGGGGAGCTGGGCTGGTGGAAGACAGAGAAAGGCTCTAAACAGAACCTGGGTTTTCTGTGTCTGGACAACAGGGAGTCAAGAGTTGCTTTAAATACTGAACTTTGTGGATGGTGAAGGTGCTGCCTGCCCTTTCCTGTCTTCAGAGGAAGACACTCTCCACTCTTCACACCGTTTGGTTTTGTGTGTGTGTGTGTGGGGGGGTGCTCCTCCACTCTTGATCCAGAGATGAACATGTGACCCAAGCTAAGCCCATCACAAATCTTCCCTACAGCATGTTGAGCTGGGATGTCTGGGGATGACGTCTTTCTTCTCTGTTCTCAAGGCTCTGAGAATGTGGCCACCACCTCCATCCTGGTCCCTTACTTCAGGAGAAAGCTAGTCAGAGAGAACAAAGCTGTCACCCTCAGGCAGGGACAAAAGGCAGGGAGAGGGAGATGGACCTGTTGCCCATGGGGCCTGCTCCGCCTCTCCTCCTCCTCATAAGTCCCTCTCTTCTGCCTACGCTGGCTGGAGCTGGGTTTTGCAACCAGAGTCCTGATCAGTATGGCAGGGAAGGAAAAGCAGCGGGAATATGCAAATGTCAGAGATGAGAAGCACTTCCTTACACAGTCAGAGTTCTTAGACCTGCTCCCAGCCAAGTTCAGAACTGAGAGTCAGCTCCTTGTTTTACATGGATTGCAATATGTTGAGGATATGCCTGGCTTAAATCAGTTAGACCCCGATGGCAGGTCTCCGCTGCAGTCTACTTAACAGCGAGTGTTTGAGAGAGTGTGCGGAAAACATAAAACACAGACGGGCCCTCACACTCACTGGCAAAGGCACGTGGGCCTCCCAAGTGCTGCCCCTCACTCTCCTCAGCAGTGCACATGTCGTGCCAGAGAAAGTTGCCCTCCTTGGCAGCGTTGAGCTCTGAAACCCCTGTCTTCTAAGCTCACCTCCTCTGAGCTGCCAGAGGGGCTGCCTGGGCAGGCTCATTCACAGGGCACCCTGGCCCTGTCACGCAGTCATGAGCAAAGGAGAGGAAGAGGGGAAGGAGAGCAGGCAAGGCAGTGGGAAGGTGACAGGGCCCTGAAGAGAAGAGTGTGAAGAAGGGGTAGTCCTTAGTCATAGGTAGAGAGCTCCAGGATGGTGGAGGAGTCTGGTGACCTTGACAATGGAGATGCAGCAGGTGAGCCCAGGTCAAGGTGACAGGCGAGGTGAACGAATGTTCCACAGCACAGTTCCAAAGGGAAGCAGAGAGGCGGGATGTGAAAACCAGAGACGGGGACTTGAGGGGAATAACTGGAGGGATGGGGCTGAGAGGGGACATGGGTGAAGCTGCAGAGGAACAGGCAGAAGGATGCAGAGCACAGAGGGATACACACAACACAGGACATATCTGCAGAGCACGGGGTAATGCACACAGCACGGGAGAAAGCACAGAGCACAGGGAGAGAATGCACAGAGCACCGGGAGAGGAGGCACAGAGCACAGGGGGAGGCACAGAGCATGGAGGGGAGGATGCACAGAGCATGAGGGATGCACAGAGCATGGGAAGATGCACAGAGCATGGGGAGAGGATGCACAGAGCACGGAGAGAGGATGCACAGAGCACGGGGAGGATGCACAGAGCACGGGGAGAGAATGCACAGAGCATGGGGAGAGGATGCACAGAGCACGGAGAGAGGATGCACAGAGCACGGGGAGGATGCACAGAGCACGGGGAGGATGCACAGAGCATGGGGCAGGGATGCACAGAGCCGGGGGTGGGGATGCAGAGAGCAGAGGCGGGGAGGATGCAGAGAGCATGGGGCGGGGATGCACAGAGCATGGGTTGGGGGATGCACAGAGCACGGGGAGAGGATGCACAGAGCAC
Organism: Homo sapiens; assembly: GCF_000001405.40. Taxonomy (NCBI): domain Eukaryota; kingdom Metazoa; phylum Chordata; class Mammalia; order Primates; family Hominidae; genus Homo; species Homo sapiens. The sequence continues at coordinate 126,158,694 of NC_000010.11, forward strand.
AGGGAGAGGATGCACAGAGCATGGTGGGGAGGATTCGGAGAGCATGGGGGTGGGGATGCACAGAGCACGGGTGGGAGGATGAGCAGAGCATGGAGTGGGGATGCACACAGCACGGTGGGGAGGATGCGCAGAGCACGGGGAGTAGATGCACAGAGCACGGTGGGGAGGGTGCGCAGAGCATGGGGAGAGGATGCACAGAGCATGGTGGGGAGGATGCACAGAGCATGGAGGGGGGATGCACAGAGCATGGAAGATGCAGCTAAGGATGCACACAGCCTATTCTCTACTGAGCCAGAACCCATAGTGGCCTCAATAGTCTTAAAAAAGAGCACACGGCTGGGCACAGTGGCTCACGCCTGTAATCCCAGCACTTTGGGAGGCCAAGGCGGGCAGATCACGAGGTCAGGAGATCGAGACCATTCTGGCTAATACGGTGAAACCCCGTCTCTACTAAAAATACAAAAAAATTAGCCGGGCACGGTGGTGGGTGCCTGTGGTCCCAACTACTCAGGAGGCTGAGGCAGGAGAATGGCGTGAACCTGGGAGGCAGAGCTTGCAGTGAGCCGAGATCATGCCACTGCACTCCAGCCTGGGCAACAGAGCGAGACTCCATCAAAAAAAAAAAAAAAAAAAAAAAAGGAGCACACTTGACCAGCTTAAATATTACAGAGAAAGGAAAGGAAGAATTTAATGTAGATTAAGTTATATTAATTATTACATATATTATTTACTATGTACTTGTACTTCTATCACATCCTTTATTAATATTTTAGCAATTCAGGTCTTAACAATGTTGAAATCTTATTTGAATGAACAAGGTATATAGATACCTAATATTAAGGGGAGTGATGGGTGCAGACATTTGTAGAACAAAGATACATCATTCGAAGGCTTCTGACCAGGCTTAACTGAAAGCTGGTTTGGACAGATGGCCAAGGAGAAAAGTCATTTTACGTATGAGGGAGAGAAAAGTCCATCAGGAAAGCTGGGGATTAGAGAAAACGAGCTTTTGATAGACAACTGTCAGCAAACTGGAGGACAGAGTAATTTTAGGGTTAAACAGCAGTAAAATTAATTAGAAGGTTTTGAAATGTGACTCAGAACAGCAATACAAAGCCCTAAAACTACCCACTGCTCCTCATCATCATCCAAGTGTCATTGGAGCTAAGCAGAAATACAACCACAGTCATGCTTGGAGCTCTGGAGAGTTCTTAAGCACTGTGTTATGTCTTCTCTTGTCTAAGGAGAGTGGAACAGGGGCTTGTGCTTACAGCCCTGACCATGTCCCACTGCTGCTGAGGCACTAAATGATATGTTCCTTTTCGAGTTTTTCTTATGCAGTCTGGAAAAGAAATGTTGATTTACAGATAAGATGCAGTCATACCACTTGTGTACATTGTATCTTCTCAAGATATTTTGAAGACAAGAGAGGGGAAGGGGAAGGGGAAGACAGGAACAGGAGGAAAGCCAGCAAAAATTCATGCTCAGCATACAACAGAGTCTTGCAAAATGCAGGCGGTGAATGTTACGTGCGCTCACCACAAAAATGGTAACTGGGAGGTAATACATTTGTTTATTAGCTAGATTCAACTATCTCCTTCAAAACAACATGGTGTGCCCAACAAAAACACGCAATGATATGTCCATTTAAATAGCTAAATACCTAAATAAATACCAACTCCCCCCTCTCCAAAAAAAAGCCCCAAACTGAAGATGGGCTTTCTGTTGATCAGCCCCAGTGCTATGAGCTGGAAAAACAGGCAGCTTCCTTGGTTTTCTTTCAGGGGTTTGAATGAGAGATGGAGAGAAGCAATATGACCTGATATCGGAACTCCTTCCCAGCTCTCCCTTCCAGGAATCTGTGCTTCTGCAGCCAAGACTCCAGGTGTCATGCGCTCCACACCCTTGGGAATGAACCCACCATGCAGGGCTTTGTGTGCCCCTGCTCCCTGCTCTGACTTCCTCAGGTCCTGCTTGGAGATCATGCTGCTGTCCCTGCTAAAACTCTTTAGTGTCTTCTTGTTGGCCCTGGGGTGAAATCCCAACGCCTCCCGATGGCCTCCGAGGTGCTTGCAACCTCATGCTGCCCACCCTGCCACCACACTGTGCTCACTTTTCCCTCTAGCTCATGCTACTCTAGCCAACACTGGCCTCTGGTTGGTTCTAGAACATTCCAGATCCTCTCCCTCTGAGGGCCATTGCACCTGCTGTGCCCGTGTCTGGAACATTCTTTACATGGCTTTTCATGTAGCCAGCACCTTTTCATCCTTCTGCTCTTGGTTTCAGTGTTGTCTCTCCAGAGGGTCCTTTCCTGATCTCTTATCTAAAGCAGCCCCATCACCACTATTAGCCCCCATCGCAGTCCTCCTTTGGTTTTCTGCCTGGTATTCCTATTTTGTTTATGCGTCTCCTTACTTATTTATCTCTACCTTCAAGAATGTGAGCCACAGGAGGGCTCCTTGGTCATCGCTGTATTCCCTCACTTCCAGCCCTGCAGAGAGCCTGCACCTCCTCCTGGCTGTAAGCATTAATAGCTGCTAAACACACCCTGGTCCAGGTACTGTGCTGAGCCCCTGATATCTCATTTAATCCATATATTATCTGGCCCATGGATATTATTTTTTTAATCCCTATTTAAAAGAGGAAACCAAGACACAGCAGGGTCAAATGACCTGCCCAAGGTCATGCCATCCATGACAGTGTCCGGGTGGTTTTGCTTTAGAATTTGTGCTCTTAACCACTGTGTGGCGCTACCAGACCTTACAGGATGGTCAAGCAATATTGACGGAGTGTTTGCTGCAGGTGCTGTGCTAAGTGCTGAATACATTACATGTTGAGCAGATGAATACGTGAAAGAATAAGTGAATTTGAGGAGCATGCGGCAGGCACTGCCCCTTTTGCTTCGGGCTTTCTGCTCCTTCCTGGGTGATACACGTCCCACATCTTTCTCCAGCACCATGACTTGCCAGGGAGCATGGATGAAACTGAGAAGGCGCTGGATGGAGGTTTTCTAAGATGTGTGCCTAATTTAAAAGGGGCCGGGAGTCAAAGTCCCCTGGAGAGAACTAAGGGGGGTGGATGGACAATGGCAGTATTGGAAATGTGACAGCAATGGCCTTGGAGCCTGCAGATTTCCCCAAAGAGAAAATCCAATTAGATGGACTATCTTACGTCAGCAAATGAAAACAGAAGGTGAATGCATAATTTCATGAGAACATTCTTTTTCTCTGCTTATTAGATTAGGCGATCTAACAAGGCACTCTGCTTCTCTCAATACCAGGAAGTAAAATGCATTTTAACTGTGCCAGGAGTTGATTTTGCTATTTGCCGTTTGTTGTGGGATGACACGTGACACCTAAATATTCTCTCATTTAAACAATATCTAGCATGCTGCACAATGGGAATAAGATGCTCCAGGAGGCCCCACTGCTGAAGGACACAGACCCAGAGTGGTCAGGGCTCCATGACAGGGACACGCCCAAAGCACTGCTGGAGCCCCAGGAAAGGCTTCCAACCCAGAAGTCAGCCTGGGGAGGGGGTGCCCAAGGGAGCCGGGAAAGATGGGGAAGAATGAGCTGCGCTGGTGGGGAAAAGGTGAGGAGAGGAATGGGAAATGGGGAGGAGAGCATTCCAGCGAGAGGGGACTGCATCCTCAAAGGCATGGGGGTGCAGAAACAGCATGCTAGCGGGCAACGCGCAGAGGGGAGGGGAAATGACACGGATGCCAGGTGGTCAGGGCGCAGGGCCTGAGGCAGGGAGACCCGCTGCTGCTGAGACAGGCAGGCTGGGGACAGAACCTACATGCTGCCCAATGCTGCTGACTTTATCCTGTGCCATGCAGAGCCGCCAAACACGGAAGGGACCTGAGCAGACACAAGCTTCAGAGCCACAGGTGGTTCTGACAGCCACACAGATGAGACTTGGAGGGGAAAGAGAAAAATACAGGCTCCAGGAAGGTTAGCAAGGAGGCTGGTGTGAGCGTCCATACAGAGCACCAGGCCAGGACACAACTGGATGGGAAATTCAGGGGGGCCCAGAATCAGGAACTGCGTAACAGACTGAGGACTCTTGCGTGATGTCAACAGAGATGGGTCACTCATAAAGGAGAGAAGAGACATGAGTTCAGTCTTAGCCATGGATGTAGTTTAGATACTTGTCCCCACTCAAATCTCACATTGAATTGTAATCCCCAAAGCTGGAGGTGGGGTCTGGTAGGAGGTGTTTGGATTGTGGGGGCGGATCCTTGATGGCTTGGTGCTGTCTTCGTAAGAATGAGTTTTTGCAAGATCTGGTCAATTAAAAGCATGTGGCACCTCCTCCTCCCACCCCTTCCTCTCACTTTCTCCCGCTTTCATCATACGAGGTACATGTTTCCACTGCACCTTCCACCATGACTGCAAGCTTTCTGAGGCTTCCCCAGAAGCTGAGCAGATGCCGATGCTATGCTTCCTGTAAAGCCTGCAGAACCGTGAGCCAATGAAACCTTTTTTCTTTGTAAATTACCAAGTCTCAGGTATTTCTTCATAGCAACGCAAGAATGTCCTAATCCAGCCATGCTCAGTGCTGAGAGCTGTTCTCTTTCTTGGACACGTCATGGGAGCAGGTGACTCCTACGGTTTGGAGACACATGGTGTCCACCCTCATTTAGAGAGGACAAGTAGACTCCCATCCTTTTTGGCCGAGTACTGTATTTTCTGATTTCAAAATCTTTGGACATACTGGCTGAAAACGAGTATTTAGAATTTGCATGAAAATATTACCATGTAGGTAAAGTTCTTCCTGATAAAATGTCCTGCATTTCTGAAATGATTTGAGTATTGACTCAAAACATGAATGACCTCCAAATTGCTTTCAGATCAATATTGAAATTATCCAACTTTAACTTTACCCTTATATAATTTAGTTACACAGTTTGAATGAGATGGATTTCATTAAGATAACATATGTTACACTCCAAAGCATGGGAGAGCTGAAAGAAACCCCCCGGCCCCAGAAGTGAATCAGCCTTTCTCTTGTGTTCTGCCAGGATTCTGTAACAAGACTTTCCCTATTCGGCCTTATTTCTTGTTTACTTGTCTTCCTCCCACACTGGGTTGAGCTAAAAAGCAGAAACAACACCTCTAAACCTAGCACAATGCCTAGCATAGAAGAAGTGCTTCATAAATAAACGAATGAGAAACTGAATCATTATCATAGAAACGCAACCCAATCTGGATAGAATGTGTCAGAACTAGTTGGATCAATTAAAAATAAAAGAAATATGCTTCAAATTGCTTACACTGATCATACAGGGGGTATGGGGTGGGGACAATCTCATTCATTCCTTCATTATTTCAAGAATTCTGAATGTTCTCCGGTCATCCAGTTCAATGCTGACAACATGTTATCAATTTCAAACTGCTTAAATGAGGGAAACAGGGAAAGAAAAGTAAGAGATTGGCATCAATTACTTAGAATATGAAAAAACTCATTGATGACATGTCAACTTTTTCCTATTATTTCTTTGAAGACCATACGTATTGTTGGAGGGTTTAATTATTCTGTACAGCATATTCATGCCATGCCAAAGTGTCACAAGACAGTTCTTGTTTGTCAATTAACACCAGCAGGCAGTATAGATACTCTTTGCAATTAAATCATGCCAGGCAATGTAGGCTTCAGTGATTTCTTCTTCCTGGTGGATCCATTTGGTATTCGAACAAAGCATCCAACCGAGTTTTTTGCTGAAGATTTACTTTATCATGTCATCATTCCACAAATTACAAAATCATTCATATGTAAATTTGGGTAATGGATTTCTTTTATTAGAATGTGGAAATACAGCTACAAATACTTTCATATGTGGGACTAAGGGCCAAGAGCTTTAACAAAACATAGCACCGAATAAAGATCATAATTAAAAATCATGATCAGGATTTTCCAAGTTACTAAAATGATATCCTTTAATGAAAACTGTCCATTCCACAATCACAGGTAAATAAATATAGAGAAAAGATCTGGAAGGCAAACGGTATGCACCCAGACCGGACCCTGCATCCTCTGAAAACACTCACTCTGGTTTTCAGCAGAAACTCTAGACTAGCTGGAATCATGAAGATCTTCATGCTGCTATCATTGGCTTTTCTGGACTATTTTATGAAAAGATCAGACAGTTGAAAGATTCTCTGTAAAACCAGTATACTGAGGTATAAAATAAGAGGAGAAAAATGAAAAAGAAGTATCGAAGACATCTGGTATTTCTCACATCTCAACTTTGCTCAAACTTCTTTCAGAACCTTGTCTTTGCAAATATTTATGCTTCTTTTTTATGGCACAAGTTATCACAGCCTGGTAAAGAACTCATGGTCTGGGTTCTCATCTTAAAGAATGAAAGCAAAGCATCGCGGCCACCACCCTCAATGCCTTGCCCTCATCATCTTGCCATCTTCCTCCTGCCCCTGTTCATTGTTTGCTCACAGGGTGTCAGGCCTTGGGGCATTCACTTTTTTTTTTGAGACTGAGTCTCTCTCTGTCACCCAGGCTGGAGTGCAGTGGTGCGATCCCGGCTCACTGCGACATCTACCTCCCAAGCTCAGGCAATTCTCCTGCCTCAGCCTCCTGAGTAGCTGGGATTACAGGCACACACCATTACGCCTGGTTAATTTTCCGTAGTTTTAGTACAGATGGGGTTTCGCCATGTTGGCCAGACTGGTCTTGAACTCCTGACACCTATCTCAGCCTCCCAAAGTGCTGGGATTACAGGCGTGAGCCACGGTGCCCAGCCGGGGGCATTCGCTTTTGATACGCACTTCCTTACTTTATCTTGAAAGAGACTCTGCAGGGTAAGGACTGTAATTGCCTGCTTGATAAGGAAGAGGAAGCACTCAGAGAGGTTAAGTGACTTGTCCAAAGCCACACAGCTGAGCCCTGGAGACTAAACTTGACTCTATTTAGCTCCAAAGACCACCTGTTCCTAACCACTGGTGGACACTGCCTTCCCAGGAAGCAGCATCAGCATATGGTTCTGACGGTCTGAAAAATAAGCAGCAACAAACCAAATTCCGTATTTTTCTGAAATATTTTTTCCTCCATGTTGGAAGAGACACTTGAAAACGGTGCTACGCTATTTCTCTTCACACGCAATTCAATTTTGTTACAAAATCCAAATTATTTTTGGATATAATTTCAGTATTTTGGGATCCTAACTATTTAAACTGTACATCTGTAAGAACAATGGAGCACGTACATTCCATTTTTCTTTTGTTATTCTCCATTTACTAAAAGATTCAAAATGATCAAAACAACTTTTGTTTTCCCCTGGAATAAAAAAAGCTTCCTTTGCCCAGCTCTTTCTCATTTAGTTTCACAAACTATATTAAATAAAACTGCTGATACAGCATTTTGGAAGCTGTAGGGGACAACAAAGTTTCCTGCAAAATAACTTCTTAATATACTGCTTCACTATAAGTCACAAATACACAGAATTTTGGGTCCAATCATGTGACACACTGAGACATGCTGTTATGATTGTCTTTTGGGACTGTTCAGATGAGCCTATCTGTTCATGAGCGAAGAGTTCACAGACAGCCTTTTGGACTGCTGCAGACTCAGTGGAGGTCTCTATAAGAACAGGAGGGCTGACTTGTCCACTGGCTGAAATGTATGAGCAGGTGGAAACTGATGGGTTTCCACCTTTGCAGCTCTCCAGCTGGCATGAGACTCAGTCTTAAGGCTTTGGGCTGTTTTCTCCCCTTTCAAATGACTAGATACAGTTTGCAAGTCTTGGATGAGGACTTACATACCATTTCAGGCAGGTTTCTTTTTTTTTGTTTTTTGTTTTTTTTGAGACGGAGTCTCGTTTTATCACCAGGCTGGAGTGCAGTGGCGCGAGATCTCGGCTCACTGCAACCTCCACCTCCCGGTTTAAGTGATTCTCCTGCCCCAGCCTCCCGCGTAGCTGAGACTACAGGCATGTGCCACCACACCCAGGTAATTTTTGTATTTTTAGTAGAGATGGGGTTTCACCATATTGGCCAGGATGGTCTCCATCTCTTGACCTTGTGATCCGCCCGCCTCGACCTCCCAAAGGCATGAGCCATCATGCCCGGCCTCAGGCTGTTTTTAATGTGTCATGATTGCCTTCCTAGTATAAGATCTATCAAGTTTCAGTAGCACAATTTTAAGAACAAAAAAATAGGGCCTCAGATACAGGGGAAAAGTTGTAAACCTGATAAACGATTACTTCCACTGACAGTAAAGCCCCACGCCCACTTCTCTCAGAATGAATCGCAAGGGTAGATTTAGTAGGTCAGCTTACGTTGCATTCTTCAAACGTTTCTACCAACACAGGTAAAACAGTCATTTCTCTTAAACTTCAAAATTTTCCTTCTTCCTTTCAGAAAACAAGAGTTGGCTGTAACAGTAGCAACAGCATCAGTCACTAAGTAGCATCAGTCACTAACGTTCATTTGAGCTCCTCCTAAGCAAAGGCACTTTACGTGTATTTTTAAATTTAACTTTTACAACAATTTTGGCAGGTAGGTACTTATTTGTATATGAGACACTGGAGGCAAAGAGAGGTTAGGCAACTTTGCCGGGGTCACACAGCTGGCACTGTGTAGGCATTTTGACTTCAGAGCTCTTATTGCTATACTTATACAACTTCTATTTCCCCTTAATCTGACTTTTGCCTTTTCTGCCCATATTCCTTTAAAGGGACAACTATACTTAATGTAGCAATCTCTGTCTTTGAAAGAAATTATAAAGAATTTGGAGTGAGTTGGGTGAATCTATTTCCCACTTATTGCCATGGGTCAAAACTGAAAGGAACAACGAGGAACTGCATAAATCAGGATTCTGTTTGCCTCTAGTGTGGAGAATAATCACCTTAGTCATTTTATGTGTATCAGTTCATACTATTCCATGCGTAAAGGTGCATGAAATATTCAATAATGCGAGTGAACGATCAAACTCATTTATATTTATTCATTAGTGCCACATACCACCCGCAAATAGTCTATAGACTAGAAGCAAAGTGAACCTCGAATTCATTTTCTAATTGCCCTTCTTGCCCTGGACTGCAAGTGGTATTTATTAGCCACTGCTCATTAAGCATCCACATGGTCTATGATGTGGGAGGACACGTGACAACTGGTGAGTCTTTAAATCTTTATAATGACACTATGAGTTGGTATATGGCCATTTTATAGATATAGGAATTGAGGCTCAGAAGTGTTAAGAAATGTGTTCAAGGCCACACACTCTTACAGCGGCAATGGGCTTGGGTTGTCACATGCTAACATATCTTACACCCAGCCCTTGGTCACATGCATGTTGGATAGGAAAGCATACCTTTCTCCCTTCCTGTCCCAGAAAATTCTTGGTTGATTATTTTAAGGAATGTATTTACCTAACTGATTAACTGAACCTCATGTACAAAAATATTCAAGTGGAGAGAGGTGCCTTTTCAGCTGGGCTAACTGATGGGGTCTTTCTTACTCACTTCTGAGGCCAGTTCCTGGATCCGAAAGACTTTCAGTCAGTATCTGCAGAATGTTTGGGCTGATACATTTCTCAGTAATAAAATGTGGACAAGAAGACCAAACTACCTTCAAAATATATCTCTAGCAGTAGTATAGCAACAGTGGAAGAACAAATCTCATTCTGCCATTTTCTTCTTTTATGACTTTGAATATGAAATCCGACCTCATGCTGGAGTTTCCTCATATAAAATGAGAATGATAGTGCCTGCCTCACAGGGACACTATATGGGAAGTTAATATATGCTATAGATGATAAACATGCCGAACCCATATTATGTACTCAGCAAATGGAAGCAATTATTATTATTAATAAGTCCGCTGGCTTCCATTCGTCTCACCTACCATTTCTCCGGTCCCAGCCACCATTTCCCCTCACCTAACCTTCCATAATAGATTAGCCAGACTCCTGTTTTCACTCTTGAAACATTTAGGTCTGTTTTTCATACACCAGCCAGTGTGAAGTTTTTAAAACGAAAACGGATCATGTCACTTCTCCACTTAAAACACTGCACTGCTCCTTACAGAACCCAGAGCAGAATTCTAATTCCTTAGCGCACGGCCAGGCGCGGTGGCTCACACGGGAATCCTAGCACTTTGGGAGGCTGAGGCGGGCGGATCACTTGAGGTCAGGAGTTCGAGACCAGCCTGGCCAACATGGTGAAACTCCATCTCTACTAACAATACAAAAATTAGCCGGGTATGGTGGCACGTGCCTGTAATCCCAGCTACTCAGGAAGCTGAGGCAGGAGATTTGTGTGAATCCGAGAGGCAGAGATTGTAGTGAGCCGAGATCGCACCAGTGCACTCCAGCCTGGGCCACAGAGTGGGACTCCGTCTCGAAAAAAAACCCAAAAAGCAAAAAACACATTCCTTAGTGTGGACCAGGCCCACCCCCTCTACCTGCTCAATTCATCCCACTTAGGCTCTGTGGCCTCCCTTTGGTTTCCCAAGTCCACCACCCTTCTTATCTTGGTCTGGAACATTCTTCCCACTTTCTCTGCCTCGCCAACTCTTAGTAACCCCCATCCAAAATGACAGTATCTGCAGCAATCTTCCCTGCCTGCCCCTTCCTAAATGCGGTTCTCCTTGTTCGCTGCTCTCGCAAGGTTCTGCCCTGTTCCTTGAGCACATAGTGCCATTTCTCATTTATTTGCTCTGTCATTTGAGGTATGTTTCCCCCATTAGGGCAGAGTCTGTCTGGGTCCCTCCCCAGCCCTTACATTAATGTCTGGAACTTAGTAGATGCTCAATAAACACTTGTAGAATGAATGGAATAACTGAGAATGAGAAAAATATGGCAAAAGCACTCATACATAATAGAATCATTATTGACTTGCTGCTATTTTAGGATATGAGGACTTCTTTCTACTCTAAAAAAAATAAAATAAAATAAAACCACCAACACCACCCAATCCCACAAAACACTGACTGGTAAAAGACACGTTGATCCTTAGAAGTTCTACCACCTAAAATATATCTGTTTTTTAGTTCATAAGGTAGAATAGAAAATATACTTTACAAGATACATCTTCAAATGGCATTTCCTTAACTTCCAGAATTAAAAAAAAGTTCAGCCGACTTATTTGGAACCATTGAACCAAATACCTTTGACTCCTTGGACACACAGCTTTACACTTTAAAAATAAAATGACCTGGTGTATGCGTGTCCCCTCCTCACACCAGCTGGTATCTCAGAGTCTTCTGATGTAGATTGGCATCTTCCGCCTAGCCCAAAGCAGGGGGTCCTGCAAGATATCGGGGCTGATGACCTTGTAAGTGGTTTCACAGAAAGCTGGATGCATTTCAGCCTGTTTCCTTTACCCACCCAGCTCGGTGAAGAACTTGTATTAATTGGTGCTTTGAGGCAGAAGGGGATTTTCTTGGCCGTGGCGGAAGCCAGCCAGCCAGCCAGCTCCCTGGCAGACTTGCAGACTGGCCAGCTGAGCTCTCTTAAAAATTGACCTACATTGAACCAAACCCGTAGAATGTGTGTTAGATCAAATTTGCTCCTCTCTGCTTGCTCAGAGAGGGTCATGCTCTGCAAATTTCCATACCATCGTGGCCAGGAGACAGACACCAGCAGGGATCCGGGGCGGCGAAGAGGACCTTCACTTTCTGAAGTGTTCTAAATTGGCCCACGGAGCAGTTCAATTCCTCTTGCTGAGGCTACCATGAAATGTGCCTGGATTTTGAAATGGATGTGTTTTTCCTTTAAAAAAAAAAAGAGGGCGGGGGGGGAGTCCCTGTGTGTGAACCCAGGTGTACAGAGGCATAATCAGTTAAAGCACACCCTCTTTTCTGCGAAGGCCCACTGAGTTTGCCTGCTCCAATCCCCTAGGCTGAGTCAGGAGGATCCAAAAAAAGCCATGGGTTGTGCCAGCCCCATGCAGACACCACTGCCTGCAACAGAGCTGTTAGAAAAGCACCGTGTCTGGGACAAGGAAGGATTGTAAAATATAAAATTGTAAAATAAAACCATTAATCCCATCTGAATTCTCGCTGTTGGGTTCTTTATATGAAGTAGTCTTCTGTTTTCTTTGTTTTAAAGAAACTACAACAAGAAGTACTTGTAATACCCATGCTGAATATTTCTGTTTCCCAGTAACGATTCTCCAAGTGCTTAGTTGATTTACTATCTGATCAGCAACTGGGCTTCAAAAAACAAAACAAAACAATACAAAACTGGGAGCATTTTACATTAAGATCTAATGCTGTCGAGAACCCTAGAGAAGAACCAAAGGACAGATGTCAGTGACAGTGGGCCATTCATTGATGGATTTCTCTCCAGGATAAAGGCCACACCAATCAATATTCTTACAGCTGGGCCTTTGAACTATTTGCTTCCTCCATATGGACTCTCCAAGGGTAAATTGACATTTTCCCCAGTGCCTTAATTTCTTATTCAATTCCAGCCTCCTAGGTTACAAAAGAGTTTGGCTAATTCTAACAGCTAATTTTCCATAAGCGCTTAAATAGTTTAGTCAGAATGATGGTTGGGAATATTTTAGGCGGCTTTCATTATGCTTCGGCTAGGCAGGGTAATTCTTATGAATTACCTTGTTGATTTAATTAAGTAATGCAATACACGACAAAATATTACCCTGGGTCATGAAAAATAGAGATCTTTAATAAGCATCATGGTCTCAAATTGTAAAATTACTTAAAAAACCGTGGCAGGGGTGGTTAGTTGGTTCATATTTGATTGAAGCAGTAATTCATTACATTTATGAAATCTTTAGAGTTCATTTGCTGTCCAGGCATTCTAACGTATTACTTACTTGGATTGCATTTTTAAAAAGCTGCTGGCATTAGGCAACAAGCAATCTTACAGCACTAGGCTAGAGTTAGCACCTTTTCCTTGTGGCTTGTTCACCGCTAAGTCTCCACGGTGTCTTGCGTATGGGACAAAACCAGATACCTACTCAATGCACCCATCCCAAAACATGACTTCACTTCTCTGGATGGGCTTTGGCCAGAAAAAGATGAACATGCTTCCAGTATTTCTGGCTTCCCAGTCGTGGATCTGTTACTCAGATGACACTGTTGTGGTTTCTTTAGAAAAGGAAAACAGAAGAATACTTCCTGTAAAAGGACCCAGCAAGTAGAATTCAGATGGGATTTATGGTTTCATTTTCACACAACAATCTTGCACGCAAAGTTGGGAATTAGGATGACATCATGTGTGCTGCTAAACTCATATTCTAGAAACATGCTCCAGAAAGGAGTTCTTCATTAGAAGCTGAAAGCTTTCCATGTGTCTGGGGAAAAAAATAGCTAATACGTTGAGGAGGAGGGAGGCCCAATTTAATGACTAAAAGATGTAATTTATAATGATCAGCCTCAGTAATCCCTCCTAAAAGTTTCATTTTAAAAAATACTATTATGATCTCCAAACTTACTGAATTAATCAACACTTCTTGGGGTCAGAAAACAATTATGTATTAAGTGCACTCCTGTACACTCAAAGACTGAGGCAATGGATCCAACCAGAAAGTAGATAAAATGTGGAGTTACTGTTCTTTATCTTTCCCATAAAGGCTGAGATTTCCAAAATTAAACAATCACATTTCAGTTCTCAATGGGTCAGAGCATTGTTTGACCTGGAACTTCAGACTCTGGTTATTAGAGGGTCCTGAGGAATCATTACTAATTTTCTTGGGTGTAACAATGGCACGGTGTGTTATTTTAAAATTTACAAGAAAAAAACAACCCCATCAAAAAGTGGGCGAAGGATATGAACAGATATTTCTCAAAAGAAGACATTTATGTTGCCAACAAACATACAAAAAAAAGCTCATCATCACTGATCATTAGAGAAATGCAAATCAAAACCATGATGAGATACCATCTCATGCCAGTTAGAATGGCAATCATTAAAAAGTCAGGAAACAACAGATGCTGGAGAGGATGTGGAGAAATAGGAATGCTTTTACACTGTTGGTGGGAGTGTAAATTAGTTCAACCATTGTAGAAGAAAAGTGTGGCGATTCCTCAAGGATCTAGAACCAGAAATGCCATTTGACCCAGCAATCCCATTACTGGGTATATACCCAAAGGATTATAAATCATTCTACTATAAAGACACATGCACACGTATGTTTACTGCAGCATTGTTCACAATAGCAAAGACTTGGAACCAACCCAAATGCCCATCAATGATAGACTGGATAAAGAAAATGTGGCACATATACACCATGGAATACTATGCAGCCATAAAAAAGGTTGAGCTCATGTCCTTTGTGGGGACATGGATGAAGCTAGAAACCATCATTCTTAGCAAACTAACACAAGAACAGAAAACCCACACCACATGTTCTCACTCATAAGTGGGAGTTGAACAATGAGAACACATGGACATAGGGAGGTGAACATCACACACTGGGGCCTGTCACAGGGTGGGAGGCTAGGGGAGGGATAGCATTAGGATAAATACCTAATGTAGATGATGAGTTGATGGGTGCAGCAAACCACCATGGCACGTGTATACCTATGTAACGAACCTGCACGTTCTGCACATGTACCCCAGAACTTAAAGTATAATAATAATAAAAACACAAATTGAAGTGTTAAGAGGAGCAATGGCATGAAGTCTGTTTGAGGTGACCTCAGAAAGGGGAGAACCACAGAAACAGCAAACGCGGCGAATCTTAACACCGGCTGAATCTGGGCTTCTCAACCTCAGCTCAGCTGACAATCGGTGCAGATGATTCTGTGCTGGGGGGCTGTCCTGTGTAATGGAGGGTGTTTAGCAATATCCCTGGCCTCCACCCCCAAGATGCCGGTAACTCTCTCCCAACCAAAACTGTCCCCAGACACAGCCAACTGTCCTCTGTGGGGCAAAATCACCCTCAGTTGAGAACTGCTGGTATGTAGGAGGGATTAATATACTATTTCCTCTTCTTTTGAATATAGATTTTTTTTTTAAGTTTCAGAGCGCAAGTTTTAAAGTCAATGGAGGAACAAAAGTGTGAAAAATCACAATGCTAATTCAGTCTCTTTTGTGGTTTGGAAAATCTTCCTGAGGAGTATAGCAGAGTCTGCCTGGGGCCCCGAGACCAGAGGCCCCAACTCCAGAGAATTTCTCAGGCCGGTCTGGGACCTTGGTGTCAGAAACCACCTCAGGCCAAGGGAGTCAGCATCGCAGGGGTCTGGGGGCTAGGAATGGGCATTTTTTTTTAAAGAGCATTAATATTTGGAAATAATTTCAAACTTACAGAAAAATTGCAAAAATAAAAATCATACAAACAACATATATATGCCTATACACCTTTTATCCAGATTCATCTGTTGTTGATTTTTTTTTTTTTTTTTTTTTTTTTTTTGAGATAGAGTCTCACTCTGTCACCAGGCTGGAGTGATCTTGGCTCACTGCAACCTCCCGCCTCCCGGTTTCAAGCCATTCTCCTGCCTCAGCCTCCTGAGTAGCTGGGACGATATTTTATTCCATTTGCTTTATACGTTGTTCCCCTCCTCCCCCTTCCCCCCACTGCCCACCTCCCAATCTTTACAAACACACAGAGTGTTTTTGCTAAACCATCTGAGGATAAGTGATATACACCATGGCCCTTTCCCACCAAATACTTCATTGCATATTTCCTATAAGCAGATATTCTCCTACGCATCATGGCCCGGCTATCCAAGTCGGCAAATGTCACATCCAGGCAGTTCCTCGCTTCTCAGCCACACTCAAGGCTGTCCCTGACCCAGCTGTGAGCTTTGCGGCATGTCTTTCCTCCTCCCAGGCCGAGTTCAGGGCCGGGGCTTGCATTAGGGTGTCGTGTCCATTTTCCCTATATTTTTATTAACAACTTTAAGACACTATTCCCGTACCAGACAACTGGCACACTGAAGATGTACAATTGCATGTTTTTTACCCTATTCAGGGTGGTGCCACCATCTACCACAAGATGATTTTAGGATATTCCATCTCCCCGTGCCCTTTACCCTATACTCACTACCCTTAGTCTCTTGGAATGAGACATTTCCACTGCTTTTATCTCCTATGATAATGACATATTTGAGGACCACAGTCCTCACCCCCCCTTTTTTTTTTTTTGAGACTGAGTCTCACTCTGTCACCCAGGCTGGAGTGCAGTGGCTTGATCTCGGCTCACTGCAAGCTCCGCCTTCCGGGTTCACGCCATTCTCCTGCCTCAGCCTCCCGAGTAGCTGGGACTACAGGCACCTGCCACCACGCCCGGCTAATTTTTTGTTTGCATTTTTAGTAGGGACGGGGTTTCACTGTGTTAGCCAGGATGGTCTCGATCTCCTGACCTCGTGATCCGTCCACCTCGGCCTCCCAAAGTGCTGGGATTACAGGCATGAGCCACCGCGCCCGGCCACCCATTTTTATTAAAACAATTTTGAGTTTGTCTGCTATTTCCTTGGGACCACCTTCAGAGCCAGAATCCTGCGAGAAGAGCCAGAAACAATGGCTTCACAAGGACCTGCAGCCAAGCTGAACAGCACAGCACACACGAGGAGGTGGTGTATTTACAAATAAGCGAAGAACGCTGCCGAGAGAAACACACAGCACCGGAAGACCAGTGTGCGTGGAGGCCACTGGGCCACACAGCCAGGTGCCAGGAGTTGCAACTCACCTCCACAATGGCCTGCCTGCTGGCGGGGCAACCTTACAAAATATTATTATTATTTACTCATAACAATAACAATTGCTCGGAAAATAAAACTCAAAACAGGCAAAACCATTGGAACACCAAGACGAGACTTCTACAGGTTTTATTTTAAACATATGTTTCTAAAACAGTCAGTGGTGAGTGCCAAAAAACACAGCATCAAGTCGATTTTCCTTTTTCTGTGTACATGACTTGCTTTGGAAACTGCCTATACATGCCCTACATTTTTTTCTCTCATCAAAAACAATCGAGGAATGGTACAAGGAGTTCTGAAGCATAACCTAGTCGTTTCATTCGAGTGGCGAGAGAGGGACGTGATGTGATGTGGGTGCCACGTAAGTGTCGTGCTGGGGGCAGTTGGGAAAGAGTCTGCTCGTTCCATCGGAATGCCCAGAAGAGCAGGGGCTTCCACTGCACTTTGCAAAACAAGCCCAGCCGGTGGCTGCCCTGCAAGCTGCTCTTGGAAGGAGGGGAAAGGCTCTCCCTTACCACTCTGGACTTCCCTGGGGGTTCAAGCCTCATGCAAGAGAGCCCAGTCAGCATTTAAGCCCCAGAGGCAGGTGTGATCTGCTGTTCCCCTCTTTTGGAAATATGGGTCTCGTAAGGTCTCTCCCTGAAGCTGTGTGATGGAAATCAACATTGTGTGTGTGCTAGCTCAGCATAAAGAAAGGCTGCCTCGCCCTCACCCTGCACACCACAGAGAAAGATCTGTTCCAAGAGAGTCAGGTCACTGCGATCCTCAGGGGGTCAGAGAACCAGGAGGCTAATAAAACAAAAGAGATCAGGCACTGAGTTCCGGGAAGTTACTGAGCACACATAACAACTGCAGAACGATCCCAAGTAAAGAATATTCTCAGGGACTCTGATGGAAAACATACCATGAATTAACATGCGTTCAAGGCCTTCTCTGGTCCTGCGGCCTTTGGCTCAAAGAGCTCACAGCTCACCAAGAGGGTAAACACTGCTCTCGGCCAAGGCCATGATTCAAAATGCTGGCTTTGGGATCCTTCAGGGTGGGATGCGTTATCATGAGGCCTCCTAGGGTATTCATTTATAGGTGATATGAAATAGAGTTTACCGTCATTTTAAATAAAGACACTAGGTGAAATTTAAGACACATTTCGAGGAGAGGAAATATAAAACCAGAAATGGCAAGACATTGCCATTGCAAGAACTCTGAATCACTCATCTAGGGCATAGTCTATCTTGTGCTCAGAATACGTAAATAGTTAAATCAAGTACATCCCATATTATTTGTATTTCACAGAGTAATACAATTCTTTTGTTTCAGTGGCATAGGAAGCAACAGTGTAACTAAAATATGATACTCTTTTAGCCTAAAAATAATGACCTTAAAAAATAAATTCAAATAAAAACTTAATTCCTAACGGCTCTGAACAAAATCTCTCATTGTCTCCCAAAGCGTGGAGACGTGTGTGGTTAAATGTCAGGTGACTCTTCCACGTGATGTCTGGGGACTGCAGGAGCTTCCCTCTAAGGGTTTACTGCCGAAGCCTGAGAGAGAGAAAAAGCATGGAGAGAAATTGGCAACTGGGACTCCTGAACTTTCAGAAAAGGGCTCCCTTCATTTGAAAAAGAGCTGCCCTGTTTGTATACAGCCATAGTGAATCTGTCATTGGGTCACCTTTTTAAGCAGGAGTGTGCCAAAGTGTATGTGTGTGTGCACATGTGCACACACACACACACGCACACACACACGGTTTCCTGGTCATAATACACTTGGTATTATTCATTTATGGCTGTACATGGCTGCAGGTGTGCTATAGGAAATGCTTATTAGAGCCTTTTATGAAAGGAGAGGCCAGGTTGTCAAGAAAAGACTAAGAAAAATGGACAATTACTTTACCAGGAGGAAAATAGAAGATAACATTAGATTGTAAATGGAAAAAAAAAAAGCAATGAGATGAGAAACAGGAGATTTGATGCCAGTGAGATGTGAAACACTGATAATTACAGAATAATGATGACGGCCACCGTTTATGGAACCCCTATGTGTCATGCTAATATTTAATAAGCACTCTCTCATTTAGTACTTAAAAAGACTTAGAAGGTCTCATGAATCTGACCATTTTGTGGAACAGACAACTAAGACACAAAGAGATTACATAGCTTAAGACCACACAGCTAATAAATTAGAGATACCAGACTGGGACCTAAATCAGTCTGACTCCAGAATCAGTTTCAAGGTTTCCTACTGAAGATTTGTGACGATGATAGGAATAGATTTTGTTTTGCTTGGTTTTGGTTATTTAAAAGACAAAAGTAAACAACATTTTGGTTTAAGAATGTGGGAAGAAAGCCCAGGGAAGAATGCGGATACAAATCGGCAAATGAACAACAACAAAAAAATGAATCCAATGCAGTGAATTCAAGATAAAGTTAAATAATACAATCAAGAGTTGCCCCTGCTTTCTTACATTGCAACAAAGAATGGGAATTAACTGCGGCTGAAGTCCTTCTTCACTATCAGGCTTTTGGCCAAAAAGAAAGGAAGGCTTTGCATTTGAATGGAGGTAGCTGGAGCGAGCAACGTGTCACTCAAGCCTCTGGCATCTTTGTTCAGCTTCATTAGGGAAGAATCTCCATGCGCTCATTTAACTTAGTTTATTAACCTCAATTCTGAATAAAATGTTAGTCTCTAACTCAATTTTGGAATTTTTTAAAACAGTAACCGGGAAAGTTTTGTGTTTTATTTATGTGATTGTTGATGTGAAAATGGCTGTGTCAATATCTTAGCATCTACATTAGACAAAGTCAATCATCACAGTCATTTAAAAACTCCCTTCTATATAAATGGGAACTATTCTCTTATGTAGAGAATAAACATGGTCTCAAACAGTCAAAAAAAAAAATCCCCATATTGTAGTTACAAAGCTTCTTACCAGAGGAATTTGGTTTGTGACACATGTGTTCTTCAAGTCACATTTTTTATAAAGAGAATTTTGCACCTTAAACTCAAATTAATAAAACAGGTAGGAAAATCGAGAAATACTTATATTTCCTTTTTGGCTTACCTTAGTCCTCATTGGAGGACATCTTTTTTTTTTTTTTTTTTTTTTTTGGATAAACATCTTTCAGATAGTTTTATAAGTAGCAATTGAAACATTACACAAATTGTCAAACTCTCTTTCATATAAAAGAGCAATATATTTCTTTGTATGCTTGTAAAAATAATTGTTTATTTCTTACTCTTTCTTTAATGAGATTGAAAGTACTAGAACACAACAGAAACAGGCTTCAGAGAGAAAAAAAATCAAAGGAGACAAAAAGATGAAACCAAAACTCTTCACAAAATGCTCTTGGAGGTACTTTGTAGAAAAGTAAACGAGCAAATGTCTCCATTGCATGTGAATGGGAAAACATAACACACAGCTGTCAAAATCCACTCAAGCAGGCCGGGCGCAGTGGCTCACGCCTGTAATCCCAGCACTTTAGGAGGCCGAGGTGGGTGGTTCACCTGAGGTCAGGAGTTCAAGACCAGCCTGGCCAACGTGGTGAAACCCCATCTCTATTAAAAATACAAAAATTAGCCAGGTGTGGTGGTGCATGCCTATAACCCCAGCTACTCGAGAGGCTGAGGCAGGAGAATTGCTTGAACCCAGGAGGCGGAGGCTGCGGTGAGCCAAGATTGTGCCACTGCACTCCAGCTTGGGCAACACAGTGAGACTCTTATCTTAAAAAAAGAAAGAAAAAAAAAAGAAGAAAAAGAAAATATCCACTCAAGCACTCAAGCAGTCCCTATCAACGTGACTGTAGTTTATTTCATGAACAAAAGCGGAGTGTGTGGGAATCTCCCATCAGCTGTGCCCAAAGTTTTCGTAAATATTGGTTAAGTGAAGCGGGTTAGCTGCTCCTCTTCCCCCTCTGCTGTTTGCTCTGGCACCTCTGTAGTTAGCATTAGAGCCGCTGCAGGTAACTGTGCTTTCAGTCTGTTTCAATTCTGGCTTCTTGTGTTTGCAATCAAGTCATCCCACAGGATACAATCAATCGGCACCACTTTCTTTACACATTGGGCTCAAAATGAGCTGGTCTGATTGGTCAGAACCAAATTTCTATTTCTTCCACCAAGAGTGGTAATGGCCACTCTGATAAAACAAAGTCAATTCTAGAGAGAAAGTTCATGCAATTTAGAACTGTTTTGCCCTTGTGAAGAAAAATGGGTCATACCTTTTGGATGCTAAAAAATGTTACTCAGCCACAGGTACTACCTGCCTGTCTTTTGACTATGTTCAACATTATGTAGGTGATCTTGGATTAATTTGTTAATTAATTCAATAAACACTGAGTGCCGATAAATGCCAGGCTGGGTACTGGGGAAACCAACATGGGTTAGACCATGGTTCACATACTCCATGGTCCTTCTGGTCTCGTGTGGGTGATCAAGAGGTAAGAAAGTATAAATAAATAGTTATTGATGCTGGGGTAGCAGTTCATGCATGGCATGCAAGGTTGAAAGAGGAAGTAGTCGGCTGTCACTAGGCAGGCAGAATAGAGACGGGAGTGAGAGCTAAGGACGGCTTCCTGGATGTGGTGACCGCACACCAATGCTTCTCCTAAGTCTTCTTGTTTGCCTTCAAAGAAGGTCTTTCCCAATTTTTACAATAAACCAATGCAAAAAACCCAACGTATTCTTCAAAGAAAACTATTATTTAGGCTACAAGGTCCATACAATACCCATCCATATAATATTGATACAATACAGACAATATCATCAGAAATAACAGTAATTATTTGGGATGATGGCCATGTCCCAGGCACTGTATTAAGGAGTTTTTAATCTTCCAACAACCCCAGGTACTATTAATATCCAAATTTATACATGAAGATGAACGCAGATCAAGAATGTCCGGAAGGTCATCCGCTTAGTAACCAGCCGGATTAAGGTTTGAATCCGAGCTTTCTGACTGCAGAGGTCAAGGTCTGAGCAACAGCAAGGAAGACCTTTCCGAGTATTCTGCATTCAAGAGCTCGAGAGCCAGGCTCTGTGATTCTGGAGGGGCCCCCCAGCAACCGACCTCAGGAGCCATGAGGTTGATTCGGTACTCACGTGTGTTCATGTGATCTCTGTACGTGGGTGGCATGTAACGTTTATTGCTATGCTCATGAAAAAGCATTGAAATGTTAAACGAAGACAGTACGAGAAACCTGACTGTAAAAGGTAAGCTTGATAATTCCAAAAGTATGCATCTTTTATTTTTTCTAAAAAAAAGATAAGCCCCAGTGTCTGTCTGTCTAGCACCTGTTTCACAAGGATTTAAAACCAAGCAGCAGAAGTGCCCTATTTTCCTCAGATAAATATTTATGAAGTTTTAATTTGCTTTTGCATTGGAAGTTATCGATCCTTTTCCCTCTTCAATTACAAAACCTTATCACGTACAAAGAAGCTTCTTAGAAAGGAAGTTAATGAACACCAAATTTGTTATTTTGTTGATTTTCACTTCCCACCGTGGCACTGTGCTTCTGGAGAGAGGGCCATCGTTACTGCAATTATACTAATACACTTTCATTATTTAACAATCAGCCACACACATTCTAGAGGAGGAAGAAGTACAAGTCTGAAGGAGGAAAGTTCAGATATTGCTTTTAGCCTGATAATTTCAACAGTCAATGCTATTTCATGGACAATGTTATACTAGCTGATTAACATAAATAACTAATAAAGAATCTAGCAGATATAAAAGCAGCTTGTGCTACATAGGGATTTTTTTTTTTTTTTTTGAGACACAGTCTCCCTCTGTTGCCCAGGCTGGAGTGCAGTGGCATGATCTTGGCTCACTGCAACCTCCGCCTCCTGGGTTCAAGCAATTCTCTTGCCTCAGCCTCCTGAGTAGCTAGGACTACAGGCACATACCACCATGCTCAGCTAATTTTTGTATTTTTAGTAGAGATGGGGTTTCACCATGTTGGCGAGGCTGACCTCCAACTCCTGACCTCAAGTGATCCAACACCCTCGGTTTTCCAAAGTGCTGGGATTATAGGCATGAGCCATCACGCCAAGCCTACACAGGGATTTTGATCATAGCTTTATGAATGCCTCAAAATAATTACAATAATTATATTGATAGTTTTATAGTTATACTGATATATATTACATGATACCATGTCCTACTCAATTTGTGATTATTACTATTTCATAAGTATAGTATCTGTGTACATATCTGTCCACCCACCCAGCCATCCACACATTCAGCCACCCAGCCACTCAAGAAACATTAATTACGAGCCTGCTAAGTGTCAGGTGCCGTCTTGGGCAGTGAAAGACAAATGAAACAAGCGAATGAAAGAACAACCTTCAGAGGAAGGAGAGAGGCAGAAGAGAGGCATACTGTGGGATTCCACCTCCATTTCTCAGTTGGTTAAAATTGCAGCTTTGTGTTTGCCTTCACTGGCATTACACCACTTCTTCTGCAAGCAAGCCAGCTGTTGACAGTCAGAAGATCAGGCCTTTGGCAGCAGTCCTTCTGGACCGACCAATAGCCGCAGGAGCCCCTCCTGGTGTGGAGGGAGCTGAGATCCACCGGGAGATTACATGATTTCTGGGGTCTTTAATTGCATGGCCCGGTCAGCATCCATTAGTCTGCTGCCTACACAATGCCTTTGTTTCTCAGATGGTAGCAGAGGACATCCTTCAGAAGACACGTAAAGCACATGATTAGGGAAACAAATAAAAGATGGAAGTTCACCCTCACACAGCACCGGCAACGCAGTGCATCCCAGGAAGTAACCACTGACGTATGGCACGCCAGGTAACAGCGGCCCTGCTGCCAGGTGCCCCTCTGCCTGGTGGCTGGTGAGTTTCCTTTGAGATGCCTTGTCAGAATTATATACCAAAAACATGAACATGTAGAGGGAGTATGTGGTACAATCAGAAGTCTGATGTTGAGGGCCAGATATCTATCACAGCACAGCATACTTATTTGCAGTATCTAAGACATAAAGACATCTAATAAAAAACATTAAGGGACTAAAAACACATTTATAGTCTCGTACAAATGGAATTTCCTTAACCAGGGACCAAGATTTGTCCAGCAAAAC
Organism: Homo sapiens; assembly: GCF_000001405.40. Taxonomy (NCBI): domain Eukaryota; kingdom Metazoa; phylum Chordata; class Mammalia; order Primates; family Hominidae; genus Homo; species Homo sapiens. The sequence goes on from NC_000010.11 coordinate 126,182,407, forward strand.
AAACAAACAAAAAAAACACTCACTATAAATTTTTCTTCTGGATGTGTTCACTTATTTAATGAAAGTTTATTAAATTCTTGATCTTTTCAAAGTATCCTTTGTAGACAAAAGACGTAAAAGCATGAAAATAGCAGATTCTGCCTTGGGGAAGTTTAAAATGTCACTGGAGGTATAGGACTTATCAGGCACATGAGAGAGAGAGAGAGCCTGTGCCAGGATGTGAAGAGCCCAGATTTCATGTAAGTTGCTGCGGGGATTCAAAGCAAATATTGATCATGGTGGGGCAGAAATAAACATCCGTGAGGTCAGTGGAGGTGGGCTTGAGGAGTGTAGCAGAAGGTTTTGCGTCCCTAGCGTCTCTTCTACTTGGATGACCCCCAGTCTAATTCTCGGGACTATGGGGATTTACATAAACATAAGAAGAGTTAATTTTCCCGCCTCCTGGCACGCAAGCGTGCAATCCACTAGAACAGGGGTCCCAAACCCCCGGGCCACAGACCGATACCTGTCCGTGGCCTGTTAGGAACTGGGCCACACAGCAGGAGGTGAGTGAAGCTTCATCTGTATTTACAGCCACTCCTCATTGCTTACATTACTGCCAGAGCTCCAACTCCTGTCAGATCAGAAGAAGCACTAGATTCTCACAAGAGTTTGAACCCTAATGTGAACTGTGCATGCGAGGGATCTAGGTTGCATGTTCCTTACGAGAACCTAAGGCCTGGTGATCTGTCACTGCTTCCCATCACCCCCAGATGGGACCGTCTAGTTACAGGAAAACAAGCTCAGGGCTCCCGCTGATTCTACATATTATGAGTTGTATAATTATTTCATTATATATTACAACGTAATAATAATAGAAATAAAGTGCATAATAAATGTAATAAGCTTGAATCATCCCCAAACCACCCCCTCAACCCCATTCCATGGAAAAAGTGTCTTCCACAAAACTGGTCCCTGGTGCTAGAAGGGTTGGGGACCACTGCACTAGAACACCACCCGTGTGCGAGCAGGGCGTCACATTGTAAAACACCTCGCCCCAGTCCCAGGATGGCTACTGCAGACAGGTGAGCTTCACCTCCTGCCATGCCATTTACACACCTTCCTGGAAAAGCAGAACAGGTGAAACAGCCATCTGGGGCAAGTGGTGAAGTGCAGGCTTTTTGAAGGCATAGCTGATAAGTCAACATGTCGTCCGCACTTCTAAAATAAAATTCTTAATTCATATAAATGTTTTTTGGATGTCTCCTCTGTTCCCACACATTATCCTAAGTGCTTTGAGTATGACAGTAATAAAGAGTCATGGCTTCATCTTTCCCCAAAGTACAACCACAGGAGCCTGTGACATCTTTTCTCCTAGAGCCACAAAATGGGCACCCACTGATATGTCATGAATGGATGGAAAAGTGAGTAAATTATAGAAGGTTTTGAAATCCAAACACGGAGATGTCAATGGCGATTTCCGTGTAACTGCAGAAGAATCTATTACTGAATTCTGTGACGAACACTAAAAACTAAGTCCACACTTAATAAATGTTTATGTAACACAATGAAATATCTAATAATCTTTTCTTACATTATTATGATCCTTATATTTTACTTGATTTTCTTCAAAAAAGTGTGAAATATCTAATAACGTCATAACTCTGAGCCAAGGAATCTGGACCTAGTCCTACCAAATGTGTACCAGAACCAAGACTGTGTCCCATTGAAAGCAGAAATATTTCAGCCCCTTCCAAGAAGCACTCAGCACCTTCTTCTCCCCCAGTACCTTGGGTCTTCCCAGTGTCAATCCAGAGCATATCAGAATTGAAATACCAGATAAAAGTGAAATGCAAAGTGATATTTCGGTGCCGTTACATTCGGTTTTGTAATATCAGCAACTTTTAGATAACATTAATATGAGCAAATTAACCTCTCATAGGTTTTATTATTTTTCATAAGTAATAAAAGAATGCTCAGCAGAAAGCCCCCAGCTCTTGAGTGTTACATAAAAGTGACCTCAAATTTTTAATATGGCGCAAAGCTTGTTAATCCTGCTTGGATTTCATGCTTAAACCTTCATTAGTACATTAGTCTTCCAAATATAATTTATTTAGACTTAAGTACTCCAATTCTTATGATGAAGTGGCAAAAGCTGTGCCGTATTTTGCAAATTGCAGATGGCATTTTCTAGACTAGAATTAAGGGATTCAGTGCTAAAGTTCAATTTTTCATGGTTTTGTCAAAATTTAGTATTTGGGCACCTTCACAACCTGATGACCTTTCCGACGGCTGCCACGCTTCAGTTCTGTCTCTTGTGTTTGTGCTTGGTCTGTTGACAACCATGTTGCAGGAAAAATGAACCCCAGCACACAGCAGCAGAACATACACAAGATCCACCTGAGAGGACCAGAGTTCAAATCCTGCCTTTCCCTCTGCAAGTGTACAACAAGGGTACGAGGACGTCACGAGCCCTGCCTTATTTCTTCGGGACTCCATGAGGACTGGAATCAAAACTTTAGTGACCATCACCATCCTGTGTGGGGAAAACTGAGGTGGAAAGGGCACATCCTGATGGATTTAGAGACCAAGCCAACATGGCACCCTGACCGTGATCTCTTATTGGATTAAACCTACCCATCTAATGAAAGCACGGGTTGGAGTTTCATCTTTTCTCTCTTTCGGGGCCATATATCCTTTCAGGACCGTCTTGCACATGGTCTGGATTTTGTAGCACAAAGCTGAGTCCTGGCTTACCTCTGTGGGTAACAAATGCTGTGGGGTTGTTGCTTCATCTAAGTCACAGAATTCTTTCCTTTTGAGGTCCATGAAGAAAGAAAGACGTTGCTATTGCATTGCATCTTTCAAACATATTTTCATTTTTTAACAATGGTGTAAAATAAAAAGGGTCTGAACTTACTCTTCAGCTTTCTTTTGTGGAATTTCTCTTTGCCACACAGGGCTATGCCCTATAGCCTTAGTGAAATGACTCTGATCATCTTAGAGGGGCAAATGACAGCAACCTTTTCTGAACACAATGCTCCCACTTTGCAAGAGTCAAGGGTTGCTGGAATATCTTGATTTCTGTTAACATCTGTTTTTTTTTTTGGATAGAGGGAAAGTAATTTTTAGAAAGTACATAATGGGGCCAATTGTGGTCTATTATATGCTTAATGGGTGAGATTACAAGTGGAAACTATAGCAAAAAAGCTTCCCAAAAGATGGAGTTTGACAAGCAACAGTGCATTTGGGGGACAACATCTAGGATGGCAAGAGAGTAAGACACACCACCCATGGGGAGCAATTAGAGAAACAGAGATGATTTGAGTGAGAAAGAGCAGACCAATGCACAGTGGCTGGAGCTACACCGGCCTGGGCAGCCCAATGCAAGCAATAATTTTACCATCATCATGACTGTCTCAGGAAACAGACCATCTCAAACGAGAGCACATTCTCCTGGCCCCAGTTATGAATCAACTCCTGAGGGAATGTTTTCAAAAATATCTGAAGATTAGCCAGGGAAATGAACTAGATGACCAAAAACGTCACTTGTAATTCCAAAGTTTGATGATATTTTGTTTAAATGTTCTGTCTAGACTTGTGCTGTTGCTAGAAGTCACTGACCTCTATCCGGAATGACAACCACTCAGGCCAATGAGAGCTAAAGCACTAAGAGAGGGGACTGTGCCTGTCCTGTGTCCCCAAGGGTTGTGGCAAGGGTGCCCGTTAGCAGGAGCCGGTGGGGATGCTTCAGAAAACCCATCTCTGTGTCTTCCTTGACTGCTACCTTCTAACTGGACAGTGTGCAGTGTTCAGTCACTAGGCTTACCATGTTGTAATCCCCGCGGGGCAGAAAAACCCTATCGATCAATATACTTAGCAACTGTGACCTTTGAGAGGACCATTTAGCCAATAAGGAAGAAAAAGTGAGAGTCTATTGCCGGAGAACAGCAATGTGGAGCAATGTGGTGCTTGGTTGAAGGAAAATTTCTGTCTGGGTCTGCCTGGCTGGGCAGTAATCTGAATAGAAGAGCTTTGGCCTCCCTTGGAGCTATCACTCCAACTCCTCAAACAAGGGAGCAGCATCTGAGTCCCAGGGAAAAGTTCAGCCCAACACACTGTATTCACTTGAACAAAGGTCATTTATTTCTGCACTCAATTTTGTAGTTCTAGGGACATGGGGATGAATGGGAAGATGGAAAAGGCCATTCTGTGTGACATTTGGCTGAGTGTGGGGGCAGTGGGCCATAGAGGGGGGCAGGAATCGCACAGTGTCTGGACCAGCAGACAACAGGAAGGGGCTGGAGCCTTAGGGAGGGGGCAAGAGGCAGGTCATCAAGAGCAGAGAAGACCAATGACAGAGGTGGCCGGGGCTGGAAGAAGCAGAATGCATCGCGGATGGACAGAAGATGACTTTTAAGTTTCTTGTGAAATTGACATTTCTGCAGGATGGACAGCGAACAACACTTTCATCCATATTATTTTTCTTTGATCTCTCAAGCAGCTCTGGGAAGCAGGCACTACCATCTTTGTTTTATAGATGGGGAATCTGAGTCATCATGAGCAAATATGCTTTCCTGAGGACACACAGTCACTAACTAGATCAATCTCCAACTTTGGATTCCAAATTGCATGGTCTTCCCCTGTGTCTTTCACTGTCTTGCAGCTCCTCTCTGCCCCAGTTTTAAGCTAATTACATGAATGACAGAGTAACTAATTTCTTCTTTCATTCCAACGTTTAGGTGCTGTTTATATATAAAAATCTCTGTATCGTGGGAATTACTACATCAGTAAAACTTTCATACTTCTTCTTAAAATACAGATACAATACAGGACAGGCATCCTCTGAGGACTTGTCCACTCTGATCGTCTCTGCATGATTTTTATTGTTCTTATTACCTCTGTTTTTTAAGTTCTCCCCAACTGTGAAGGAAATGAAATAAAAAAAAAACAAATTTAATGTTGCAAATAAAATACCAAGCGGCTTTTTGCTGCTGGGGGCATTTCAGTAAATGATTTCAACCTTCCTTCTAGCTTCTTCTTAAAGCCAAGGAAATCAAAATGCTGACACACAGGCGCCGGGGTGCCCAGCAAGTGGCTGTATTTGATGTCTGTAGGCAGAAGGCTCAGGTCTGGAGTCATCATGAGGTGGGAGCCCAGGTCGGTGTTGTGGGATGCCCTGGCTGGAAACTCCACCCCTGGGGCTACATTGCTCCTGCCCCTAGAGGGTGGTGTTAAGGCAATCCAACCCTAGGCTACTTCAAAGTGACTTCACAGAGGCTGTCTAAAGGAAGAGGCGGAGCTGCAGGGTGGGCACAGAGAGGGCACCAGGTGGGAATATGCAAGGCACAGCACGCTGGCCACAGTGCACAGGTTTTAATATCTTGCTGGAATTACTTGATGAGCTAAAATGAAAGGAGTTTTGAAGACCTCCTTATGTTCCACTAGGTCCAGGGTAAATGTGCACATGGCATCACATGCTACTCTGAGTACCAGATGACGCTGTCCCCTGAGCCTGACATTCCTGCAGATGACTGGGAGTGTGAGATGAGCATCCAAGAAAGAAGCACATGTCTGCTTTAGGTCAGAGTGCTGGCTAATCAGACACCTAAGGGATCTGCAAAGAGGAAGTGCAGGTTCCCAGGAGAGGCCACTGGAAAGCCAGGCTGTGAAGGGGCAATGACAGCCCAGTCCACCCTATGTGACAAAGAACTTCTGGACACTGCAGCTTGTTCTCACTGTTTGCTGTCCTCTTCCTCCCAACTCAGGTTCCCATGTCAGCTTCTTTCCTCTGACAAGTCTGGCTCATAAGGGCAAAAATATGTTGAGAGCAGAGTCCAAAGCCTCAAAGTGGAATCTAAGCTTTTACAACTCAAAGCAAAGCCCCTGAGTTTCTGTGGACCTTTGCTAGACTCCATGTGTACCACTGGGTGTGCTCTAATTCTTTGGCCACATCACTGTTGAAAAAGCCTTCAAGACTCAGTGTGGTCTCATTCTGTTGCCCACACATAAAACGTGCATCGAAATTCCTTCTTTTCCAACCTCACTGAGTGGGGCACCTGCAGAATGGTCCATCTGTTTTTTTCCTTCAGGGTTACTTTAAACCTATTATGCCTCATGCATTTGGTGGGCACAAGGAAGAAAACAAACAAAGGCCTTGTCTGTGTGTGAACTTACAGCTCAGTGTTAGATAGCATTCTTATTTCCTAATTTCAGGGAACTTAATCAGTCACAGGCATCTTCTGTGAGTGGAATCATTTTTCTTTTATTTGATCCCATGACATATCTTTGTACGCCCTTTAATCCCCTCATCTTACCTTTGGGAATCTTTTTTTCAATTGCATTTTAACTATTACAATTAATCATTCATTATTTATCCATTTATCCATCCATCTATCCATCATCCTTTCATCCATCCATCCCCCATCAAGCCATTTATCATCCATCCATCAATCATCCATCCATAATCCATTCATCTATTTGTCGCCCATCCTTCATCCTTTCATTCATCTATCTGTCCATCACTCATCCATGCATCATCTATTTATTATCCACCCATCCATTCATCATCCATCTATTCACCATCCATCTATCCATTCACCATCCATCCATCCATGAACATGTTCTAAGCATCAGGTGCAGTGTGAGCCCTGTTGCACAAACGTCCCTTTTCTCAAGAAGCCCACATCCTAGAGTAGGGAGACAAATGCAGATACAATGAGAGCTTTAGGAGCACTGAAGAAGGAGCCCTGGACTTAAGGAATGAAGGAAGGTCCCACAGACCAAGTTGCATAGAGAAGGATCATGATGAAGGACAAGGGCTCACCAGGCATAGAAAACCGAGCAAGGTGTTTAGACAGTGGGAACAGCACGTGGAAAGAAACCAAAGCAGGAAAGAGCATGGAACATTCCAGGAATGGGGAGAAGTTCAGTGGGGATGAAGAATGGGGTATACGGTGGGGAGTGTAGGAAGGACTGAGGCAAAAGGACCAGTTGGGGCCAGAATGTGAAGGGCTTCAAATGCCAGAGTCAGCTTCCAACTCCTCTTCTTCCTTGTCCTTTGTTCTATCCTCATTTATCATCAGGACAACAGCAGCCACAAGTACGGCTGCTCTACTCTACGGATACCACCAACTCTTAGGACTGTTTTTTGAGTGCTGACTACGTGCCAGGCATGTGCTAAACATGCATTGCCATGTTTATGCCTCAAAATAAGCTATGGGTAGATACTGTTGTGATTCCCACTTTACAGATGACAAAGTGAGGACAGATTGGGCTCCCTGTCCTGGGCTACAGAGCTGGCACTCAGGGGCACCGGAATCTACCTGCAGGCAGGCTTGCTGTGGAGCCCATGCTTTAAGCCCCACAAGCTGTCCCTCGCCTCAGTGGCTCCCTTCTCTCTGCTTGATCTTTCATATGTCCAGCCTCTGCTCTGCAAGGCTGAGCCTCCTGCAGAACCTTCCTGAAGACGGCATTGCGGTAATCCCCAACCCTCGGACTCCCTAGGCCGTGTGTGCAGCAGCTCATTTCACTCTGTATCTCAGGTGCACATCATCACTCAGTTCTTAATCCTGTAGACGTTTGTCTCTTTTCAGAAGATGGTCACTGAAGACCCAGCATTGTGAATGGGATCCTGAGCTCACTCTTCCAAATGGTTGTGCTGAGTGCAGCCTCGATGGCAGGCAGTCACTAAGGACCGGGGCCAGGCTTCCCCACCTGTTGAGACATCCCATCTGTCTATCCAGCCTTCTCAGGTTGGGGCAGAGGGGACTAGCGTGTAGCGTGCCTGCTTCTACATCTGCCCAATTCACTCTTTTTTTTTTTCTTTTTTTTTTAGACGGAGTCTCACTCTGTTACCCAGCCTGGAGTGCAGTGGCATGATCTCAGCTCACTGCAACCTCCACTTCTGGGTTCAAGCAATTCTCCCGCCTCTGGCTCCTGAGTAGTTGGGATTACTCAACTACTCTTGCACCACCACACCTGGCTAACTTTTGTATTCTTAGTAGAGATGGGTTTCACCATGTTGGCCAGGCTGGTCTCAAACTCCTGACCTCAAGTAGTCCACCTGCCTCTGCTTCCCAAAGTGGTGGGATTACAGGCATGAGACACCACACCCGGCCCCAATTCATTCATTTAGCAAAAGCCTCCAGCCAGCTGTGCTGGAGGCTGGGAATTTCACCAAAATTCATGTGTATGCTTCTGCCCTTTGGGAGGTTCAAAGTCTGGTGGGAAGCAGACAAAACGTGAAGAGTGTACATTACAGCCTGTGCTGTTTTGTCTATGAAAGCGACAAACACACTAATGGGAGACTGAAAATGAGAAGGTGGTGAGGAACAGACCTCTTTGAAGTGATGCTATGGTGGCTGAGAGCAAAGCTGGAAGGTGCTGGCCTTGTGGACAGGTTTGGGGAGGAATGTTCCCACACAGGGCAGAGGCAGGAAAGAGCAGAGCAGCCCAGGAATAGAAATAAGATAGTGGGGTTAGAGCACGCAGCAGGTGGGAGGCACAAGATAATGCTGGAGAGGTTGACAGGCCAGGCAAATGCCAGGGTGAAGAGTCTGGGAGAGTTTGGGTTTTGTTTGAGTTGCCATGAGGAGTTTTGTCCTTTTTTTTTTTTTTTTTTTTTTTTTTTTTCAGACAGAGTCTTGCTCTGTCACCCAGGCTGGAGTGCAGTAGCACAATCTCTGCTCACTGCAACCTCCGCCTCCTGGGTCCAAGTGATTCTCATGCCTCAGCCTTCTGAGTAGCTGGGATTACAGGCGCCTGCCACCACGCCCGGCTAATTTTTGTATTTTTAGTAGAGATGGAGTTTTGCCATGTTAGTCAGGCTGGTATTGAACTCCTGCCCTCAAGTGATCTGCCTGCCTCAGCCTCTCAAAGTGCTGGGATTGAGTCACCGGGCCCAGTCTATGAGGAGCCTTTATGGGGTTATAAACCAGGATTACCATTGTTTAGTTTATGCGTTAATCCTTCCAGCTGCTGAGTGGAGGATAGATGGGGGTGAGCAGCAGGAGGGGAAGCCTGGAGGAAGTCAGCAGGTGACCGCATGAGTCCAGATGAAAGGTGATGATGGTTTGGACTGGTTCAGCGCAGGGTCACTGGGAAGGAGGAGCTGGATGGATTCAGGATTGATGTGTATAGAAGGAGATGGATCAGAGGGGGTGGGTAAGGAAAGAGAGGATTCCTAATGTTCTGGTTTGAGTGATGGAGAAGACTAAGGTGGGGGGAATAGGGGACAGGATTAGGACAAAATTTAAGACTTCCAAGGTTAGTTGACAAAGATAATTCAACAATGTTGAATGCTGTGGACAATAGCTTAACATAGGGTTTGAGAAAGTAGAACTCGGGAGCCAGCAAGCTCGAATTTAAATCTTGGCTCTACTAATAACTAGCTCTATTAGTCCACTCTCACACTGCTATAAAGAAATGCCTGAGACTGGATAATTTATAAAGAAAATAGGTTTAATTGGCTCATGGTTCTACAGGCTGTACAGGAAGCATGGCTGGGAGGCCTCAGAAAACTTACAACCCTGGCAGAAGGTGAGGGGGAAGCAGGCACGTCTTACATGGCTGGATGAGGAAGAGAGAGAATGGGGAGGGCTACACACTTTTAAACCTGATCTGGTGAGCACTTATTCACTATCACAAGAACAGCACCAAGGGGAAAGTCTGCCCCCGGCCCCATCCAATCACCTCCCACTAGTCTCCACCTCCAAGTTGGGGATTACAATTTGACATAAGATTTGGGTGGGGACACAGATCCAAACCATATCACTAGCTATGTGCCTTTGGGAAAGTTGCTTAACTTCTCTGTGACTGCTTTTTTCATTTTAAAAATGAGGACAATCTTTTTGTGGTCCTTATGAGAACTGCATGAGTTAATATACATACATAAAATGTGTAGAATAGTGCCTGGTACATAGTAAATAATGGCCATCACCCAATAAGTTATAGTTATTACTAACAACAAACATACATTGAGCACCCTGTCTGCTGGAGGCACCCCTGTCCTGAGTGCAAAGGGACACAGGGACATCAGCTTTACCTTCCAAAGGCTTATGTTCAATGGGAGTAATAAACACAGATTTGTTCATAAAATATATCTTTAGTTACTCCTTGTGTCAGCCAATGACCACATTATTACACAGAAAGAAGAATAACAGGATTCCAAGAGAAATGTGACATGGGAATCAACCACAAAGATGTCTATATTCATCCATCGCACATACTTAACTTACAATTCTAAATCTCTGTTTGTACTTCAGTAGATGGGATCCCCCTCGGGAATATTTTGAAAATGTCCTTCACTACCAGTTGATTACAAAACTTCTGAAGTGGTTAAAGAATACTTGAAAAGATCAAATTAAAGCATGGAGGCCAGTGAAATTTTGAAAGATATGCCAAAGACCCATTTCAGCATGTGACTATCTGGTCCTCCTCAAATGGCCTTGACTGGTCTAGAGCTGCGGGTTTCTACCATGTAATTCTGCAAGAGGCAGAAACATTCAGCTTACTCCAATGGGAGAGAGTCGCCAGCCTTTGCCAAAGGGGCATTGTAATGGATTTTTAATTTTTTAATCTTTTTGAAAAGGACAGACCTCTGGGCGCAGTGGCTCATGCCTGTAATCCCAGCACTTTGGAAGACCAAGGTGGGTGGATCACAAGGTCAGGAGATCAAGACCATCCTGGCTAACATGGTGAAACCCCGTCTCTACTAGAAATATAAAAAATTAGCCGGGTGTGATGGCCTGTGCCTGTGGTCTTGGCTATTCAGGAGGCTGAGGCAAGAGAATCACTTGAACCCAGAAGGCAGAGGTTGCAGTGAGCCGAGATTGTGCCACTGAACTCCAGCCTAGGCGACAGAGCGAGACTCCATCTCAAAAAAAAAAAAAAAAAAAAAAAAAAAAAGACAAACCATATGCAATAGACAAGACTAAATAAACATTTCCAGAAGACAATGAACTCAGGTAACCAGTATGACAGTTAAGGTTTTGCTTAATTTGCAAAGTCACTGTAATCTGATGGCAATGATGGACAAAATCTATTTGATTCCTGCCACTGGTCAAATACATTAGAGAAATGTGCTTACTGGATTAATTTATTGTGTGGTTTAAACTGGGCACTTTAAATAAAACTAAGCTATGAAACCCAGAGAAGGGGTAGATTCTTTCTTTCAAAAGATAAAGAAACAACAATGGCATTATCACACCTTTTAAACATATGAGAGAGGGCCAGGTGCGGTGGCTCACGCCTGTAATCCCAGAACTTTGGGAAGCTGAAGCGAGTGGATCACATGAGGTCAGGGGTTCGAGACCAGCCTGGCCAACATGGCAAAATCCCACCTCTACTAAAAATACAAAAATTAGCTGCATGTGGTGGCGTGCGCCTGTAGTCCCAGCTACTCGGTAGGCTGAGGCAGGAGAATCTCTTGAATTCGGGAGGCAGAAGTTGTAGTGAGCTCATGTCATTGCACTCCAGCCTGGGCAACCGAGTGAGACTCTGTCTCATGAAATAAAATGAAATAAAATAAAATAAAATAAAATAAAATAAAATAAAATAAACATGTGAGAGAGGCCTGATATGAGAAACCAAAGTTGAGGGGTTGATTTGGAAACAGAGAGACTGCTGTTGTACAGCCTGAAATGCGTTGGAAGCAGTGATGTTCTTCCTGGAAAAGTTACACTTGTGAAATGAAGAGAGCACCATTCAAGAAACGCTCCAGGTGCTTATTAGGAGAAGATAATCAAAAATATACATAAGACTTTAAATACAGCGTGTTATGTAAGTAAATGTTAAATCAAACTTTGGAGTGGCTCAGTTTCAAACAACTAAATATCCTCGGTGCTTCTGTCCCTTGCCAGCAGTCACAGACATCAAATAAGTTCATATGCTCAAAAAAAAAAAAAAAAAAAAAAAGCTTTCTGGACACTGTCAGCCCACCTGTGTGCAGACTAGAGAAGAATCCTTTAAGCTTTCTGAGACAAATAAAAGGCAAGGAATCAAAGGGAAGTGTACACCTCACCATTTATCGGGAAGCAGACTTGGGTAATCTGGCTGAGCCAGTGACAAATAAAACGTGATTTAATGTAGCATTTCTCACACGTAGAGAAAGTCTCCAATTCTCAGAGACCCCTGGTGTTGACTTACAATATTTTTATCCCAATAGTATTTAAATGTATGCAAGAATAAAATGAAATATAAATGTATGTGTATAACACACCAATCAAAACAAATTCACAAATGAAATACAGAGTAAATTACCAACCCAAGACCACTCAATTGAAGGATATTAATTCAGCCTAATGGGTAATGTGGTTTTGTGGAAGCAAAATTGCTCATTCAGAGCTTCAGGGTAGAAAGTTGCAACCCTGGTTCTGGGTCTGCAGTGAATGTTTCTGTATTTGCCTGTAATCGTACCCTTGTATAATGTCTGTTGACATACGTATGTAACACAGAATGCTAGGAACATCTTCAAAACTTTGTCTCAACGGGATAATCAGACCTCATGTGGCCCCCAAAATTCTGCTGGCAGGCAACGCTTGAATGCCTATGGCAGTGAGGTAGAATTTGATAGTCTTGTTACTTTAAGCTAAGGTCGCATGATTGTAGTATTAAAAAATCTGCACTAATTACGTATCTGCCTTAAATATTGTTCTCCTTTATATGTAGAATCTTAAAAAGTTAACTCTTAAAAGCAGAGCTTACCAGGGGTGGAGGGCTTGGGGGTGGAGAGATGTGGGTCAAAGGACACAAAATTTCGGTTAGGAGGAATAAGTTCAAGATCTACTGTGCAATATGGTAACTACAGTTAATACCAGTGTATCACATTCTGGAAAATTGCTAAAAGAATAGATTTTAAGTGTTCTCACCACATACACACAAAAATGTGTGAAATAATACATATGTTGGTCAGGTGTGGTGGCTCATGTGTATAATCCCAGCACCTTGGGAGGCCCAGGTGGGTGGATCACCTCAGATCAGGGGTTCGAGATTGGCTTGGCCAACATGGTGAAACCCCATCTCTACTAAAAATAGAAAAATTAGCCAGGTGTGGTGGTGTGTGCTTGTAATCCCAGCTACTCGGGAAGTTGAGACAGGAGAATCGCTTGAACCCGGGAGGCAGAGGTTGCAGTGAGCCAAATCGCACCATTGCACTCCAGCCTGGGCAATAAGAGCAAAACTCCATCCCCCACCCAAAAAACAAGAACAAAAACAAAAACCAACATACGTTAATTAGACCAGTTAAGCCCTTCAACAATATATACATATTTCAAAACAACATGTATATGATATATATGATTCTTAAATTTTTCAATAAAAAATACAATTTTAAAAATCTGCATTATGTATCAATCTTAAATATTGTTGAATTCTTAGACACCATTTTTAAATGTGACTACTCTATTTATATGATACAATTTATATGATAAACTTGGGAACTGATATCTAAAAGACAGGGGTCCATGAAACTGTTAAGTTACCTAAAACTTGGAAATAAGGTGAAAAGCTCACTATGTCTGCTTTCAAAGTAAAACCCGATCACCGTCTCACAAGCTGGCCTAGAATGCATCTAAGTGGGGCAGGGGTTAGCGGATGGCCTCCAGGGGCCTGTTTCTTATAAAGTTTTATAGGAATGCAGCTACTTAACGTGTTGCTTATGGCAGCTTTTGTGTTGTGGCAAAAAGAGTGGGGTAACTGCAACAGAGACTGCATGGTCTGCAAAGTCTGAGATGTTTAATAACTGGCCCTTCACAGAAAACGTTTGTAGACCCTCATTCTAGGGGATGCTATTTGGGTTGATTTACCATTTGCTATTGATTAGGGACCTGATTCTGTAAAGTTAGATGTTAACTTGCAGAAGACTGAGAAATGGCAAGTGATATCTGTCAGGCAGAAAAGATAAAGCGCTAAAGTGATGGTTTCATTGCCTGGAAGAACATGAGCCGGTTCTGGATGTGAGCTAGCAGGCTTCTCTCAACCTTCCTTGTTCTCCCTGAGCCTGCTTTGGCATCCTGCTGGTTCCCTCATCAATCAGCTGCATAAACCTTTGACAGATGCTCACTATAGGTTTATGTGAGAGCCATGGCTTTAACTTTCTGAAGTTTGTGCTTTGACATAACTTATTTGTCTACATTTGATTGAAGACACATTTACTGAGCAACTCTGATTGGCTCAATGACCTACTGGGCCCCTTCTATGTCGCTGAGTCATGTTGGATGCTAGGTGGGATACAAGAGTGGGTAAGAACTGGGGTTGACAGAAAATAACTCATCCACTCAAATAACTACAATACATAATACACGTGCTCAGAAATAAATTTGTGTAGTAAAAGTCATAGTTCATGGTAACTGCCTGATTAGTTATAGTTAGTTGCTGGTGGGTGAGATTATGAATACTTAAAGATTTCCTCCTTTCCTTTCTGTAATTTTCTGTAAGGAGCATCTGTTGCTTCTTGTAAAATAAAAAAAAAGTGGGGAATTTGATTTTAACTTTTCAAAAATGTCAGTCAGGGAAAATCAGGGAATGTCGTTTGGCTTCAGTGGGAGACTAGGGGACAAAGGAAAAATTCAGATAGGGCAGGGGATCTAGGGTATAGAGGCCTTGGAAGCCGGGCTGACAAATTTGACCCATCATTTTGGGTAAGAGGGAGCTGCTGTGGCTTTAAGATGGGAAGAAGAGAAAGAAGTAGAAATCTGCCGTGCAATCCAGACCTGAGATAAAGAAGACACGGTCCCAGGTGGAGGCAGGGGTGGTGTGGAAGACATGGCTAGGTGAGGAGCTATTTGTAAAGACAGACTTAGAGATGACGAAGCAAAGATGAGCTGGTTGGAAAGGGCACTGACTAGGGCCCCTACAGGGAGTGACAAGGCATCTTTTGGACAAAGTCCATTGGTGAACTCTGGAAGAAGCCAGCTGCATCTGATCTGTCCTCGAATCCCTGAGGCCGAGCCTGGTGCCCAGAACATAGAACAAGCTCGGGATACATGTCCCAGGCTTGAGCGGAAGGGAGGCAAGTTGAGGGTTTTGGTGATGCAGCCTGGAGGCTGTGCACCACAGGAGGTCCACAGCAAGACTGTGAGTGACCCTGTGGGAGAGGACAGTCGTGTGCTTCCCTCCTGGGGTTGCAGAGGAAGCACAACCAAGCCAGGAGTCCGAAGAGGAGCAGCACAAAGATGGAATGGAAGTCAGGGAATTTCTCATTGCTGGGAACTAAATGACTGATTTAAGGAAGGCCGGATGGTTGAGCATCTGAGGACACAGAGGTAAGCCTGAGAAACAGACCTGGGTTTGGCATGCAGGAGCCTGCCTGGCTGCATTTGGTATTTATATATCACTGGTGCCCAACAAATAGTCAATGAATTTGGAGGCTGAAGTAAAGATACTTAGGTGGCCATGTGACAGAGAGAAGTGATGCTGGTAGGGACATCTTTGGGAAGGGAGGGAGGTTATGAGTGGAGAAGAAGCAAGAAAATGCTTCACAGGCCTGAAAGCCCCAGACAGCGGGTGGTACGTGGAAGGCCTAAGTCTCCACCACGCATGGGGTGACATCACCTCCGTGAACTGCAGGAATGGGAGAGGGAAGGGACTGGGGCTTCAATGTGAAATTACAGTTCTTCATTCCACACAAAGACATGTGTTCCAAATTAACATCACTGTTTCCTAAGAAGCGTGAAGATGCAAACCAGGTATCTCCTCATGGGTTGGGGCTGGTGTTCAGTCAAGATGGACAGCCACTACGGGCCTTGCTCTCCTCCCTTGAGTCCACGGCCCTCCCTGGAAAGCCCCCTGTGGGAGGTGCAGATGCAGGACAGGAGAGGGGTCAGTCACCGTTGCAGACGCCCATGCTCTCCGGCATCAGTAGACACATTTCAAAGACTGAATCTCAACCCTGCCATGGCAGAGGGGAGGTCACGCTATCAGGAAGGTCTGTACCTTTTTCTGGTCTAATGAAGTGTAAGACGACAGAATTTACACAACCAGGAGAGAGACCAGAAGGGCCCGGCAAGTCTCATCACCCACATGCTGGATTTGTCTCCAGCTCCTGGAGCCATTGGGAGGGGCCATATGTTCTGCATTTCACCGGCTCTTGCAGTGAAATATTTGCTATCTGGTTTGTGGACGCAAAATGTGCAACCAGGGCCAGTGTAGCCTTTAGCTCGTGTGAATCCTGCAGCTTCTGTTTCTGGGCCTGAAGACAGAGATCCAGCACCTCCCCTGCTGCTCCTACCCAGCTGTGGGTGCCGGGGATCTCTGCCTGCACCTCTGGATGAGGCTGAGTGCCTGGCACGCATCCTTGCAAAGCAAATGAACAACCATTACAAACAGACTCAGTTTTCATCTCAAGGTAGGTCTGTGCTTAAACCTGACAATATGCTCTTTCCATTTTATTTTTCTTTAAACCCCACCAAATTTCATGTGTATTTATGAATATACTGTTACTGCCAAATTCCTGGCACTTTATTCATATTAGAAACTCCCAGCTGTGGTGAGAAAAGAGGAGAACATTTTTCAAGAGGGGAAGAAATGACTTTTCCCAGTATATCAGAAATATGTCCCATTTTATTACCACTATCTGATATCAAAGAGTAAGGAAGGTAGGCTTGAGCAGAAGGCCTGTAGATTCCAGAAATTTCTTTCAGGGCATCTGTGTCTTTTTATGGTGAGCTTTGTGCTTTTGGGGCCCTAGGAATAAGGAATTTAAGTTATGTAGTCAAGTCCTCAGTCTCACTTTAAAACTACCTGCTTACCAGGTTGAAGACCCCAATAAGTTTAGACTAACCACCTGAATGAAGGTTTCGTTTGGGGCAATTATCTAGATGATTCAGTAAAGTGTAAGAAAAAGTGATTTCAAAGCCTTGGACAATGACAGGAGGATGAGGCAACCCAGCCCTGCTGAAAACTTATCCACCTAATCACCATCGAGATCAGCGGGCCTGACCATCCCGCTGAAATGGCCGGTGTTCATTTCAAGTCATGCCAACAATCATATCTGCTTGCAGTGCATGAGTCATTTTAGGCATAACGGCCACCAGCCAATTTCAACGACTACCCATGACTCAGCCATATTGTCAAGTTCGCAGCCCCTCCTGGCCTCCAGCTAATGCGTTGGGATTCTACCGCAGAAACGCTCCCATAAACCTCTGCTCATCAAGTGTCATCAGCCCCATGCATCATGTGACCCTGTCTGTGGGAAGCTGCTGCTGCTTCCCAGAGTGTGTCTCGGACCGTCTTACACATCTAAACAAAACCAGGTTTTCATTTTTAGACTTCAGTGAGTTATTTTACTAAATCAGAGAAAAATAAACATTTAGAATTACAAATGGAATACATATAAAGTTTCTGTACATGTCAGTAATATTCCCTGATAATGAAAGAATAAGGATGCATTCTTTTAAAATAAGTCATCCTATCCCTGTCTCTCTAGCTAATTGAGATTGTGCATGACCTTGAGAAAGGCATTAAGGTTTGTTCTATTAACAAACATAGACAGTGTGCACCTGATCAAAGCAATGCTTTTTGGTCAAATGATTGACTAACAAAAACAAAAGCCCACTGGCACAAAATACAGGCACTCAATGGGGTCTTCCACACGCACCATGACCTATGTATATAGTCCATCAACAGAAGGAAGGACAGTGACTTACACACTAGTTACCAGACAATTACCACCTACGAGATGCTCTTTAATATTCACTGTTCTATTAATTAGAATATTCTATGAATTGGTATTTCCATGCAGGGTCTGACCTGGGCCACATAATGAGGTGGAACAGGTGCAAGCTGTTAAGGTTGGCAAGAAGTGCAGCTCACACGGGGACTGGATGGTCTGAGGGCACTAGGAGGGAGCAGGAAGGACTCCAGACTTCCTAGGTCTTCAGTTAACTCAATGGTTTTTGTCTTTGAAAATGGAGTAACAGATTAATAACCATGACATTGATCCCCAAACACGATCAGATGCCTTCAAGTATGGTCTCAAGGCTCAGGAAGTTTATGCTCTAATTATGAAAATGAAATTGAACAGTAACCAACACCAATAAAAGCAGGAGCATTTGGAGGTTAAAAACCAGAATTTTGGAGTCAGAAAAATCAGCACGACTCCTGTCTCCATCTCCCACTACTTGGTGAGATCTTGGGCAAGGGATTTGCCTCCCTCAGCCTCAGCATCTTAATCGACAACACCACGATATAATGGTTCCCACACTGTGGAGCTGCCGTGGGGTGCCAATAAGATAATGTGTGCAAAGAGCTCAGTTACGGTGCCCAGTGAACTCTCCAGGAACGTTAGCTATTTATGGCAAGAGCAACATCAGCAGCAACAAAGCACCAGATGAGAAGCTCTAAATGGTTCAGAATGTTCAAAGGAGAGAGGATTCTCAATAGGTTGGAGTCTCCAAGACTCTAGAGAAAGAGCCCAGGATGTGGTTTGAGATGGACGTTGGAGAGTTGTTAGGACTTAGATTTTGTGTACGTGATGGGGGCAGGGTGGTGGTGGTGGTTAAATCAAAGCAACAGAGATGCTGTAAGCAAAGGCACAGATATTGTAAATGGCACATGGAATGTTCTAGAAACAGTAGACCAGTCTGGGCAGGGCATAAATTTCTCATATGGGAGGTAATAGGACGTGATCCTAGAAAGGTGGGGTTGTCCAGGCTGGAAAAGAGTATGAGCATCAGGCTAAAGTAGTCAGAATTTCTTCCACAGGCCAAATGGTTATTGAACAACGGAGTGAGAAAAAGGGATCATTTGAGAAAGGATAACATGATGTGTGCCGTGGGTTGAACCGTCCTTCCAAAAAGATACGTTTAACTCCTACTTCCCGGCACCTGTGATGGTGACTTTATTTAAAAATAGGTTCTTTGCAGACGTAACCAAGCTAAGTTGAGGTCATACTGGAGTAGTGTGGGCCTTACAAGGAGAGGGAAATTTGAACACAGGCACGCAGAGAGGAGGCTGCCATGAGACGAAACAGAGATACAGAAGAGAAACAGGGGAAAAGGCCAAGTGACAAGGGAGGCAGAGACTGGAGTGTTGTTGCCACGAGCCAAAAACGCCAGGGAACCCCAGGCAAGCACCAGAAGCTGGAAGAGGCGAGGAAGGGTTCCTCCCAGAGCCTTGGGAGGGAACGTGGCCCTGCCAGAAGTCACAAGTCCTGGATTTAGGATTTCTGCCTTCCAGAGCTGCGAGAGACCGAGTTTCTGTTGTTTGAAGCCACTCAGTTTGTGGTGCTTCATTACAGCAGCCCTGGGAGATGGGGAACTGGCAATGTACAGGGAAGACATGATGTAGTCACCAGATGAGAGAGTGGTGGTGACAAGGAACAGAGCTGAGAAGCCATTCTTAGAGTGGATCAAAGACCTGGAGATACAACGGTGAAATGAAGAAAGAAAAAGGGAAGTGGTAAGAACCCAGAGAACCGAGGTGCTCCCATTGATAGAAAGAAAGACCAGGCAGAAACAAAAACAGAGAGGTGTTGGCTCTGAGCAAGACCTTCTACCTCGAGCAGAGAGGCCTGCCCCAGAGAGAGGCAGCAGGCTAGTTCAGCAACGTTGTCGTTCACATAAAGAACGTCCAGGGAAAGAATGGGCGGGCCTTCTTTTTGCAAGGTCAGAGCTCGTCCAGTGGAAAGGCTCTGGGGCTGCAACGCACAGGATGTACAGCACCAGTGCCAGGCCTCCTTGTCCACTTCCATTCACTCTTGTCTTAATGCCTTGGCAATTAAAACTTCCAAACATCTCAGTCGATTCTTCTTCCACTGTGGCTGGAGATCCACCCCATGTGGGGAAGTTCTACTCCGAAACTTATTCCCATGGGTTTCTAGCTATTAGTACCTGTGGAAAACTTTTGCTTTATTTCAAGATCTTTAGAAAAATAAACAGGGCATACCATAATTGTTGGTTAATTTGTTTTCAGTTAATTGATTCCAGATTTCAGCCTTTCTGACTATTACCACTTTTACCTTTTTCAGCCTATCCTTAAGTTCACTGAACTGTAATTTTGTATAAATTTAATGACTATCCAATGACATTACGAAGTCTGAAAATCTTGCTTTTGTATCTTGAGGTGTCCTACCCTGTAATCCGAGGGTTTGAAAAACCCCAAAATGCTCTACTACTTCTCTCTCTCTCTCTCTCTCTCTTTAACCAGAAGAAGATAAAGGTCACTCTGCAGTCAGAATAATTGCTGCAGTGGATTGAAGATATTTTTAAAAACTTTCTCTCAAAATTACAGATTTAAGATGACAACGAAAGTAAAATTGCAGTTGAACTCCAAAGCAAAACCTTCAACTAAAAATACAAACTACTCACAACGTACAATTTTGCCGGGGCCAAGAGGCAAAAGAGCTTCATATCAACAGAATTCTCATAATCTCTGAGTGTCTACAGAACTCAAGTGGCTTCAAGTTGTATAAAGTCCCCAAATCACTGCAGGTTCGCAGACGTACGTGTCTCTGAAATGCTCTAACATTTTTCCGAAGGTCAAAGTGAGACTCGATCTTTAAACCACCGAAAGAAAAAAATGTCTCCTTTCAAGACTTTTTATTTCACATTGAAATTAAAAATTAAAATTAAAAAGTTTCACATTGTTGCAGATAGTAGAATACAGGGGAAATTGTGTACAAAGTTCCATACTGGCTCCTTTTAACTGGACATCTTTTGTGAAAGTTCAGGTGCCCAACTAGTTGTCATCAGCGAAGGAGTAAGGAAGGAAGAATGAATTATGGAGACAGCGATGGTCAGGTTTTTAATTCAGTAAAAACCACAAAAAACCTTTATTTCTAAACTGAAAGTTTCTTACCTTAATAACTAATCAGAGTGTACATTTTATTTAATCTATAGGGATTGTAGTAGTAATTTCCTATAAGAAACTAGAAAGTATTCTTTATTTGACATGCATATTAATATGTCTATGCCTTCCTACCAACACCTATTGGAAAGAATTATAGTCTGAAGGAGAAGAAATAGCTTGGTTCAGTTGTTACTAAAATCATATTTAAGGTAAATATTGCAACAGACGTTTTATTTTATAAAAAGCAAGTATAGTGAAATTCCTGTGTGGAATGGAGGTGCTTCAGCCAAGAAAAATTATGTTTTACACATTTCAGACGTTCTTTTTGAATAAATATAGAAGCATAAACACGCAGAAATACAGAAGTCAGGAAGAAAAATGATTTGGGCATAAACTCTATCAAAGCATCAAATACCATTTTACTGAAGAGCTGTTCAATTTTTAGATAAGAAATCATGTTTCACAAACATACCCTAAATACCCTTTGCTTATCTGACAGGATCTGATCAAATATCTTTTGAGGTAAAATTTTCCTTCCTACTCCCACAAATTCTTCAGAAACTGCTTAGCAGAACTATTTAAAAAAATAAGTTTCATAACTTTGGGCAATGTGAGAGTGTGACCCACAGAGACTGTGCTATGGCCCAGTTCTGTGTTGGGAGTGTGGCTGCCTGTGATGGACTTCACCCTCTGTGGTGGACTTCACTCTCTGTGGTAGATGTATTCTTGGAGAAATCAAGCAAATCAGAGTGAGTGCGCGCGCGCGCGTGTGTGTGTGTGTGTGTGTGTGAACCAAACTAAGTCATCTTTTCAATGTCCCCAGAAGTTCACCCAGGAGTTGAAGGAATTCTGCAACAAATTATTC
Source organism: Homo sapiens (assembly GCF_000001405.40). Classification (NCBI taxonomy): domain Eukaryota; kingdom Metazoa; phylum Chordata; class Mammalia; order Primates; family Hominidae; genus Homo; species Homo sapiens. The sequence continues at coordinate 126,204,038 of NC_000010.11, forward strand.
ACAGTAGGAGCTGCCAATGCAAGGCTGCCAGTGGCGAATGCTTTGGCTGCTGAACCCCCAGCTCCTATCTCCAGCCCCTGGTTCCTCATGGAGAAGCCACCTCCTACTTCAGAGGCTAGAAATGGAAATCTCCCCACCCCTGGCAGCCAGCTCCAGTCAGTGGATCTGCTGGGAAACTTTCTAGAAACATTTTCTTCCCTAACAAGAAGCGTAATACAAGGGAGGAAACATGGCTTCCCTTTCCCCTCCATTAGACATTGTTGGGTGAAGATGTGATGCTTGGAACTGGAGCTTTCCATCACCTGTGACTAGGAGAAAGCCCAGAGAATTGCAGAAAGGCTGGCCCAGGATGCAGGTGCTGTCAGCTGCTAAATTAGCCTCACCTAGCAGTGCCACCTCTGGGTGACTGTGTCTGTGAGACAATAAGCTCCTCATTGCTGAGTCACTCTGGGTCAGGTATTCTGTTACTCACATGGAACAGAAAGCAGATTCCCGCTTCATGCCCTTTCTTCAGGGCATTTTCCTCTGGGAAATCCCTCTCATCCCTCAACGTTTAGTCTATGAGTAACTCAAGAGACCGCAAATGAAAATGTGGCACCTTTGTTCATAAATTGTTAAGAATTTAAAGACGGTGATAGCAGAGCATTAAACCAACCATGGGCCCTTCTAGCTGTGAGGCCTTGTGTGACCACTCGGACTGCACATTCATGAAGGTGGCCCTATTTACGGGCTTATCTTACCTACCAAATGGGTAGCACATTTTTTCTGTAAAAGGCCAGATCATAAATATTACAGGCTTTCCAGGCCTCACAGTCTTTGTCACAACTACCCAACTCTGCGCTATTCTAAGTAGATTAGATAGGTTGGAACCCACCCACAGTCACAAGAATGGGCATGAGAACCACGTTTGCCAAGAGTAACCCCAGGTTCTTGGCCAGGGTGGATTGGCTCGGGGCTAGGCACCTGACGGAAGCCAGGCCATTTGGACACCACCAAGTCTTTCCAGAAGGTACTTGGGAAAGATGGTACCTTTCCCCTGGAGTTCCATAGCTAATACTGTGTGATCTGTGGATGCCAATGGCTTTTGTCATACAGCATAGCAGGAGAGCCTGACCAAGAGACAACCAGAGAGCCAAAGCCATGATGACACTCTGAGCCCCTGGATCAGGCCACACCTGAAGCAAGTTGTACCTTGCTTCCCAGTTATGTGGCACAAAACCTCTTTACCTTTTCTTTTAGCAGTTTGAGTTGGTTTTCTGTCACTTAAAACCAAAAGAATTCTGAAAGTATGTTTAAAAAAAAAAAAACAACCAACCCTGTGTACTTTAGGCCAACTTCACTCCTCTTAAGTTAGAATAGCTGAATCACTGGAATACACTTTATATAAGATGGCAAAAGTCTTAATTTAATGTCAGCAAGAGTTGTAAAACCTAAAATGAAAAATCTCCCAAATCCACTGGCTTGTTACCATTTCTTGAAGCTCAACTCAGCCCATGCCAGCTCAGGATCTGTATATTTCTTAAACCTGATCTGTCTGTCACATAGAATATCCTTCTGAAAGGGACAGGCTTCCACAGGACAAGTGAATGCTTAGCATCAGGTGGCTGAAATATGCACTCATTGCAGTTTCCAAAAGTAAAGACAAAACCCAGGCTAAGATATAGAATCTTATCTCAAATTTTGCAGACTTCTTGTATCTCTGCCCTTCCATTACTCATGACTCTTTAGTTCCAGATGATGTATAACATGTTACTGTCTGTGAAAGACTGATCGGTATATCCTGGAGATTTTTCTTTTTATTGTTTTTCAGTTGATATCTTTTTAAATTTGAGTTAGTCTGGTCATATGATTTATTTTATAGACAAAACATCACTGGTATCTGAATAAATTCTAATAATGCACACTAGTACATACACTCAACCACATAAAAAATAACACATCATAGTCTAAAAATCTTGGTGGGAAGGCTATTATCTGGCCTGCTTAGCTAGACTTTATGTGTCTGGAAAAATGTCCAATTTTTTTTCTAGCACCTAAACAAATTATCTTGTGTATAGCAAAGCTGGGTCTAACCTGAACTCAAATAACTAGACCACAAAACCCTCTGATGTTGTTTTGCTGTTAAGCTTTCTTTATTCAGGAGAAACACATTGTAAGAAAACAATTGCAAGGCAAAGCAACTAGTCTATAGAACTACCACATGGACATGAATCTTTCTGACCCTTTCTAAAAGTACTTGCCCTACACACCAGAAATTCTGACTCTGAGAGGCTTCAAGATCCTAAATCCCAAAACGATAGACGATTAAAGTATACTCAGGTGGGACACTATCCTGCTTAGTCTAGGGAGACAGATGAATCAATTTTGAAAATATTTTCAAACACAAGCGTCAAAGTGAAAGAGGTGACTCCTCGGCACTCAAGCAGGGAATTAAGTTAATCATAATATCCCATGAGCAAAGAGAAACCCCCAGTCTGCTGCCTCTAGAATGTGTGTATTCATATCCAACACTGACAAACACAACACATCTCACTCAAAAAGTACATCGTTTTCTATTACGGGATGTTTATCTGTATCTGCTAAGACCAAACACCAGGCAATTATAAGATTACATGGCTGGCAAGTACCAACATTTCAAGAAAGAAACATGCAAGAATCATGCTCTGAGTTCTAAGTATGTTGCAGTAGGAGGGTCTTCTTTCTCCTGAAGGCTTTGCAGTTCTCTGCAGGCAGGGAGGAAGGAAAGTGATACGGTTTGGCTGTGTCCCCACCCAAATGTCATCTTGAGTTGTAGCTCCCTGAATTCCCATGTGTTGTGGGGGCGGGGGGGAGCCAGTGGGAGGTAATTGAATCATGGGGGCAGATCTTTCCCTTTCTGTTCTCCTGATAGTGAATAAGTCTCACAAGATCTGATGGTTTTATAAAGGGGAGTTTCCCTGCACAAGCTCTCTTTTCTCTCGTCTGCTGCCATGTGAGATGTGCCTTTCACCGTCCGCCATGATTGTGTGGCCTCCCCAGCCATGTGGAACTGAGTCTATTAAACCTCTTTCTTTTGTAAATTGTCCAGTCTTGGGTATGTCTTTATTAGCAGCATGAAAACGGACTAACACAGAAAGCAAGGATAAAGAACATAAACTAGAAGTCACCTCAGATGAGCATCTTGAGATCACAGATGAGAAAGCTTGGGGGAAACAATGGAATGGGGAGACAGGACACAGAAAAGGGAAAGGGGTTTACTGTGCCTCATTGGCAGAATGCAATGGCTCCCAACATATTGGTAGAGTTGCCACACTTTTGATTTCATCACTAAGAAATGATCATGCATTGGGATCTTTTCTTATAATCTTAGCTAAGTTATAGTGCAAATTACGCAAGCTATTATAATTAAGGTCTGATATTTTATGTGAAAGCACATTAAAATGATTTAAGAGAACATTCTCAAAGAGTGCTCATGATACATCTGTGCAATTCCAATGTTATTTTCTCAGTTTTGAAATGCTATTGGTATTGAAGACTCTGCCCAGGACCTTGTCTGTTACTAATAAGCTCAATATAAAATACGATTGCTTCTGCTCCAATTATACTGACTCATATAGCAATTGGTTACTAAGATATAATTGCTTTTGTGGCTAACATTTTTGTAAAACTTTCAAAGTTTATATTATTTGAGATTACTTACTGATACTAAGAAGATTACAGCTGCTGTTATTTATTTAAATGGTTGCTCGAACACCAATATTCTTCCAGATTCTTGTTTCACTCATCTCTTTATCATCATCTCTCAGGAATTAGAGATTCAATTCCAGGATATATTGTTGATAAGATTACAAAAATATACAGAAACCCTTACATGTTTCAATATGAAAAACACTAAAAGGAAAAATAGTAGACAGCCAGCCTTGCAAGGAACAACATATTTCAATGATTTCTGTAATTTTTTTCTGATAATGTACATTTTAAATAAAGAAAGTTATTATTCACAGAATTAGATTTTATGTAGGGGATTATATCCATTTTCAAACTCTGTTTCTTGATGTGGGATTTATGCTGCTCTGATAAAGGAAATACTTCTATCAGCTGACTGAGATAAGGGAAAGAATTCCCTGGGAGATTTAAAGAAGCCACCATAAAAGGTTCTTAATTTTAAATCAGTGGTTCTTAATGGAGCGTAGGGTGATTTTGTGCCCCACCCCAGGGGACACTGGCAATATCTGCAGATACTTTTGGTTGTCACAATCAGGGGAGCAGACTGTGGGCAGACGACAGGGATGCTGCCAAACATCCTACAATGCCCAGTGCAGCCCCCAGCAACAAAGAATTATCCCCTCCTCTGCAAGAGTCAATAGGGCTGAGGGTAAGAAACCTGTTCAAGCTTCATCAGACACTGGTTCTTGGTTGGTCAGATGGCTTTCAGAGCTCTTAAAAATTCATATGCAATTGTACACAAGCACAAATAAATGTGGGAGGCACAGGATAAGCACACCACACATAGATTTCTTAATGAAGTAAAGGTAAAGAAAAATAAATAAAAGTAGGATTTATCTTTACTTTTCAACGGCAGCTGACTGGCCATCAGGAAATCTATTTCATGTTTATTGGGGGATAAAATCTACACTCCAAAATTCAGGTAGAAGAGAATGGAAACTCACAAGACAGGAAGACTGAGCAGAAACAGAACCATCTGGTAACCTGATTAAAATGATCATTTGACACTTGCAGGAAAATGCTATGAAGCCCAATGGAGTAAGCACACTTCTTTAAATCATATCCATCAGAAACTCTTACACTGCGGGATAGAAAGGAGAAAAAAGAAAGTTTTTTTTTTTTTTTCCTGTTACCACCCACATCTTTCTGGTGATCACATCCCCTAGCCTATACAAATTGAGCTTTTTCCTCAGTTACGTGCCAACTTCTTATCGTAAGAATGTTCTCTGAGAATTGTCAAATGACAAGACATCTCTTTTCAGAATTAATGAAACTTTTCTATTACTCATTATTCTGCTGTCAAAATTGAGACCAGCAAGAGAGCAATGAAAATCAGAATTCCAAAGGAAAGAAGAACGCTGTCAATTCACTGTTGGGAATCTTGGCAGCAAGCCAAAATCCTATCAACATAGGAGGGATATTTTCATCTTCTAATTGCTTCTTATGGCTACTTCCAGAAAATGTAGACTGTTCACATCTTGATGAAAAGGGGTAAAAAGCTAATGCTGCTTCTGAAAACTTTATTATTGTAGCATCCCTGAGTATAAATTTTTTAGACACCTCTATAAAATTCTGTTAGATATGTAAATTGTTTCAAACTGATAAAAATGCCTAACAATTACCTGATCCATAGTGCTGTTCCTTTCTTGTCTTGGCAGGAAAGACAAAACTGTCTTAAGCAGAGATTATTCTTTAGAATTTATAAGGATAATTGATGGTGAGAAAAATAAATCACTGGGGTGTCCTATTGTCACACAGAATTTATTAGAATTTGTCCTAATAACCATAATATGATGATTTGTCACAGCTTTGCTGGCGACAAACACAGGAGTCAGATTTTACAAACTCTGTTGAGTTTAGGGCAATGATCACATGATGATTGAAATAATCCAAATATTTTAGCTGCATTCTGTCAGCAGCTATTTTTAGATATAAAAAGTTTTCAGAAAGAGGGTGACAAAACAAGGCCTATATTGTTATATTGAATGCAGGTTTCAAACCACAGAGGATCCAAGAAAAAGATTTTGTAAAACAAGAAGTTCTTTACTTTTCCTTTACCGTAACTCCCAAGCCTATGAGCACTAAGTTCGACAGCAGAACACGACTCAATAGATTTAGAGGTCTGGACCCATGAAAAGCTCAAGATACAGCTGATTATCCTAGCTAGCACACAACTTCACTGGGAACAGGCGACTGCTGATCACTCCTCATGTGTAACTTATTCTCCTTAATCATTTTATTAATGCAGACTCACATAACTACATCTCGGGATCCTCCGGGTACTACGTTAACTCTCAGGCTTGGTTTTTGGACTTTCCAGATGCAACACTCAACTCGATGACTGAATCTCCCATCTTTCCCCAACTGCCAGGTACATTCATGCCTGCTCCCTTCCTCCTGGGCTGACCCTCTATGGGGAAGGTCCTTCCTTTCATCTCTGCGTGGTGAACTCCATTTCATTCTTCCAGAAATAGCACGTGACAAAGCTGGACTAGCAGCAGCTCCTGTTGACCAATGCTTTCCTCTGTGTCAGGCGCCGTGCTGGTCATTCTATAAATGTTATAAATGTTATTGCATCTACTCCTCCCCAGGTCCTCAGCCTGAGAGAGAGACAGCCCCTACAGCAATTTCTTCCTCACTGCTCTGGACATCAGCCCCGTGTGAGTCACCTAGCACCCGACCCTGGCAGGTCCCAATCCAGGAGGAGGCAATGACCACACAGCATGTCAGATGCTAGGTGGAAAGAGCAAGGTGGAACAAGTGGGGTAGGGGCAGGGCCACAGAGAGAATGTCGTGGATGGCTTCCTGGCTGACAGGACGTGAGTGAGTCCTCCTGACTGTTGAATAAAAGAAGTCCAGTGAAGAAGGTGGTGGAGGAGATGAACATGGATATGGACGATGATGACTGGGCCACGAGGAAGGTCACCAGAGAGCCCAGGATGAGATTCAGCCATATGCCTAGGGAAAGGTTCCTTCCACCAGTGAAACCTGCACTGGAGGAGACAGAGCAGGAGAGCAGAGGGCTGGGTTGACCCAGAAGTGGGGCTTTTCTGGACATTAAGGGAGGCTGATAGGGCAGGAGCAAGGCTGTGAGAAGTCTGGCAGACTAGGAAATCATGGAAAGGTTACGAGGGTCATTTATGGGTGGCTTCCAGGTAGGTGGCACTTTGGTCCCTGTTTTCTGCCAATATCCTCCATATTTTCCTCTGAGTAATTGCCTTTTTCCTATTTTCAATCTTTGTCCTTTGGTGGAGTTGACTCCACCAAGGGTGGGGTCTTGGTGCCACTCAGGCACCTTACACTGTGGTGTAAGGAGCTGCCTCTCTCTTCCTCTGTTTGGGGCTGTGGCATTAGAATGTGAGTTATGGGAGCTGCTCTCGCCATTTGCAACCACAGGGTGTGCACAGGGGTGGCTGGAGGTGATGCCATAGAAAGAATGAAGGTGGAGCTTCCCTTCAGGGCACTCCCTGTCCAGGTATACAGAACCCATCATTGAGATATCAAATAGCTGCATCAAAACTTGCCTGAAGTGTGTTTGTTCCCCTGTTCTTTTGCCAAATGGAGCTAGGCAGGCGGCATACCCCACCCTCCCGGGCTCAGCAATTGGTCCTCAAGAGCTGGGTGCTTCACTTAAGTTCTTCTTTCAGTGGTTGCCAAGGACATTGGAAAAGAGAGTTCACATATTCTCAAAGGAGAAAGAACTTAAGAACCATGGGATCCTGGACCTGCCAGTAGCCATCTCTGCCTCCTGGACCACGTGATCCTCGACCTGCCAGTAGCCATCTCTGGGTCCTGGACCATGTCATCCTGGACCCGCTAGTAGTCATCTCTGCCTTCTGGATCATGTGATCCTGGACCCTCCAGTAGTCATCTCTACCTCTTGAACCATGTGAGTCTGAACCCACTAATAGCCTTCTCTGCTTCCTGAACCATGTGATCCTGGACCTGCCAATAGTTATCTCTGCCTCCTGGACCATGTGATGCTGAATCCGCAAATAGTCATCTCTGCCTCCTGAACCATGTGATGCTGGACCTGCCAATAGTCATCTCTGCTTCCTGTGGACAGATCCAGATGGATAATGAAAACTATGCAGAGGAAAGTTCAGTAGAGTGAGGGAGACCGCGTGAGTCGATAAACACCCTCTGTGCTTCAGTTATTTTGAGTTGGGTTTTCTGTTACTTGAAACAAATCTGTCCAAATAATATGCTTAGACTGGAGCAGTTGTGAAGTCCAGAGTGGGAGGCAGAATGTGGGTGATGGGGAGGGAATAAGGACTTACCTGGGGTTTCATCATTGCCTGGAAAGGTTGTGAATTTGGGTCTTGTTCACTCCCAGGCGTGACTGCTGCGCAGCTCACCAGCCTGGCTGTACATTGCCATGCCAGGTACCGCACTGGTGATTAAGATTCAGGGGCAGACTCCCACTTTCCAAATGAGGATTTTCTCCTCTTTTATGCATACTCATCCACAAACTCCAAAAAAAGTTTCATCTATAGATGTGAAAATTCAATCTGAGTATGGTGCCCATATTGAATCAACACAGCTGGGGTTAATTAGAATTTGGAAACAAGAATGATTTGTTCTAATAATGATCATGATGCTGTCATTTTCCAAGTGACCAAAATCTACTAATTTTATCTTGAACCAAGGAATAAAAGGTATATTCTAAATGTATCCTGCCCCTCAGCTTTGTGAAAAAATTAAGATGTACTTATCTTGATTAAACATTGGTTTATCTTTTGGTAACTATCTTGAAATGCAAATAAAACTTGATAGAGAGTTAAGCAGCAGCTCTTCATTCCTCTTTATTTTATTTTATTTTATTTTATTTGGGTCAATCCCTTCTATTCCTACATATATGAAGAAAACTGGGCTATCTTGGTTTCTCAGTCTTGCCTTGCTAATCTAATTTTATCATCTTTAGCCACTGATACAGGTATCTCTTAAGCATGAGCATTTGAATTCTTCTGAATTTAATTAAAAGAGCAGCTTTGATTATGGAGAGATGGATTCTCTTCAATTTTGCTATCACAGTAAGCAAAGGCTTTTCTCCCTTGTTATGATTAAATGCTTAAGAATGTGTCTGGACTCCTGAGCTTGGTCCTACCACCTGCCTTTTGTGTATTCTCTCTCATGCAGTCAGAGTAACTTTTTTTTTCTAAATAACAGCATTATTGAGATATGCTTCACATACCATAAAACACAGCCTTTGAATGCACATAATTTGGTGGTTTTTACTACATTCATAGAATTGTGGGAGGGATCTTTAGTAAGTGCACCCCCACCCTTCGAAGCCTTCCAAGAGCTCTACAAGACTCACATTTGGTTCACAATTTCTTTCCTGTCGTATCCAGCACAGTGTTGAGCAGATAATAAGTGCTCAATAAATACCTGTAGAAGGAATGTACCCATTCTTTTAGGAGAGGGCTTAGCTCCAAGATCTACTAAATATAGTAACCTTATTTGTGTTCTGGCAAAAGCATCATAAACCAGAATTTTATAAACAATAAAATGCTATAGGTTTTCGTTTTCACTTGACAACATAAATTTAGATCATCCATGAGGGGATGTGCATATGGTTCGTTCTTTAGATAGAACACACTCGTTTTATCTAATTTCAGCCTAAGAAATTTGAGAGATGATCCCCAGATTATATGCCAGAAGGAATCTGTTGAACAATTTTTAATTGAGTGTTTTAGCAAGACAAGCAGGAAAACAAGAAGCTAATAATTGATCAAACATTTGTTTCAAATGGAACTCTTTGAAATTATATGCTAGAATTTGCCAACTTGTTGAAATAACTAAGCCACCCACTGAATATACCCAAACCACTTTCTCTATGAGGCTTGCAGAACAATTTTGGGGTATAAAAATATGCACAGGCTAAATTACCCATCAACACAAAACTGAATATTCTTATCCTTAAATCTCCATGTGACTAAAACTAATTACTGTTATAAGTGAAAATACATATTTCAAAAAGCTCCCAGTGATGCCAAAAGCATTCAGACTGAAGCACCAAGCAGGTGTTTTAACAATGTCCTTGAAAATTTCCCTGCCAAAATGCTAGAACGAACTCTTGTTTGGTTTACCCCTTAAAGCAGGGACCATCTGCTGACTTGACCTTCCATAGACATAGCAAAAGCAAATTAAAGCAAGTTCCTTCTATTAGAAAGCAGCTTTCCAAACTGAGATGAATTCCAGGCTTAGCAAAGGTTTTGCTACCACTCTGTAGAAAATAACATACTGATTACAAAAGTACAATTTTATAACGTGACCCAATAAATCACTTCAAAAATATGGCTAAAATCAGGACACTGGAAACCACTATAATGCAACAAGAAGCATCAATAAGAAGCTGGTTAGATGAATGAGGGTTCATTGAACATGTGGCATTCTGTGTGAGCATTAAAACAAGAAGGAAGAAGCTTACAGCTACTAAGGAATGATTGTTGGCCGTGGTCGTATGCGCAGAACACCAGATGCAGAATGACAAGGATTATGTGGTCACATCCTGGCTCGACCCTTCATTAGCCACGTGAGTTAGTCAAGTCCCTCCCCTCCCTCTGTTTCTCTATCTGTAACGTGGGGGAGGGTAAGAGTTTCTACCCTGTAGGGTTGCTACAAGGTGCTCCTCTGAGATAACATTTATAAAGCACTTAGAATGGTGCCTGACATATAGTACCTATTATATAAATATTTGCTACTATTCTCATCACCATCATTATAAGCAGTAGCAGAACACAGCCGTGTTAATATATGCATGGGCTGTCTCTGGAAATGTATATGAGAGACTGGAAGCAGTGGCTGCCTCTAAAAGAAGATTCTGGAGGGTGTGGGAGTAGATGGTCAGAGGAAGATTCACTGATTGACAGTACCCTTTTGCAGTGATTGAGTTTCTGTGTGCATTTGTTTCATGGGAAAAAGCACCAAATTTTTAGAAAATGAAGAAATTGGGCCACTAATGAGAGCAAACGTTTTTGAGAAGAGTATCTATGATGTTCATTATGACTCAGCTTGGAGTCCTAGTTAATCACAGGTGGCTATGCACAGACCATTTTTGACTCTAGAATAGCAGCTTTCTGGAATGGGACCCTCGGCCCAGCCCACCTCTCACGCCCGCTGGCTGGATTAGGATGCCACTCGGCTGCTCGCCTCCCAGGCCTCCACGCCTCATCCCTTACCCTCACCTTGGTGACTCTCATCCACCTGGGAGAGTCAGCCCCTCGCTGGGCCATTTTCCTGTCCCAAAGCCTTCTCTGACACCCATTTTCCCATGGCACCTGGTCCAAGCCCCTGGGGCTGGCTTTGGAGGTCCTCTAGCTTGTCTGACCACACCCATCTGTCCAGGCCAGCCTCCCCATACCCACACTTCCTGCTCACATCTGTGACTTCTGTGAGGGGCACTCAGCTGTGGTTCTGGTCTACCTGGGTCCAAACCAGCTCTGCTCCTGAAGGTACTGGCTGTACGGCCTGGATGGCCTTTCCCTTTCTGGCATGCAGGGATAACACTCCCCACCAGCACTACTGACAGGGGTGGTGGGGGAAGGAGGTACATCCTCGGCACAGGGACAATCCCATGGTGCCTTCCTCTTTCCTGTGGCCTCTCCCTGGCTCTGGCTGCCCTTCCATAACTCAGGGTTTCAATCCATGTTAAATATCTGGGGGAGGCCACAGGACAGGGCCTTCCCCTTGAGGAATTTGTAGTTCAGCTCAGGGCCCCCCCGAAATCACAGCCCTTAATAGAGTAATCAAGGGCTTAGGTTCTGTGTGGGAATCTGTGAGGGAAGTGTGCTAACCAAGGACTAGGCCATTAGGAAAACCTTTATATAAAAAGTGATACATGATAGGTAAACTGAGGCCAGGAGGAAACTGGAAAGGTGCAGGAGAAGAGAGCAGGCACATCCATTGGAAGGTGGAGGGCAGAACTCAATGAGGAAGACAAAGACTCAGTTCAAATGCAAAACTGAAGCCTGCAATGAAAAATAAGCCATTTTTCAAAAGCAGAATGTGTACCAGTGACAGTAAATTGTGTATTTGTCACCCCCGGCACAACAACAGCTTTAAGGACTTGTGTAAACAGCACAAAAAAATCAGGGGTGTTAGCCAAGGTTCATGGTATTCGCAAATGGCATCAATATTTTGACTAGTGAGAGCTCACGAGTTGCCCTTGTTTTCTGGCTAAAGGCTTTATGCTTGCATTCCTTGAAGACATCTGTATTATTGTCATAGCCATGAACCCACCCCAGGGAGGCAGCAATATTCCCTTTCCCCAAGTCATATGACTGTGGCCTTTTGTTTTCCCCTTTCGAGGGTTTGCTTTGCCATTTGGTGTTAAAAAGCTTTTGCTCACAGCTTGCTTCTTTTAAAACAGTCTGAGAGATTACAGAGAAGATAGTGAAACTCCCTAAATCACACACTGATGTGCCCTCTGTAGACATGTCTTAGTTGTTCCTGCTAAGGGTCCCAATCCTCACTCCATCCCAGCAGTATTTAAGTGACTACTTTGTGCAAAACACTGTAATGAAATTGGGAAGATAAAACTTCGCCCTAGCCAATGAGGATGAGCTACAGCCTTTCCTACAACAGCAAAGCCCACTTCGAACTTCAAAGAATTCCCATAAAGATTAAAAAGCAAACTCCAGGCAGGCACAAGTCAGCCTGCTGAGGCTTGGCCATTTGTTTCCCAACTGTTACAGAGCTCGAAAGCTCTCAATTTCGCCCCTGCCAAGATGTATTCCATCAGAGCCTTCTACATAAATCACAGCTTGTGATAGATCTGTTGTTTCAGCCTCAAGAAACTGTTAGGTCTGAGTAACTCCAGGAAAAGGGCTTATCCTCCGGGATCATAAATCTTCTCTCCTGACCGTCATGTGAAACGCATCACACTGCTTCAAATGTTCCTTCCGACGCATCCTTTATTAATGATGCCTTTGGTTTTGACCATTTGGAATGTTGAATGTATATCAAAAGCCCAGGGGGCTTCGTAGGTCAGGGAGGTGGCCTCCCTCCCTGCCTGGAACTTAGCCAGGCCACCAGGGTGACCCCGGCAGAAGGCCAGAGGACATTGCCTTGGGGCCAAACAGAAAATTCCAGATTTTGAAAGATGATCCATGAGGTACCCCCAAAGGGCTTCTCATCCACATGCACACCCTGAATCTTCAGTTCTTGAGGCCTTTTCCCTATAACTTCCCATGCACTGTGGTTTTGCCTGAAATCCCACATGACAATTAAGGAGAATATTTTTCTGTTTCTCCTGTTTTCTTGGTGCTCATCTTTCCAACTCTGAGCTCAAGAATCAGGGATGTCAGCAAACAAATCCTGGTACATTAATAAAACAATGTTTAATTAGTAAAACCATGAGAGTGAGAATATTTTTTATAAGAAAACTGATTAAGATGAATGCACTTTTATAATAATCACTATAAAAGGCTAACCATTAGTTACCTAATGAATGTCCTAAATACATTGTGATCTTTGAAAAGATGAACTAAAGTTTACCCAGAAGAGAGCAAAGGTTACTGAGAAAAAATAATCAGTCCCATAGCTTTCTACAAGGAAGAAAAATAAATACCTCAAATTTATGAAGTTATCATAGGAAAACAGAAAAGCCTGTGCATTTGGAACTTTTTTTTTTTTTTTGAAACGGAGTTTCGCTCTTGTTGACCAGGCTGGAGTGCAATGGCGCGATCTTGGCTCACCACAACTTCTGCCTCCAGGGTTCAAGTGATCCTCCTGCCTCAGCCTCCTTAGTAGCTGGGATTACAGGAATGCACCACCATGCCCAGCTAATTTTGTATTTTTAGTAGAGACAGGGTTTCTCCATGTTGGTCAGGCTGGTCTCGAACTCCTGACCTCAGATAATCTGCCTGCCTTGGCCTCCCAAAGTGCTGGGATTACAGGCGTGAGCCACTGCACATTTTTGCTCCATGTAAATTACAATATTTTGGCCAGGCATGGTGGCTCACGCCTGTAATCCCAGCACTTTGGGAGGCCAAGGCAGGTGGATCACCTGAGTCAGGAGTTCGAGACCAGCCTGGCCAACATATAGCGAAACCTCATCTCTACTAAAAAATATGAAAATTAGCTGAGCGTGGTGGCACAGGCCTGTAGTCCCAGCTACTTGGGAAGCTGAGGCAGGAGAATTGCTTGAACCCGGGAGGTAGAGGTTGTAGTGAGCCAAGATCACGTCACTGCACTCCAGCCTGGGTAACAGAGCAAGACTCTGTCTCTCAAAAAAAAAAAAAAGATTACACTATTTTCTAATTGGAAATACAAGAAGCTTTTAATTACATGGAAGTATAACGTAAATAAGGATTTTTTGGTACTAGGTACTTCAGTCACACTGAGCTGCTAGGAATAACAGTGACATGATTGTGATTATAATCATTAATCATTATCAGCAACAAAAGCAAAATACAGTTGTTGAGTGTGTGTGTGGGGGGGCAGGGGGTGGTAACTATCATCCACACTGAGATACATTTGGAGTGAGAAGGGACACTATAATACACGTGCCCCGACAACAGGCGTAACTTGGGCCATCACAGGTAAACATGGACACGTATTCCTTCTAACTATGTTGTTCACCTAACTCCACATCAACTCACCAAGGTAGGTATTCTTATGCCCATTTTGCAGAGGGGGAAACCAAGGCTTGTTCAAGGTCACACAGCTGGTGAACAGAACAGCTGGGCTTGGAACTGACTGCTATGCATTGACTTTTCTGGGCAGACTCAGCCAACAAGAGACATACTGAGGGCATCTTGGTACTTCCTCCCTGCAGGTGCTTGGGTCTGTGAGGTACCCGAGGCAGAACAGATGGCAAAACCTTCATTCTCTGTGAAAGGGCCTGAGAACAGGTACTGTGGGAAGGGGAGCACAAAGGTGCTGGGCAATGGGTCTGCCTTGCCAGGGCCTCACACACCCATCCCACAACACTGGCTTCATATTTGCTTTATCCATGTTCAAAGGATATCCAATGTCTGGACACAAAAGTGAACCCCAGAAACAAACCCTCCAGAGGCAGAATGTACTGTTCTACCCCAGTTCTCATGTGGCATTAGGATAAGAAGGGCAGCTGCCAAATTAGGATCTGTAGAGATGTCCGGGGTTATGATAAAAGTGAGACATTTAGATATTTGTGATAAATATTGATGCCAATGCCTCCCTCCCATCAACTGCACAGCTGCATCACGCCTGACCTCGTGCTTGATGCTTTACAGACATCACGTTGAAGCCTCCCAGGCCTGCAAGGTAATGTTACCCTCAATTTACAGGTGAAGCAAATGAGACAGAGATTGCAGGCAGTAACTAACAGGGCCAGAATGTGGTGCCAGGCCTGGAGAACTTCACAGGTCCCATGCTTTGCTCTGTAGTTGTACAACTCTCATGGCTCAGGCTATTTGGGGTTTGCTCTTGGATAAAAAATAACAAAAACAAAAATCCATTGCTACAACTTCCAAAGGATTTATTACCCCAGATGTCATGCCTGACGACGTGTGACCTCTGAGATGAGGGCCTGTTGCAGTCGTCCTTAGCGCCTCGAACAGAGGTCCTGGTGACCTGCTTCGGGAGGCTCTGCTCAGATTGAACCATTGGTGTGACAGCCACATCACCTCAGGCCCCCATGCCTTTTCTCCCCGTGGGCCAGCAGGGAACCTTTGCTAATCAGGACTTACATTAATCTCTTTAGCTATGTGCGACACAGACATCAGTGGTCTTTTTCTTTTAAGATTGGCAGAGCTATAAAATGTCCACATTTTATAGAGAAAAGGAATGTCCATAAATCCAATTGTAAGTGTTACTACGCTATTATATTTTAACAACTCAGAGGTTTCTGGTGAAAATCCTTATAGTTGAACAACCTTAGTTGAATATAATAGTTTATAATTGACATAGATATGTTGCAATTGTCTAGAAGCCAACTTTTCTCACAAAGTTTAGGTTCTGTGAGACAATGAGTAAATTTAGATGCTGTTAGTTAAACCATCCATTTAACGGGTACATTAATTAATGCCACCTATTTAAAGAAACATTTGTTTTTGGATAGACTTTCCTCTTATTATCAGACAATTCTGGGCAAGTAAAAAAAATTATTGTCAGTTTGTAGGCAAAATAGGAAATGGGCTTTCTTCATTGAACTAGACAATCAATGGGAATCTACCTGAATCATATTTGTCCAAACAAGGCCACTGGGAATTGGAAATGAGATGGAACCAATGGGGAGACAGGAGCTGGAAAATTCTGGATTTTGCAGTGGTCATAAAGCAGCTCCTCGCCGTACCAAGTAGGACGTCTCTGAATCTCAGCAGAGACTCAGCCCCTGTAGGAGGAGGCTGAGAGGTCTCCTTCAAGGATGACACATGCCCACAGGGCCAGCCAGCCATTCGGAAGCCTCCACTCTTCAGAGACATGTGTGTCTGTGCGTGGCAATGTGAAACGTGACTAGGGCTTAGTTAACTCTCTGAAGAGCTGGATTCTTGATTCACGATAACAATAGTGACGGTAAATATTTGTTGAGTACTCACGAGGTGCCGAGCACCACACAGCACTTTCTGAAGTAGGTGCTGATACTACAGTCCTGTGTATAGCTGGGAAACAGAGGTCAGGGAATGCAAGGAACTGGCTCAAGGCTTATTAGCCCTCACCCTTAATGAGGGTGCTGTGTCATGTTTGTTGTGCCTGGAGAGGAGAGCTGGATAAAACACAGGATGCCTAGTTAAATTTGAATTTCAAATGAGGAAATACAAGTCAAAATTCACCCCAAAATCAATTCATTCTAAAATGATTTTTGTTGTTGTTGCTGAAGTATGTCTTGTGTACCATTTGGAACATACTTATAAAAATGATTTTTTAATCTGAAATTCAGGTTTCAATGGGCATCCCATATTTGCATTTGCTAGACATCGCAATCCTTAGTGTCCTCCCTTCTCTGTGATGCTAATGATGGGTTCCAAAGTTATGAATGCTTTGCTTATAAAATAATTGGCTTTGAAAGTCTTACCCAATGTGAGCAGTTGGAAAGTCTAGGAATAATTGTCACCTATTAGGAGCCGCTCCTCCCAGACACAAATCTGGCAGCATCTGTGTCCCTCTTAGCAACTTCAGGTCCTTTCTCTGGGGCACCTGTGGGTTCCTGGGATCAGTGCCTTGGGGCAGGGAAACCCGCATCTCCAGCAGGCCACATGGAGGCCCAGAGGCTTCCAGAACACATTCTGATCCCACCCCGTTAGGGGACGAAACAAAGCCTCTCCACATCATTGGGGCACTTGATGGGCAGTTCTCAGTCATGGAAGACTTCAGTTTTGAAGATGATGGAACAACACAGGAAATGTATGAGGTAGATTTAGAAGAGAAGGAGGCTGGGTGCGGTGGCTCACACTTGTAATCCCAGCACTTTGGGAAGCTGAGGCAGGCAGGTCACTTGAGGTCAGGAGTTCGAGACCAGCCTGGCCAATATGGTGAAACCCCGTCTCTACTAAAAATACAAAAATTAGTCAGGTGTGGTGGCACATGCCTGTAATCCCAGCTACTTGGCAGTCTGAGGCAGCAGAATCACTTGAACCTGAGAGGTGGAGGCGGAGGTTGCAGTGAGCTGAGATTGTGTCACTGGACTCCAGCCTGGGCAACAGAGCAAGACTCTGTCTCAAAAAAAAAAAAAAAAAAGAAAGAAAGAAAGAAAGAGAAGAAAAAGAAAAAGAGGCAAAGTACTGTTGACATTTGGATGTAACATGCATACAAAAGATAAACTAACAATTATTATTCTCAGGTTATTGACTTGTGGGTGATTTTAACATAGCGAGCTTCTACTTTTTTTATATTATAACATGTGGACAAGGTTAAAATGCTTAAAAATCTCTTCACCATCTGTCTTCTCTCTCACTTAAGGAATAGGAATTTGGCCAGCAAGTTGCTACTCATTCATTGTTCGCATCCAACACCGAGGAGACAGAGGTGCTGAAATCTGTCACAGGGGGCAAGAAGCAGGTCTGAAATTCAAAGGAGCTGGAATCCTCCTTCTCCCAGGAGATTAGATCCTTCTCATTCTCCCCAAAGAATGACAGGGCTGAACCAGGTGCTACGAAACTCTACTATGTTAAAAGAGTAACCAAAGCTGTCACTCATTAAACGTGCCCAATGGTGGCATCTTGAGGCCAATGCTTCCCTCTAAACCACCAAACTGTCATAGACCCTCAGAACCAGAGTGCCAGGTTAGGTCACAAGAAGTCATCTTGTTCTAGACCACCCACTGGCTGTCCATCAGAAGTCCCCCTCTCCAGATGGCTGTCTCCTGAGGTCCTCAGCAGCTGAGTTTGGCCCACTTTGAACTATGATGCTACCTACACGTCACACGTGAACATAGGCATTACACGGAACCATGGGCACCGTTCTTCTCTGGAAGGTACTCAGTTACAGGGACTGCTCATAGGTGGCTAGCCTTTAGGATTACTGATGGCATATTCTGGGTTTCTGCATAAAGCTTTTGTTTGCAGAGAGGACGCTGGGTTAGAACATTTATTTCTATAAAAAAAAAGCACCTCATTCAGGGCAATTCGCCTTTGAGGTCTCACGTGAAATTGAATTGGCAGGTTCATAAAGCATGGTGCCATTCCTCACTGTGTATCTTTGGGAAAATCTGTTAGCCTCTCTGTGAGTCAGTTTTCTCATCTGAAAAACAGGGACAAGTCTCACTTATCCCACGGGGTGGTTGGAGGAAGAGCCCGGCACAGTCTCTGACTCCCAGTGAGTGCTCGGCATACCAGATATCATCTCTTCTTGCAAAGTGGCATCCCTGGCTTCCTGGTGGCCCCAGAACCGAGCACGCCAGCTGGTATACAACAGACTCACTGGGGGTCCTTTGGTGGCTCTGATCAGCATGCTGATCCAGAGAGTTGCCTAAAGCTTCCATTTGGGGCTCTCATCCTGCGTTTCCGGGGTGTTTTCTAACCGTAAAGAAGACAGGCATCATGGTACTGATTTCAATTTTCAGGAATAGTTGGTGATAGCAGAGGCTGCTGAGAATCTGCAATTTCACACTTTTATAGATCCAGAGTCAGTAGATAAAAAGCATCTAGTCTTCCTGGCTCCATATACTCTCTCATCCCAAGCTGCTTTCTGACTCTCCTTAGAGATCTCAGCCTTTATCCAATGCGTAGTCCAATTTCTTGGGAAATTAGACTTGCAATAGAAAATTTTCCATTGTTTCACACAGGGCCAAGGGAAAAAAGCCTATGTCAGCTGATTCATCATACTTACTAATTGTTCCTGCGTTCTTTGGAGATTTAGAAAGCACAGCTCTGCCAAATCTACTGAAAATGCTTTATTCAAACATGAAAAATAGTCTTCATTTTGCCTATCGTTTTTCCTATCAATTTATAGCCTGTAAGTTTTCACAAGTCCTTCTACTTAGGATACAATTTGGGGGAAGACTTTTGCTTATAATAAGCACAATTCTAAATAAACTTGTGTTATTCAATCTAGTTGTTTTTGCTTCCTTAATAAGTCTAAAGTATAATGCTCTGACATAGATTCGAAGTTGATTTCAAAGAAGTATTTCTCATATTTCAGCTTCTGCCTGTCACATTCTTCTGCTCCCTCAAATCAGCTGAGGTTCTAAGCACCAAGGAGATGAACACTATTTGTGGATGGGAGCCATTTCTCCAAGGAAATGATTCTGCTGTCTGCCTTTGCCATACATAACACACACAATAAAATGAAGAACAACCTTCTATTTTGAATGCCCTTGAATGCTTGAGCTGAGAGCCTAATAGGCATCTATATAAAATTTTTAAAAGGCCACCACTCAAAATTGAGAAGGAATTATAAGCAAGCAATGTTAGGAGAACATCCTCAGCAGCACCTCCCAGCACATGCCTCTATAGTACGAGAAGAGCAGCCCGCGTGGCCCTTCCTCACCACTTCATGGTGTAGGACGTGGGCCGATGCCAGGCTCAGGGACAGACACATGCAGGACAGAAGCACTGTGGCATGAAAGAAAATTCTCCACGGTCTTTGGTCACAATTACTGAGCCTCAGCAGCAACACTCCAGTTGCCAGAGGGAGGGGAAAGCTGTGCATTGGGCATGAGTGCTTTCATGCCTGGACCTGTGCTTTATGTGAGGCCAATGCTGGTACTACACCAGCTAGAGCCATCCCAGCATCCCTGGGGGTTCGTGCCCAGACTTATAGATGAGGAAACTGCTACCTAAGAGATGCTGGATGACTGACCAGGATAGTACGGCCCATAAAACGTGGGACTTGGATTTGAACCCGGCACTGTCCTCTCAGAGTGGAACTCATGACCCCCACCAGCTAAGGCTGTGGGGCTCCAGACATCTGGACTCCTGGGGAGGGGGCCTGGGGAGAGATGCGGGAAAGGCAGCTTCCAGGTGGGTCTCTGGTGTGATATGGAGCTGACTGCCCTCAGGGGAGCCCAGAGAGGGCCTGACTTGGGGCCCCTCCTCCTGTCCTTCCCTGTCTCCGGGGTTAGAGCCACCCTCATGTTCAGCTCCTCCATTCTTAGACAGGTCCTGCAGGCTCCAAGCTGGGGCCATGCTGGTGAGGGGAGTCCCAGGAGAAAGAAGAGCTCCAGCTGGACACACCTCCAGCTCTGGGCATCTCCTTCCACCAGGGCCCTGTCTTGCCTTCCTGGAGCTGGGAGCTTGCAGCTGCTGGACTCTTTCCCCAGGGCCTTTCTGGAGAAGAGGTCCCCCAGGCAGGAGAGGGAGAAACAAGCACAGGAAGGATGGACAGTGGCTCTTCTGGCTCTTAGAAGGCTCTAGGGGATGGACTCTTGGGGAGGGGCCTGGGGAGGTGCCTGGGTGGCGGTGGGGGCGTTGCACGGCCCTTGTCACGAAGGGAGGTTCCAAGGGCATCTTCCCATAATACTGCAGTCTTTAGCCCGTGGCTTCACCTGAATCACAACATACCAGCTCCAGAGCCCCTCTGCTTCCTGCCTTCCCTGGCTCACCTTGGCCCTGGACTGCCAAAGAGCCACTGTCACGATGTCAGGTCAAACGTCTGTTGCCACCTACAAGTGAGCAGGAAGGGACACAGGAGAGGGGCGTGTCTGGAGGCACTCTGCAGCCCCAGCCAGCTGTTTCATGGAGGATCCCAGGCAGGTGCTGCAGCAGGAGACGAGGGAGCAATTACTCGGGAAAAGTGGACATCAGGGAAGCATCAGAGCCAAGCCAGTCCCGCCACCCTCCTCCTCTACGTGAACGGCTTTTGTTGTCAGTCACAGATACTGCTCCTGCCGCCTCTGAGTCAGGTTTGGGAGTGAGAAGCAACTCTTTAGAAAGGGGGCACCCCCGAAGAGGGCGGGATCCTCTGAGCCCACTGTTTCGACTGCTTTCAGAGGAGGCTGTGCTGGTGGCAGAAGGGCAAGAAGGCTTTTTTCAAGGATGAAAAACATTCCTGACCATTTGTACCACATACACCTCTGCCCGACCCCTGGAAAGGGTGGCCAGGAGCTGGCTGCCTTTGCTAAAGCACCATGTATATGTTTTCTGTTGTGTCTCAAGATTCAAAGCAAGGAGGTAAAAGGGAAATAATGAGAAAGGAGTTATTAAAAAATATGTCACACACTTGGGGAGTCAGAGTTTGAAAGCTGAATGCTCTCTGCAAAGTTTCCTCGTTAAGTGTTCCCATTTTGCCGGTGAGGAAACACGCCCAGAGAAGTAAAGAAACCTGCACGGGATCGCACGGCAATTAGTGTGGGGGCAGAGCCAGAGCTTCCGTCATCCATGCGTGATCCTGCCCGATCATTTGGAAAATCGGTTTTTAGCCGTGAGCCCGACTGCATAACTGGGCGGAGGTGTGCGTGTGTTCATGCTTCACACGTGGGAGTGGAAAGTGAGCATGTGTTCAGGCTGCAAAATGAGGGCAAGAGGGGCCTGGATTCCCCTTCACAAAGCAGACTGACCTGGTCAGCCACTCCGATAACCAGCTGGAACTTCAGCACAAACCATGTTCAGCTTTTATCACCAAAATAAGCAAAAGACTTCAGTCTGAACCATAGCTCACAGAACTGTGGCTGGGAACGTTGCTCCTCTCTGACCTTCCTGGAACTGCAACTGGGAATTCCTGCAGTCACAACGCAACCCTTACAACGATGTTACGACAGGATGTAAGAGCCCAGAGCGTGGTAACTCCAGCCTCCCTTCCAAATGGAACAAAGTCGAAGCCTTTCGCAGCTTTAACAGAAATGGGAGTGCGGAGCAAAGTTTATCAAACATGAAATGGGCATCTGGGGTTCAACTTGAGTACCCTCAAAGGGCAGCAGGGACAGGCATCTTATGGGGGAACAGCTGCAGACCTAAGATGTCTGGCACAGACCACCCGT
The DNA here is from genome assembly GCF_000001405.40 of Homo sapiens. Lineage (NCBI taxonomy): Eukaryota > Metazoa > Chordata > Mammalia > Primates > Hominidae > Homo > Homo sapiens. The sequence goes on from NC_000010.11 coordinate 126,226,086, forward strand.
GCAAGCCAGGATGGTGCTCTAGGCACATGGTACAGATGGGTTAAAGGTGACGGCCCAGCAATGAAACCGGGTGCTCTGCATAATCCCTGGGGAAAGGTGGTGGTGGGGGGAGGGGGCGGGGGGAGTGGGGTGGGAGTGCTGTTCTTTCAGCCACTGGATGTCAGCCTGAGCAAATCTCTCCAGGACAGAATCAGAACCATGTGGAAAGAATGCACGAGTTCAGGAGCAGGAATAAGAGGAGAAGCCGGGTGGGCATGGGCGTGGCTGGTGGGCACATGCCTTGCCTGGTGAGGAGCTTCTGTGTGGAGGGGATGCGTGTGCAGCCCTGCGTTGGCAAGGGGTGTGAAGGCAACATGGGCACAGCTGACATGCATGCAATGGTGGCGCTGCTCCAGAATCACATGTCATCACAAGAGGACTGGGATTGGGCTGTCGACTCTGACGGGCCTGAGCCTGAATTCTGGCTCTGCCTCCGGCCAGCTGAGGGACCTTAGGCAAGACTTAGTTTTTCATACCTGCAAATTAAGGTTAATAATTATACCTCCCATTCAAGTTTGTTGTGAAGGCTAAATGAGAAAAATGCATGTAGAGAGCTTGGCTTGTAGTAAGTGTTCAGTAATTGAGGACAGAAATAGTAAATGTTCAGTAATTGAGGACAGGAGCCAACATTTACTGAGCGATTACTATGTGCCAGGCACTTTACCGGGTGCCAGGACACAGGACAATGATGACTGACTCAGTTATGCCCTCAGAGCTTATGGCCTGAAGGACTAAGGCTGTTTTGCAAACTGCACTAAATTTCTGGGTGGAAATATGAACATATATACTGGCCAAGTGAACCAATTCCTGTTTTGCTCTCTGTTCTCCTTGATGCTTGTTCTCTGAAAATAACTGCTTATCGTACAGCAGATTCAACAATAACATTTCTATGAAGATAAGTGTTTCCTGCTACCACCAGCATTACCACCATCACTATCATCAATACTTGCCCTGTCACCACCACCATCACTATCATTATCACCAACATCACCACCACCATTACCATCACCATCATTATCACCATTGTCACTACCATCACCATGATCATAATCACCATATCACCATTATCACTAACACCACCACCATCACCATCATGCCCACCACTATTACCATGATTACCACATCATCACCATCGCCATCATTACCATCATCATCGTCACCATCATCACTATTATCACCATCATCATTGCCATCACCACCTGTCATCATAACCACATCACCGCTGTTATCATCATCATCTTCACTATTGCCACCATCATCATTTTCTCTTCATCATCAACTTCACGCACATTGTGAGGCACTTAGTATTTGCCAGGCCCTTTGTTAAGCCCCCTACATAGACGATCTCATTGATGTTCAAGTAGCACACTTTTTTCATGACAGCATGGGCCAGCAGCAGGTACGACACACAGGAGCTTGTTAGAAACATAAATTCTCAGTCCGCACCAGACCCACCGATTCAGAATCTGCATGTCAGCATTATCCCCAGTGCTTTGCAGGCATGCTCACGTTTGAGAAGCCCTGGCCCAGATAAGAAGATGGCATTCAGGAAGGCACCGTGTCTCAGCAGAAAGTGACTGCTTTGGAGAGAGTACCCCCATCACCTTTCTCTTTCCCCTCCTTTTCCTTCCCAGGGACCCCACTGAACAATCCTTCTGACAACCTCACTAGGCCAAGAAAACAAAGAGGCAGAAAAAAATGGCAATATTTTTGTGAGGCAGAGAGAGAGCTGGGAGTGGAGAGGACAGTGAGGAGGGAGCTGAGTCATGACAGATGGTGAGCTGGCAGCACCCCCCAGAGCCATGCCTTTCATACCATTCATATCCTGGAGTCCCTAGGGAGGAGACAGTGGGGACCTTCCTGTGATGATTCCCCTGGATCAGGGTATGTCTGGGTGGAGACGAGCTTCCAGAAGCCAGGGGAGGGAAAAGGGGTCAAGGACGGCCCCAGACACTGCCAGTCCTCACTTGAAAGCAGATAGGACATCTGATGGGGAAGCCTGCACCCCTAACAATGCTTGGGTTCTGGAATGAAAATCAAGTCCCATTGACAAAAGCAAATCAACATTTTCTGAAAGTTCACAAAGTCGTAACTGTACCCCCCAATATGCCAACAAACGATTGGTATTAACAAAGGCTTAACACTTGGAATGTAAGAGTTTTTGATCCATAAAGTGCATCCTAAGATATTTTTTCCCCATTCAACTTCCATTAAATGCATGATTCCAAGAGATCGTTTCATATAAGACCAAGAACTGGGTGCTGAAAGAACAGAAGTGAAACAGATTTTCAAAAAGTAACTTCAAATGTACAATGTTGGGCTCAGATAGAAGGATTTAATTTTTATAAAACCCTAAGAAGGTTTAGTTGTATTTTTAAACATATGTTTTTTGAAATACTTAAATAGAAAACATCCTACTCATAAGTCTATTTCATACCAGAATGAAATCAGATAATTAGAAATCATGTTTCTAGTAGGGTATTTTTACACTCTGGAAATATAAGACAATTTCCTACTAAATGAAACACTTTGTTGCACATTTTTGTCCTTCCTCCTGGAGCTTTTAAGTTCTGATTATCAGGAGGAAGGGGTGGACTTTAAATTCATCCTTCTGCCCCCAAACCATGCTCTGCAGTAGACATGGGCCAGGCCTCCCACCCATGTAGCTGAAGCTTCTGATATGTTCAAGCCTCCTCTTTTCTTTAAATAAAAGTGGCTGTTTTCTTTGCAAGTATAAAATAAACCAAATGTAAATCCAGTGATTAAATGCAGTAAGATTTTATAGATTAAGGTTAAAAAAAATTCTTACTGGCAGTGTGTACAGAGGGTTGTCAGACAATATAAAATCAATTGGTATGGAAAGAAAGAAAATCCAATACCTTTTTGTGGTTCCCCTGTTTACCAGGAAAAGAACAAAACAAAAGAGAAAAACCTGAGATGACCACGCTAATGGAAACACTTCTGCAGGGAGCCTGGGGATTTCTTTACCCAAGTGATCACATGTGCAGATGCCCTCAGAGCCTCCCCTTCCCAGGAGGCGGGCAGGGGCTTCCGGTGGAGGGAGAGGAACCAGGAGGTGGGCAGGGGCTTCCGGTGGAGGGAGGGGAATCTAGGAGGGGAAATATTATCAATTGGCCTGAAAGTTCTTAATTTGCCTTTTGAGAAAAAGCCTGTAGGAACCAAATTCCAATCCTGTTTGACTCCTGTGACTTCTCAGCCTCAATTCTGGGTTTGTCTGGGCATGGCAGTTCTGAGGATAAATTATGTTTGATGCATTTGAAGACTTTCATTCATTTTAATGGCTGCATAATTGTAAGAGCCTTTTAAAATTGTTTGTAGAATAAAAAAGTTATATATATTAACTTGAGAAAATTATAAAGAATAAATTTCAAGTCTCCAATAAAACACATTAGAAAATATTAATTAGCATTGAATGTATCTATTTCCTTCCATTCTTTCCCTATACATGTGCATTCTCTCCCTCTCCCTCCCCCTCCCTCTCCCCCTCTCTTCCTCTTCCCCCCCACTGTCTCCCTCCAGTCCTATTCTCTTTATCTCTCCCGCCTCCTTCCCTACCTTCCACTCACTCTTTCTCCTTCCTCCAGTTGCAAACCTCACTTTTCCTTTGGGAACCCCCTTCGTGCTCTGTTCATGCCTGCTGTTCAGATGGAGCTCTGCCCCGTATTCCAGTAAATGCTCGAAGGCATGATTGTTAATCTCTTACTGATGTCATGCTTCTGCGCTTTCTATTGAAGACTCTCAAGGCCCTTGTGACCTGGCCGCTGCCGCACTCTAGTATCCCACATGCAGGTGCTCAACGAGTTGTGCTTCTCCAGCAGTGTTTGGCCCTTAAGGTGTCAGTCCACATCCTTGGCTTGGCCAATTCCTACCTGCCCTTTATATGTGGCTAATTCTTACTGATCCTTCCATTTTGGCTGAGCTGCAACTTCCTCCAGGAAGCCTTCTTGTGGTACTCTCCTTTCCTGTCTTACCAAGCCCAGGGAAGGTTCCTTTTCTGTGTGATCTTCCAGCCCCCAAAGCACTCATGGCATTGGGCTCTTATGGCCAAATTACTTATCTGTACCTCAGATGCAGGGTACACTCGTAGAGGGGTCAGGGACTGGATCTGTTTCTACCCGCCCCTCACACCTTATATTTCCTGCAGCTAACACTGCTCCTGGCATTTATCTGACGTTCAATACAACATCTTCAATGCCTATCATGACCACACTGCAATGAATATACTTTTGCATATGCCTTGGGATACACTATACTTTCCTGAGGATAAATCCCTGATGTGAAACTGCTGAGTCGAATGCTGTATGTTTAATATTCTTAATATGTATTTCTAAACTGCTCTACCAAAGGGTGTATCCATTTCCACTCTTCCAAACTGTGTAAGAACCCACCCACTCTCCTGAAACTCCATCAACACCGAATTGTAGTTTTTAAAAGCTTTGCCAATCTGATAGATGAAAAATATGACCTCATTTGAATTTTCATTTAAGTATAAATCAATTGGAATGTTTTCCCACATATTCATTAGTCATTTGTACTTTCTTTGTGATTGTCTTAAGCCCTTTTTAAATTCAGTGTGAACGTCTTTTGCTTCCTGATTTGTAAAAGCTCATGATATATTCACTATATTTATGCTGCCAATATTTTTTCCATTGTATCATGTGCTCCTTGTCCTTGATTTGGATATTTTAATAAAAACAAACATTTTTAACTTACAGATTAACTATTAACTATTGCAGTCTTATCCCTTAGAGTTTTTTCCCTTTACCTTTACGTTAAGCTAGGACATGCATTAAATCTAAGGGAATTGTGTCCTATGTAAATTATAAAACTTGTGCTTTAGAAGGTTATAAGTTCAATTTTAGCAACCAAAAACATTTTATTAAGAACGTAAGACATCAACTTAAAGGGACTTCTTCATTGCATTGTCCTGTAAATGGAAGCATCTTCTGAGGCCCCTATTGACTTTTGCCTGCCATATACTGTAAATCTATATATTCTTGTACTTTAATAGCTTTAGTTTTAAAAATGATTTCTTCAATCTACTAGAGGCCGAGGTTTGCCAGAATAGTACAGCCCATTAAGATTATTTAAAGTTTGCGAGAAACTTATTTACTATATTTTTTTCTTCTCTGTGTTGGAACATTTGGCTTTCTTTTTCCAGGGTTTTTATAACAACGATGTCTTCTTAGGAACTTTGAAATCTTAGGAGGGAGGAAATAAGGCAACAGAAATAGAAGATTAGTAGGAAAAAAAAAAAAGCACCAGCTATTGGGTCCTTTATACCATACGAATGTCTTAATAATATCTACCCTTAAAGCAAAACTGCCACCCTCCCTAATTCTAGCTACTGCGCCATCTATAGCAACTCCCTCCCATGAGTGGTCGTGATGTGCTGCTTTTCTTACCTTCCATCCTCTCCTTGCCCTGGCGCAGGACTCCTGTCTCTAATAGGGATGTCACCAAGGTCACCCATTACCTGCTCTGGTCACATGGAAAGACCAGTTCTTTTCCTGATCTTATTCTCCCCACATTAGCACAAGGCCAGCCCACCACTCTCTCCTCCTGGCAATGCCTTAGGTCCTGAACTGCCTCCTGCCTCGGGGCGGCTGCTCTCTGTTGGCGCCTCCTCCTCTTCCCAACCTCAGTGTGTTGGGCTGTGGAGGAGATACAAAGGGATGAACGGGATTGGTCCTTGACCCACTTGTCTTCCATGTCTTCTCTCTTTAGGTGACTCGGTCTAGCCTCAGTGTAGATTCTTTTGATCCCCAACTGTTCTTTCTCAGCCTGAATTCTAGACATAACCAATTGCCTTTCTGACATTTCTACTTGAATGTCCAGCAGACACTGCAAACTTTATATAACTGAAAGGAATTCTGGACATGAGTGTCCCTCACCCCATTGTTTCCTGTAATGGGCTGAATACTGGCCTCCCCAAAGATGTACACATTCTAATTCCTGGAACCTGTGAATCTGTTACTTCATTTACCAAAAGGACTTTGCTGATGTGATTACATGAAGGAGCTGGAGATGAAGGGGATGATCTGGGTGGGCCCAACGTAACCACAAAGGTCCTTATAAGAGACAAGCAGGAGGGTCAGAGTCAGAGAGAGAAATTAGAAGATGCCACACTGCTGGCTTTGAAAACGGAGGATGAGGTCAAGAACCAGGGTATGCAGGCAGCTTCTAAAAGCTAAAAAAGTCAAAGAAATAGGATTTTCCTGAGAGGCTCCAGAAGGAACACAGCCCCACCCACACCTTGGTTGTATCCTAGTGAGACACTAGGATTCTTTTGGACTTCTGACCTCCAGAATGGTATGACAATAAGTTGATGTTGTTTGAAGCCATGAAGTTTGTAGTGATTTTTTTAGAGCAGCAAAATAGGAAAATGACACGTTCACCAGCACCACCAGAAAACCCCACATGGAGCCAAGCAATCTGCTCTCTCTTTGTTCTCCTCCTTCTCAACTGACACCTGCACTGTCCCCTCATCTTCTCAGGCCAGCATCTTAGATATCAACCTTTCATCAGTCTTTTTCTCTTAGATATCCAATAAATACATGCTCAGCTGGCACATGTGCAGCAAAACGAGTGACTTGTGAAGATGACATATTATATAGTTAGGCAGCCATGACTGGAGCCCAGGTGAAAATGATGAGGGTTAGAACTAGACAAATAGTGGTAGGACTAGGGAGGAAGATAAGGAATATTAAAAATATTTAGAACAGAAATTCCACAGGATGGGGACAAAGAGGAGTGAGTAGGTAGGTGGGGTCACTGATGGAGGCAGAGGAAGGAAGGACGGGGGCAGTAGGGAGAGTCGGTGGGGAAAGATGTGGCATCTCGATATGTTTCTATTGCATTTGGGGTGTGCGTGGAAGACGTCCAGGCAGAAGAGCATCCCCTACCACAGTCAATTCAAGGGGCCTGGGGCTGGGCTTTGGGGACAGATGTATGTGGGAGATGTACACTTGGGCTTCATCAGTGAAGAGGTGGGAGTTCAAGGATGGGTCCCCATGATGCAGGGTGTGCGGGAGAAGAACAGCCAAGGGCAGAACCCGGAGGGCACCAGCATTTCAGACCTGAGTGGAGAAGGAGCAGTCTGGAAGAGGTGGGAGAGGACCCCTGAGGAGTGACAGAGAGGATGCTAGAAGAGCCTCGTCACAGAACCAGGTAAGGAGAGTGTTAAAGAAGGAGAACCTGAGGGACTGTGCCGGATACAGTGGAGTCCACATCAAGTCAGCCTCAGACAAGGTCCTGCTGGGGGAGGAGGGTGTGCAAGTAGCAGTGATGGGGATAAGAACCAGCGGGGACCAGGAGTGGAGAAAGAGAGAAAAGTAGAGAGGCACCGCAGGGCCCACATGGTTTGGGTGGGCGGTTGGGGAAAGGAGGCATAGTTTTAAGGCTGGTATATGTTGTGGGCTGCATGGGAGCTAGGAAGGAGGGAGAGGCTGGAGACAGACATGTTCTGCAGGAGATAGGAGGATTGAGCCTGGCTCTCCATAAGCCTCAACCATCTCGTGGGAGCTTTCTGCACTCGTGGGAGTGCTCTGCAATTACTGGACACTTGTGAACCAAATGTTTCTAATAAGGGGACTCCCTCCACTCGCATATTTTAAGGTGAGTCCCACCTGAATTGGAAATGCGCTTCTCTTACTGTAGAAGCAGTCTTTGATCTATGATAACAGATGAAGTAAGTGGCAACTGTGTTTACATTGCACTTGGTATTTTATGATCCTTTGTATGCATAATTTTGTATCCCCTAAGGTTCTATAAAGGAAAAGAGAAGAGATTAAGGAACCGGCAATATATCATTGTTATCTTTGCGTGTGTATGATGGGAAAATAAACAGGCACCTATTTTACAGTAAAGATAGCATAAGCTGGCTGTAGCCGGGCCTCCCGAGGAAAGTAATGAAGAGGCTGAAAATACACAGCAGGCGGAGTACAGAAATTCCCAAGCTCATGGACAGGCACACCACTCCTATACAAAGAAAACCACCAGGGAGGAGTTCGAGCATGTCAAAGAAAAAAGATGGGAAGGAAGGCTATCAAAATGGAATGAGATTCTGCGTCATTTCTTCTTTTTTTTTCTCTTGGCTTACTTGTGCTTAATTTTTATGTAATTATCATGGGCTGCATTTGTAATAAGAAAAGCAATAATAGTTACAATTAAAACTGCATATGTTAATAAAAACTCATAAGTATTCTTTAAGCAGACACAAAGCAGTTCAGTACTGTTTGTTTGTTTGAAAGCCAGTTAGATTCCTGTTGCCAAATCTCAAATATACAAATGCAGATTAACGCTGCATCTAATATCCAAACACAGGCTTAGAAAACAGATCAGTTACAACGTTTCTAGTTCAACAAGACGACTCCTTTCTTACTTCCCATGTGCCTGCTCTGCCCAGTAATGAGTTGGGTATGGAGGAGGATATGGAGAGAGGTGCAGTGTAGTATCAAACTCAGAACTTGCCTGGCGAGAAACAGAAACACACACGCATCCTGACAGTGTCCACCTATGTGGATGCTCAGCCTTGAAAATGCAGATCTGTATTTGCTTCCATCTGTGTGAGGAGTTGGAGAGGCAAGAATGGTGCTGAGCCAGTGATCCGGAAAACAGGAATAACTCCAAATGGAGGGAGGATGGATCAGGCCAACGCTCACACCAGGCAATAACCAAGGAAAGCCCAACTGCTACCAGTGATGGCTGAGGTGCCAAGCAGTTCCCCATCTCAGGGTCAAAGGGGCACGTGGAGAGACCTACAAATCGTAAGGTGGCATGAACAAGGCATCACACTGCAGGCAGAAACCAAGGCAGGTCTCCCAGGTCTGATGCTGCAGGTGGGGAGTTGAGACAGGCCTCCTGGGACTAGGACTGGATGGACATGGGAGGAGATGGAAGAGTTGGGGAAGCTGGCAGAGGGGTGGAAAGGGTCGTCTCCACGTGGCACACAAGGCCAGACTCCTCACAGGTCGATGAGTCCAGGCCAGGCCACCGCAGGTTGGGGCCACCCTGGAAGCCCAGGCACCTGCTGCTCTGTGGCATCTGCCTCAGGTGACCCATCAGGAAGCCACCCCCCAGGGAGGGACCTGGCCTGACTGACCGGTGACCACGGCCTTGAGGGAGAGTGGGCTTAGTCACCGGATGAACCTCAGGCCTGGGTGTGTCGGAGGAGGCTCCATTGCCTCCAGGCAGCAACACAACAAAAGCACAAACCTGGCTACTCCAGAGCAAGAGAGGACACATCTGGAGGACGACAGGAAGAGGCTCTGGGAGAGATGAGAACCAGGGAGCGCGGACCGCTGGGCTCCAAGTCGGGCCCCTGGGTGTGAGTCCTGGCTCTGCCCTCACTGGCCTTCTGGCCTTCCTCGAGGGACTTGAACTTGCTGCAGGAGCGTGCCTGCATCTGTGAGGCGGGCTCGAGCTATCTCACGGGGCTGTTGGAAAGGCAGCAGCGGCACACCGTCCAGCCCAGCCACACTCAGAAGATGCCACCAGGATGCGTGTCTCCTTCTCCAGCCTCCTCATCCCTTTCTGCTCTCCTCCCACTTTCTGCTCCAGATTTCAAGGGAAGAAAGGGCTCCATTGTTTACAAATCTGCTTACAAACCATTGGTTTCCAAGAAAAATAATGGTCGTGTTCGAGGAGAGTGGCAGTGTTAGGAACAAAAGGGCCAAATCGCAGGGCCTGGCAACTGGCTGGGTAAGCAAGAAGCAGGGTGTGGGGTACACAGGGATCTGGGTCAAGGGGAACACACGGAGGAGGGGGTGGCTGTACCATGGGCTGCGCAGGACCTGGTTGGACCAAGGGGCTGGGGGAGCAGAGGCGAGGGCAGCCCAGGGCCTGGCAGACAGGGAGACAGAGCTGGGCTGGAGAGGGCATCTTGGGCAGGCGCTGAGGCTCTGCCAGGGCTTTGGGTTCCAACCTGAAAAGGACAGGCCACCAGCGCGGAAGGAGGAAGAACACATTTGCGAGTTAGAAGGGAATGCCCTCACTTGGGAGCAAAGAAGCCAGGGGATGCTGGAGCTCAGCCCAGAGAGTGTCCGTGGAGACAAGAAAAGGAAGGTTATCCAAGGTTATCCAGAGCTATGCCCAGGTGGCATCAACAGGCCTGGTGCCCTGGGGGAAGGCTGGGGCAGACCCTGCAACTCTCGAGTGTCTGGCTGGGGCCACTGGTCAGATGGAGATGCCAGGGCCTGCGATGGGGAAGCCCCCGGGATAAGTGGGGAGCAGGAGAGCAAACCTGCGAGCTCAGGCTGGGATTTGCTGAGTCTCAGATGCCTATAGGACAGCTGAATATGGACAGCCTGGTTTCTGGAAATTGTCAGACTCATCTGGAACTCCAGATAAATCACAGCCTGGGCCACAGAGGTGGATACTGCATGGGAGAGTGTGGAAAGGAAAGCAAGCACGGCTCTGCGGGGGGAGCTGAATGAGCACTCACAGGAAGGAGCACTCACAGGAAGGAGCACCCACAGGAAGGAGCACTCACAGGAAGGAACACCCATAGGAAGGAGCACTCATAGGAAGGAGCACCTGTAGGAAAGAGCACTCACAGGAAGGAGCACCTGCAGGAAGGAGTACTCACAGGAAGGAGCACCTACAGGAAGGAGCATCACAGGAAGGAGCACCCGCAGGAAGGAGCCCATGAAGGAACCAACAGATCTCTGAGGATGGAGAAACCCCTGGGGACAGCACCCCCAAAGCCAAGGGGCAGGGCCGCCTCCTGGAGGAAGGGGTGACAGGAGCCATCCACCCTGGGCATGGGCAGGCAGCATGACATTGCCTGCAGAGAATGTAAAACAATACAGAGCTGACCAGAAGCCTCCTGCTTTTTATTATCACCATGCATTGCCCATTCTAAACAACATCAGTGATAATGCTCTCCTCCCTGCCTGGGCCAGCCTCGCCCACAACCCCTCCCCCCATTTCCCCAGATGCGTCTACGTTAATTAACATGTTTTCTAGCACTCTTCAAATAAATACCCTCATGACACATCTAATTCAGATATTTTCTTTAAAACTGCTGTGTTCCCTTTTCTGGACTATGAGATACGTAACCCCTTATTTTATTCTTTGCCTTGCCTGTTAGAACTCTATGGGAATCTTTTGTGTGTTTGTTGGCCTGGCAACTTAAAATTAATTTGAAAATTTTCAAATAATAGGGAAATAGAGAGGACTTCTATTATTCTATTCTATTCTATTCTATTATTCTCAGAAAAATAGAGGGGACTCCCCTATACCCATCACCCCAATTCAACTATCATTAACTTGGGGCCGACCTCATTTCATCTATGGCAGCACCCGCTCCCCCTTCCTCTCACTGAATTATTTTGAAGCAAATCCCAGATATCTTCACTGGAAACACTTCAGCAAAAGTTCTGCTTTCAAAACATTTCTTATCTACAATATCTTCATATATTTTTGTCCTCCTCCTTCCCTTTTTCTTTCTACTTGGTTTTCATCTTTATACTGGGCTGTGATCCTTATTATTTTGGCTGTGCCACTTCAAATAATATTTGGTTATAGGTAGAGCCTAAATGAAAATCATACGTTTGTAGCAAAACGTTCCCAATCACACGCTGACAATCAGCCCATTGCATATGATGGCCCAGGTTAAGCACTGCACAGCTTCAGAGGCCCCCACTGGAAAGAACTCTAATGCAAATCCTCTCTCCAGCCCTAGAGTGATGGGGTATAAAGAGCTTGGGACAAGCTAGGATGACATAAAGATCAAGGTGTGTCATTCTGTGCTCTCAACAGTGCCCAGCACAGTGCACTGAACTCAGGAGTGACACACCGTTTGTTGAATTTAGGGATGAATGATAAAAGAATGGGTGAAAGTGTTGGCCCTGCGATGGTACGGAAGAAAACAAAGCAACGACAATTGTTAGCTACGCAAAATATTATCCAAAGCATTTCTTTAAAAAAAGATCATTAAAATGGTTTTATTTGTAAAAGTGCAACTTTCATTCTGTTTTAGGAGTACATACATTGCGTAAAATAAGGTCCTTCAAAACGCTTCCTACAATTGTATTTTAAATTAAATCCTGGCCGGGCAGGGTGGCTCACGCCTGTAATCTCACCACATTGTGAGGCCAAGGCAGGTGGATCACCTGAGGTGAGGAGTTCAAGACCAGCCTGGCCAACATGGGGAAACCCCATCTCTACTAAAAATACAAAAATTAGCCGGGCGTGGTGATGCACACCTGTTATCCTAGCTAGTGACAGGCTGGGGCAGGAGAATCGCTTGAACCCAGGAGGCGGAGATTGCAGTGAGCCGAGATTGTGCCATTGTACTCAGCCTGGGAGATAAGAGCAAAACTCCATCTCAAACAAACAAACAAACAAAATTTAATTAATTAATTAATTAAATCCTGAGAGTTCAAGTTCTAAACCTATGTGTAACCATTTTACTATCTATATGCATCCCAAAACTGCATGTTGCGTACTTTCAATATACAAAATAAAATTTATTTTTAAAAGTTGTATGTCAAAAAACATATAGACCATTCTAGAAATTAACACAAGAACATGGAATGTAATACCCAGACCAAGAACACGTACAATATTATGCTTAAATATTGATGTCATTACTTCTTCCAGGCAACAGCTCATAAAATAAATCCATAGTTCTCTGCCAGCTAAGAAGTCACAGGAAACAGAAACTCCCTCAAAATCTTAGCCTGTTTCTGAGGGTAAACCTGAGATTTCATGGGCACTCATTCTGCTCTGCTACATTTTTCCCTGTCTTTCTTTTTTATAAAGAGGATTTGCTTCAGAGGCAATGCAGACAAATGAATTATTCATAGAGAAAGAGATAAAAGAGAGAAGGTTTCAGGGACTAAAATAGTTAGGCCTCAGGTTCTATGAGTTTGATCACATTGACTACTAAGTAGGCATCTTGGGAGCTGAAATAAACCAAAATTAAGAAGTAAAAATGATGTCAACAAGTTTTTTAGCATGCAGTAAGGGAGAACCACTTCCAGCAATAATGCCAGTGTTAAAGATTAGCTTTTGATTCTGAACTAATTCAAGTAACACCACATGTACATATAACTGAACAATGTTTTCTAGATAACAGGTGGGATATGTAACCTACAGAAATAAAAATTATATAGGAAAAAGAACCTCATTGTTTCCATGTATCTATAAGAACCAATGTACTACTGGATGAAACCATAGCATAGAATATCAAGAAGGCATGTGTGGATAAAGCCTTTCCTATAGGATATGACATAACAGTGAATTTTTTGTTGAAAATTTCGTCAGTCCTACATTTATAAAATCTGTCTTGGATTTTTAACCCTCAACTTTCTGGAGTACTTGGGGGTGTCTAGACCAATGTACAGCTCAAAGCTTTTGTTGACAGGGGAACAAATCCGACCTTTCTAAAATAAATGGGTATGGGGTAACATTTTCCTTTCAGAAATTCAAGCACATGACATTTATTTAGGTCGTTATTTCCTCCAAGAGAAAAAAAAATCATCTTAAGATGGAGAATTACAACAGAATCCTTTATTGTCGGATCTAAGGAATTATGACATAGTGCACGTTTGCAACTTTTTGATCACAAATCCTAATATTAGACTCTCAAAATCTTGTGAGGTTGAAAGAGAACCATTCACGTCATTCAGAACTATCTGATTATGTATTCTTGATTTTCTGGTGGGAATTGAAATTTGGCCCCTTTCTAAAGGAAGGCCAGCATCTTGCCCCATGATGGGCAGGTGGAATCCATATAGTAGGTCCTAGGTGAGCTCTGGTTGGTGTGGCTTCCAAACTGGGGTCTTACACCCAATCACTGGGTGTCCACTGCCGTGCCCCCTGCCCTCCTCCTCCATCCTTCCGTGCCAAGCTCAGGCAGCACATCTGTCCTGCTCTGCCCGGAGTCGACTCAGCTCCCTCCTGGCTTGCTGTAGCATTGCGTCTACACTGCCCATTGGTGCACGCAGTGCTCAGCAGTGAAGTGCTGTATCCATTGTGTGATGACCAGCCCGAGGGCAGAGACCTGGCTGAGCACTGTCCTTGCCTCCCACTCAGTGTGTACATAGCTGAGGACTCTTCACCAGCCGAAGGGGAACTATACAACCAAGACAGGCACACCCTTTAAAATATTCATTCCACAGCACTCATTAAGCTCTGGGCATTGTGGCACAGGCGATGCTCTGGGGGGCATCAGCCCCTAAGAGCGTGACAGAAGTTGCACCTGTGCTAATCTGTGCTTCAGCTGGGCCTTGGAGACAAAGCAACAGGAGCAGAATCAGTCCCTGTCAATGGCATTAAGCATAGTGGAGGAGACCTACATAAAACGAGTAAACACACGACAAGTGCAGAATCATAAATGAGGAGATGCAGTTTAAAGGGAAAGAAAGAAAATGCTAGGAAAGACTGAGGGTTAGGCAGGCCTATTTCACACAGGCAGTCAGCTGTGCTCTGAGTATCTGGGCTGAGACCTGAAGGCTGAGAAGGAGCTACCAGGCAGGCTGGAGCTGGAGGCAGAGACTTCCAGGCAGAGAACAGAACACAAGTGATCCTGCGGTGAAAGAGACCACGTGCTTGAGAATTGAACAAACAGCAGCTGGAACTCAGTGAAAGAGTGATCTGACTGAGGTCAGAGATGCAGGCCGATAGCAGGGCACGCCGGCCTGGAAGGTCACAGTCAGGAGACGCCGGGTCCTTCTGAGAACAACACAGAGCCCCCCGGGAGCTCCACTTTTTGCTGTATCACTATCAGGTATCTACCCTGCAGCGAAAGACCTTCCTTCTGTAGCTTGCTATGGCATAGGCCAAACTCCTTGAAATAAAATCTAGAGTGTCATTGAAATGTCATTCAGTAACAGATGAATGGGGCATGTCCATAATGTCTTAATGGAATGTGTTCCAGCCATAAAAAGCAAGGAAGTTCTGGTACATGCTACAAACAACATGGATGAACCTGAAAACCTCATGCTAAGTGAAAGGAGCTGACACAAGGGGACATGTACTATATAACTGCACGGACACCAGATGTCTAAAATAGGCCAATCCATAGAGACCTAAAGGTGAGCATTTGCCAGAAGCTTCAGAGAGATGGGCAAACGGAGAATAGGAAGTGACTTTAACAGGTTTGGGGGTTGTTTTTGGAGAGGATGGAAATGTTCTGGAATTAGATAGTGGTGACAGCTGTACAACATTGTGAATATAGCAGAACCCACTGAAACTGTACCCTTTAAAATGGTGAATTTTATGTTATGTGAATCACATCTCAATTAGAAGAATCGTAACCAGAAAAATAAAATTGACTTCTAAAAAAATATGTCATTCAGTAAATTGTTTCCTTCAGTCTCAGAAATCCTGACTTGCGCTCAAACTGGCAGAATTTCTCTCTGGATGAGGTCTCTGCCTTCCAACAAGCCTTATGCCTCTATTGGGCCAATGTTCAATTTTCTGTTTATAAGACATGTTGAGGCCATGACAAAGCAGGTGTGTTTAAGGCCAGGGCAAACTGAGCCTGAACGCTGATTTGCCACTTAATAGCTTTGTGGCCTGCAGCAAGCTGTGTGAATGCTCTGCACAGTGTCCTCACGTATAAAACGGGGACAAGAATGTTTGCAAGGACATCACTGTAAGTATTAGAAATGACATGTGCATGGGATAAATATAAGCAGCAGATGCTTAATAAATGGTGTTATTAATAGTGCTATCAATACTTTACAGGGTCTTGACAGTATATTTTATAAATTAGTACATTTGTAGTTAGTCCATTTTATAAATGCTATTTGGAATTCTCCATGGCAAAGAAAGAGCTAGTGGGGTACACTTTGTAAAACAGAGCTTTTTTTTTTTTTTTAACACATCAAATAATCATCTCCTGACATACATGTTTGGAATCTTAGACTGATTTTCCCCCCATTATATGAATCACTCTGCTTGTTTCAATTTATGCTTGCAAAGCTATGTTTCTGAAAAATTGCATGCAAATCAAATTTTTACAATTCTGATAATATTTTCCCATTGTTCCATATTATATGTTCAGGGGTGATTTATCTTCATTTGTGATTGATTTTCAGTTGGCAGCAGATCCTAACACTTTAGTTTTAAGACTGTTTTCTCCCCAGACTCTGTCAAGTTGTAAAAACATACTTTAAAACCCCCTTGACATTTTAAGGAACTCCTAACTTACTATTTTGTAAAATCAGACGTTTATTCCTAAGGCTTTTCTACCAGCAGGGAATAGAATTGTATTTATGGTTCAGCAGTAAACACTAAACAGGCTTGCTCATTTTCCATTGAAATTCCCCAAAGACTTTCAAAATCAAGGCAAAATGATGGAAAATTAAGAACATGTAAGCAATTCTGGCCCAAGACAGGAGTAGGGAGGTGGTGTCTGAGGGTTACTTCCCTTCCATGAGATTGTGCGAAGGCAGCACTTCACAGAGCGTGGGCGTCTCCTGGCCCGTCCACAGTGGGTCCTCCACAACGCCCCTGACACAGGCTGAGCAAACCCTTTTAATGAAGACCAATTGTGCTTTATTTGAGTTGGAATAGGTACGGAAGTGCTCTCTCTGAGTTTCTGACACAAATAACAAACAAAGCCATGGCCAGGGTCCCAGGCTCCTCAGGATTTCAAGATGTCCACATCTGGGGAGAAAGAAGTGGACACAGGTCTGCCTCCCAGCTCTGGGTTCACATGGTGAGACAGAGCTCTTGCTGGCTCTTTCCAGTGTCTGGTTTTGACATCACAAAGGGCTGTGGACTTTTATGATCTCGTATAAGAGATTCTTCCATTCTCCGCATTAAAACTGTCCCCTGAAAGGGATATGATCTAGCCAAGGCTGTGACACAAGAGACATGTGAATACAAGCCCAAGGGGTGGCCACCCATCCACCCATATGGAACTAGCAATGACTTCATCCTTTTTCTTTTTCCCTCTAGACACATTCACCCTGTCAGCGCGTGCAGAGCAGCTGTGATGGCTGCATCGTGTTGCTGGAAGCAGGCCAGTGTTACCATGTTCCTGGGCGTGCAGCTGCTGAGCAGGCAGCATGGAGGCCGCCCTGGCTGCAGGGGACCCTTAGCCTGAGGATCCTGCCCCAAGTTGCTGATGCCAACAGCCAGCCCTTGCCAGATGTCTTATGTCTGACTCTTGGGTGTTTAGGCAGCATAACAGTGAAATTGATAATAACTATGGATATCAATTTTGAGTGTGTAATTTTAACCAGAGCAAACCTTTATTGATCTCTTACTCTGTTCTCAGGCCTTCTCATGCATCTTACTTAATTCTCTCAGTTCCCCAGGAGGCAGGGACTAACATTATCTTCTGTGTAGACCAGTGGGGAGCAACTCTGTGTGTGTGAGTGTATGTGTGTGTGTGTGTGTGTGTGTGTGTGTAGGTCATTCAGGACAAGTTAAAACACTTATGGGTGTGTGTGTAGGCCATTCAGGACAAGTTAAAACACTTATGGGATGTGTTTTTCACTTTCAGGGTGAATACATTTTTATTGACTTCTTTTAGGGGGATAAAAGTGGTATTCTTGCAGATAGCTGCTTTCTGAGTAGAATACTAATGAGACAGCATACCCTGCTTTGTAGGTGTTTATACGCAACTATCTAGACATTTTAGAGAACCAGCCAAATGGAAGCAGCTTCTGATGTCTTTCACAATGGAACTAGACCATGGCTATTTTTCAGAGGTAGGAGGGCTTCTGATTGTCGTGGGATGGCACAGACATTGACAACGGGGAATGTGAGGCTTAACCTCAGTGACTGTCCTCTATACGCTTTTAACAATTCTAGAATAAATCAGTTCGGAAAAGATTTGCATCTCTATCAAAATCCGGGGGATGACATTGCACCAACTGGATCAGACTGGGGGAGAAAGGTTTCTGTTTCTCAAATTCTAGTCATTTCCAGACTGCCTACTCATGTTTTGGCAACTCTGTGATTAGAGCACATGGATTTAGCCATAAAACTGTGGGTTTGATGGTCTTGAATACTTGGCAATGAAATCTAAGATATCTAAACAACTCATCAAGTTTCTGATGTACAACTATGGGCAAAGTATGAATCCAACATGAGTTGTATTCAAAGGAAGCGAATGGCCAGCCTCTGCCTTCATCTGGCTCATACAGAACTCTGAGAGATCAGACAATCGGGGAAAACCAGCCGAGGGTTCATGCTTGGGTCCGTGACCACACAGTGCACTGCCGGTATTTGAAGGCAACCACAGCCTGCATGGAAGAGAGGAGAAGGTACAGATGGTGAGAAAGGGGAGACAGACTCTGGAGCAGCAGAGAAGGGAGGGCTCAGGATGAGAAATGTGAGAATGGGGTTTAGGCATTTCCAGAAAACTCTGACTGACTGACTGACTGTTGGGGGATCATGGTAGACATGGTGGGAAGTTTAGACTAGAGATGCCAATTAACAAGATCGTATCCTCTTCCTTCAGCAGGAAAGTGTCACTTAAAATCTAATTCAATCAGTATATACTGACAGCTATTAATTCACAGGTGTGGTGCTGGGGAGACAGAGAGAGGACACTAAATGTCATATCTCAGGGAGCTCATGCACCATTAGTATAAGCAGACCTATTAATAGATCTAATAAAGTGTACATGCTATGATAAAGAGAGATGTAAAGTTGTATGGAATGAAAGAGGAAGGAAAATGCTACTTGAGTGGGGACAGGAATGGGGGACTAGAAATTGAACAGCAAAAGCTTTAAGAGAAGATGATATTGGAGTTGTACATTAGCAAATGAGTAGACATTCACCAAGCAAAGGAGAAAATGGCATTCCACACAAGAGAACAGGAGAAGCCAAGACATAGAGATGTCAACATCCAGCTATGTTTGAAGATGGGGAGTAGGGTACATGATCAGGGGAGGGGCTTGCACCAAGGAGAAGGAAGATGGTAAGCAGGAGCAAATGCAAACAGCAAGGCTGGGGCATGACACAGAGATGTTGGAGTCACCTGAAGGCACCAGGACATCCCCTCGCCAGCCTCGGGGAACCCTCAAGGGAGAGTGAGCATCACATTGGCATGCTCCAGTCTGTGCTTTGGAAAGGGCACTTGTCTCTGTAAGACAAACTGGTGGCAGGGTGTTTCTGAAAGGTCATTGAGGAGACAAATAATCCAGGTGGGACCTGACGTGAACCTGCAGCCAGGCAAGGAAGAGGAAGGACACATCCCCCAGAGACGCTGAAGAACATGGAACTTAGACTAAACCTAGATGGTGAAAGGAGAGAGTCCTGCCAGCTTGAGAAAGGAATGCGCACAATTGGGAACTGCAGCCCACTATGGAGGCATGGGGGACACCAGGAGCTCCCAGTTGGAGAGGATGGCTTTAGAAGATAGGGGGACCATCCTGAAGGACTGGGCAGTGGGCAGGAGGTCGGGGCTAGAGGCACTGCCTTTGGAATCAATGGGAGTGGGAGATAGGTCCCAGAGGAAGCCTAAAGAATCCAGACCCCAGGGCCAAGGACCAGGCACCCTGGCATCCACCCACACTTAGGAGGAAGGAAAGGCAGTGAAGGGGATTTGCCATTGGAGAGGTTGGGAGCACCAGGAAAAAGTTATCATGGGAGTCAGGGCAGGGGGCTCCTCAAGGGGAGCATGAACGGCAGCGTCAGATGACAAGGAGGAAGTAGATTGAGAAGAAAGCATTGGATTTGGCAAGAAAGTGGCCCTTTCTTTGGGTTGTCTGAAAGCAAAGGTCACGGAGAGGATGGGGTGACAGGAGAGAGGAATGGATGAAGAAGTGAGAGGGTAGCAGAGCCTACAGGTGTGTACGGTTTGGCTGCAAGATAAAGGAGAAAATTTGACTGGGAATGGATGGATGAACAGATAGCTAGAAAGACAGAGAAAATAGTTGGATTGACCTTTTAAAAAATGGTGGAGACATCAGAGCATATTGAGAGGTGGAAAGGAAGGAGTACACAGGGAAGGGCCTAGGAAAAATGGTAAAGACAAAGAAAATAATGAGGGACACAAAACCCTTGCATTCTGGAGGAGAAAGGCAGGAATAAATAGGGCCTAAGATACAGGTGAACAAATGGCTTTGGGGACAAAAAGATAACCCTCTTTCTCAGAAACTGGGAGAAGGATGAAAAGACTGAGATATTGATCTGTGGATGTAAAGTTATGAGTAATTACTTGACTCTCCAATTTATTTTGAACCTGTTGTAAAATGCCCCAGATTTTATAGTTTTATCCTCAGGAAAATAGCCATAGACAACCTAAGGTAAACTGCGAATATCCAGCCATCCACAAGGTATATACCAAAACCTGGCAGAGACACAACAAAAAAAGAAAACTTCAGGCCAATATCCTTGATGAACATCAATGCAAAAATCCTCAAGAAAATACTGGCAAACAGAATCCAGCAGCACATTGAAAAGCTTATCCACCACAATCAAGTAGGCTTCATCCCTGGGATGCAAAGTTGGTTCAACATATGCAAAACAATAGATGTGATTCATCACATAAACAGAACTGAGGACAAAAACCACATGATCATTTCAAAAGACGCAGAAAAGGCTTTTGATAAAATTCAACACCCCCTCATGTTAAAAACTTTCAATAAACTAGGTATTGAAGGAACACACCTCAAAATAATAAGAGCCATCTATGACAAACCCACAGCCAACATAATGAATGGGCAAAAGCTGGAAGCATTCCCTTTGAAAACTAGCACAAGACAAGGATGCCCTCTCTCACCACTCCTATTCAGCATAGTATTGGAAGTTCTGGGCAGGGCAATCAGGCAAGAGAAAGTATTAAAGGGCATCCAAATACGAAGAGCAGAAATCAAACTATTCCCGTTAGCAGACAACATGATTCTATATCTATTTCTAGCAAACCCCATAGTTTCAGCCCAAAAGTTGCTTAAACTTTTATTTCTCTAAAAGAAGAAATGTAACTTGTTATTTAAATACAAATGGTTTCAAAATTGTATAAAATTACTTCTTGTTGGAAAATAATTCCAATTATCCTGTAAAGTATCTGAGAGTGGTTTCTAAGAAAATCCTTTCCATGTCAACCTTAGTGTATCTATCTCAAATCAACTTTGCTAAAACATGAAGGCCATTGCTAGAAAATTGAAGGAGAATCAAATGCGTCCTTTACTTAAACATTGCTGCCTTTAGAGAGAGTCTGAAAATATCACTGCATAAAATGTTTATGTATAATATTAACTCTTCTCACCCTTTTCCTAGACAAAATAGTTTCGATTCCACTCAAGTGCAATGTCAACAAAACCAGCAACGAGGCAAACTTCCCAGCAACAGAGCCACTAACCAAATTTCACTCATGTATCACAGTAGTAGCAGGAACTTGGAAACCCTTGTCCACTCAACAATTATTGTTAGATATTTAGGAGAGAGCCTGCCATCTGTGACGTATGGGCAATCCCAGCGCCCGGCTCAGTCCTGAGAAACTCATGTGCTTTCTGGCCCTGAGTCATAAGGACCCGATGGCATTCCACAGCCAAAGAAAAGAGTGAATCATTTAAAACAGGGCTTGGCGTCAATCTTGAGACTAAGTCACCAACCAGGAATTCTTCGCTGTTATCTAGTTTTTGGTAATAGTAAAAATGTCAGCCATGAATAATGAACGTATGACTCTAAAAATACCTCTCAAATCAGCATGGTGGCAACAAACAGATAATACAGTCAGCACACAGTGGCCATAACTTCACCTCCTCCTCTGTCAAGCCACTCACTAAAACGCCAAGAAATAAAAACAAAGCCTGCCTCCTGGGATCCTGTGGCTCCACGAGCCAATGACGGAGTAAGATGCTCTTTGAATTTCGTAATTTCTTCAAACCAAAGACTGGAGAATCAGAATGGTGTCTGTGGGCCGTGAAGGCAGTAGTGCTGTTGGAAGATTGCTGGAGAAGGTATCAGATGTGGGTTCAAGTCTCTGGCCCTGCACCTGCTGGTGGCACAGCTCATTGCTGAAATTACTCGGGTGACATGACTTCCTTCTCTAGGCCTCAGTGTCCTCATCTGCAGATTGAGTGTGGCAGTCATACCCCCTATGCATCACTGGGTAGTGGGAAGAATTAAAGGCCATAATTCACGTATTCTTTCCAGGGTGATGCCGACTTCACATGTCAGGAATTTGTCTAGGTACTCGGAATGAACAAATGAACTCGGAAATGAGCAAAACTTGCAAGGCCCCCGCCCCTGATATGAGAGCACTTAGCACAGAGCCTGGCATATAACAAACAACCATTTTTGTCTCTCCTTAGGCTTCTGACTCTCAACCAGGACACACAACTGCCACTAAGTCATGGCTGGGCCCTCCCAAACACAGGCCTTGCCACCCCTCGAGGCAACGTGACTTTTGTTTTAGAGCTGATTGTGCTGCTTTGGCTTCTCACTGGTCTGTTCTCGTCCTTGGTGGCCAAACAGATGTCTCTGCCATGTGACAGGTTCATCAACAAGCAAACACATTTCAGTACTCTTGACAATTATCGAATGCATACCATGAGCTAGGTATTGTTTTAGGAGCCTCACAGGTATGTATGTATGTATGTATGTATGTATGTATGTATGTATTTATTTATTTATTTATTTATTTATTTATTTATTTATTTTGAGACAGAGTCTCTGTCGCCCAGGCTGAAGTGCAGTGGTGCGACCTTGGCTCACTGTAACCTCCGCCTCCTGGGTTCAAGTGATTCTCCTGCCTCAGCCTCCCGAGTAGCTGGGACTACAGACAGGCGCCATCGTACCTGGCTAATTTTTGTATTTTTAGTAGAGATGGGTTTTCATGATGTTGGTCAGGCTGGTCTCGAACTCCTGACCTCAAGTGATCTGCCCCGTTCGGCCTCCTGAAGTGCTGGGATTACAGGCATGAGCCACCATGTCTGGCCTTCGCAAGTATTTACCTATTTCATTTCCAGAACCAACTATAGAGTAAAATTATTATCCTTACTTTACAGTTGGAGGAAACTGAGGCACAGAGAAATTAAGTACTCTACCTGAGGCCACACAGCTTATGTTTCTCCTAAGTCTTGCCTCCTCTAGGCTAAAATGTTCTCATCCTCTCTTTCTAATTAACTCTGGAAGATATTTTTTATTCTGTAATCAATTTCCCCTACTAAAATGTAGCCACACAGCTAATGGCCAATAGAATCCAATGCAAACACTCTACTCTCCACTACCTCTAGACCACAAAGAGGGCAGTCTAGGTGGGGGTTGGTGGTGATGGGGAGTGCATTTATGTCTGTGAGGGGAAGCAGACGCCTTACAAATTAGCCAAAGTGCCTTAGAAAACCAACACCAGGCGGGGCGCCATGGCTCATGCCTGTAATCCCAGCACTTCGGGAGGCCGAGGCGGGAGGATCACGAGGTCAGGAGATCAAGACCATCCTGGCTAACACCGTGAAACCCGTCTCTAGTAAAAATACAAAAAATTAGCCGCGTGTGGTGGCGGGCGCCTGTGCCTGTAGTCTCAGCTACTTGGGAGGCTGAGGCAGGAGAATGGCGTCAACCCGGGAGGCGGAGCTTGCAGTGAGCCGAGATCACGCCACTGCACTCCAGTCTGCCAGACTCCGTCTCAAAAAAAAGAAAAACAAAAAGAAAACTGACACCAACATGCAGCCCTTGCCTGCAATGTAATTTAAATTGCAGGAATTCTGATTTAGAATTCATGGCTGAATTTGCTTTTCTTCTTTTCTTGAGTTCATCTAGCACTTTGTTACATGCATAAGACATACAGACCCACTTCCCTGACTGCTCATTATTGGAGCACACACCATGGTCCTCTGTCAAGCTGCAAATTCCTTAAAGGGAGAACTGGGTCTTAGTATCCTCACTACTTAGCACAGGGACTCATACACAATAAGTAGGCCACTGATAAACACTGGCTAGAAGAAAAAGAAAGGGGAAAGAAAAGGAGTAAGCAAAAATCTGGTGCATGGCTAGATTCCCCTTCCACCAAAGCAAGACTCCAACCCATCCGGGACTACCACAGAAAGCTGCAAGCCAGGGCATACCGACCGCAAGGCCCTTCAAAGTCCTCGCATGAGGTTTCTTCCCCCAGCATAATCCCAGAGTATATAAACAGGGACTCAAGGACTCAATAAACCCAACAAATATCCCTCCAGAGCTGACACTCACTGGGGCCCACCTTTACTTAAATAAACTAACATTTATAGATAAGATTTGAGAACAAACAGTGCTCTCTAAGATAAACCACTGGGGACAAACCAGGCTGACATTTTGTTCACATGTTTATTGGGAGGGAAGGAGTGTGTGAGCGTGTGTGTGTGTAGTCAAGTTTACCATATGCCTAATAATGAACATTTTTAGGCAGGGAATATTCTGACCTGGCCCTGCTCGTTTATCGTATCTTAAGTTTCTCTCAAGCCTTTAAAAATAATTTTTAATCCATCAAGACTCTTACATGTAAACAACATTTTTCTGATTATTTTTTTGTGGCTTGGGGAATTAAAACAAGGAACCGCAATGGGGACAAAACACTTCTTGGGATTCTGAAGCCATCATTAGCTTTACATTGTTAACCGAAATTTTTGTTGAGACCATTGTAGATTCACATGTGTTTATTAAGAAATAATACAGGGAAAATCTCTGTCCACCTTGCCCAATTTCCTCCAGTGGAAAGATTTTGCAAGCCTCTAGTGTAATTTCACAACCAGGATATTGACACTGATACAGTCCAACAATCTTATTCGTATTTCTAATTTTTATTACACTCATTTATGTGTATGCATCATTAGCTTTTTATTTGGAATAGTTTACATTATTGATCTGCTATCAGCCATTCCAATTTATAATTGTTAATATGCAACGGCTGATTTTTCAGCTCTTATGATGTACTAGGCATGGTGCTAAGAACTTGACACACATGATGTTAATCAATCCCCATAAGATTCTTGCTTCTTTCTTCTGGGAATAGAAACTCTGCCTCTCTCACTGGCTCACATCAAAGTGGCTTGTTCTCCTCTGGCCAAGGGGTAGGAACATGACCAGATGACACAAGGACAGTCCTTGGCAGACCCTGCTGAGCGTGTCCATCGGTTCTTTTTCCAAGATCCCCAAGTGGTCTGGTCCTCGACCTTTCTGAGACCTGGTTCGTTGTGCTTTCCTCCAGTTCCTTCCTAAACATTTCCTCTCTGCTTAAGTCAGCAGTGTGCATTTGTCTTGCCTGCAATCAAAGAAACCTGTCCAGAGAGTGGGTAGCATGTTATTATTCTTTATTTAGATGAGGAAGCAGGCTTAAAGAAGTTAAAGAACTTGCCCAAGGTCACTGTCTTGGTCAAAATTCTCCAGAGAAACAGAACCAATAGGATAGATGGATGGATGGATGGGATGGATGGGATGGACAGATGGAATCGATGCGATGGATGGGATGAATGGATGGGATGGACAGGATGGATAGATGGATGGATAGGATAGATGGGTGGGATGGATGGGATGGATGGATGAACGGACAGGATGGATAGGATGGATGGATGCATGGATAGATGAATGGATGGGATGATGGGATGGATGGGATGGATAGGAAGGATGGATGGATGGGATGGAGAGGATGGATGGGATGGATGGATAGGATGGATGGATAGGATGGGATGGATGGATATGATGGATAGATTGGATGGATGGATGGGATGATGGGATGAATGGATTGGATGGATGGATGGGATGGATACATGAATTGATGGGATGGATAGGATAGATGGATGAATGGGTGGGATGGATAGGACAGATGGATGGATGGGATGGATGCAATGGATGGATGGGATGGATAGGATGGATGGATGGGATGGATAGGATGGATGGATGGGATGATGGGATGGATAGAATGGATAGATGGTTGGATGAACAGGATTGATGGATGGATGGGATGGATAAATGGATGGATGGATTGGGTGGGATGGATAGATTGGATGGATGGATGAGATGGATGATGGATGGGATGAATGGATTAGATGGATGGGATGGATTGGATGGATGGATGGGATGGATGGATGGATGGACAGGATGGATGGGTGGATGGATGGGATGGATGGATGATGGATGGACTCAATGGATGGGATGGATGAGATGGATGGATTAGATGGATGGATGGATTAGATGGATGGATTGGACTGATGGATGGGATGGATGTATTGGAGAATGGATTAGATAGATGGATGGAATGGATGGGATGGATGGATGGATGGGAGAGGATTAATTATGGGAATTGGCTCATGCAGTTATGAAGAATAAGAAGGCCCATGATACGCTGTCTGCAAGCTGGAAAACTGGGGAAGTTGGTGGCATATCTCAGTCCAAGTTCAAAGGCCCGAACACCAAGGGAGCTGATGATGTAACTCTGTCTAAGGCCAAAGGTCTGAGGACCTGGGAGGCCAGAGTCTAAAGGCTGGAGACCTGGAGTTCTGATGTTCAACCAAGGGCAGGAGAAGATGAGTGTCCCAGCTCCAGAAGAGAAAGTGGGCAAATTCACTTTTCCTCTATTTTTGTTCTATCCAGGCCCTCAACTGACTGGATGGTGCCCACCCACATTGGGTTACGGGGGATCTTTCTTACTCAGTTCACCAATTCAAATGCTGATCTCTTCCAGAAACACCCTCCTCATGGATACATCCATACATAATGCTTTACCCGCTTTCTCGGTGTCTGTTAACCCAGTCAAGTTGACACCTAAATTAACCACCACAGTCACACAGCTATGAAGTGGTAGAACAGGGACACTGAGCAGGTTGCCTGGGTGCAGAGCTGATGCCTTAGCCCTGGCATACTGCCTCCTGCTCCTTGTAGAAAGGGACAAAGGTGGCACTTGCAACTTCATGGTCTTCTTTGGAATTTCTCTGGATGATTTTTCAACCATGCTCTGATATGTGCTCTCGAAACCCTGAAGTGACGTTCTATTATAGCTACTGTCACATAACAGGACATACCTGTTTAGGACTGTGGTTCACATTCCTGATGCCATTCCAGAAGGACTGTGCCAAAATATGCTTAGCACTCACTGATTTGAAGTATTCTTCCAAACCCACCCTTCCCTGAACCTCTCCCTGCAGGGTCCAGCACAGGAAATGGTTTCTGACCACTCTTGACATTTACTGCAATTTTTTTTTTTAAGACCGAAAGCGTGAGCATGCATATATTACACTTTCAAGTCACCATGATGCATTTCTCCAGCATTAGCTTGTGCTTTTACAACTGGTCTTCATCAAAGGTTTTTCATCTGCTCGCCAATGTGGCATGTGTCCTAATGACTCATGATGAGGAGTCGTTCCTTTTAGCATGATTTATGCTCGCTTATCATTCTCTTGTTCTCCAGAGGGGAAAGCTGCTCTACTGAATGAGCTCAGCCCACATAGAAATAGCCACTAAGCAGCTGTCTCTTCATGTTAAGAAAACTAGCTAATGGCAGTGTCCACGAATCATCCCACTTGAAGATTAGAACAAGACATCTGCTTCTCGTGTGGCAGAGCTTGGGCTAAGAGGGGGAACACCCACCCCCCAGAGAAAACCCTGCTCCTCTGACAGCTCCTGGACTCACTTTGCTTGAGCAGATCTTTGTGGGTTGGGTGGGGGGAGGGCTTCTGCTCTCCTCCTCATACTGTCCCACTCTTCCTCCCAGAGGGCTTGTAGGGACCAGGGCAGAGCCTGGGATAAGCAGGGAATGAGATGCGGTTCTTGCCTGGCCTGAGCTGGCACAGGCTCCATGAGAGAAGCCTCAAGGATGAGTGAGGTGAGCCCTAAGCCCTCCCCGTTTCTCTTCACTGGCAGGCCTGCCATGCCCCATCCTGTACCTGGAGTTGAGCAATTACAGCACAGGATGCTGAAGGCCAGACTTCCAGGGCGCTATGTCTCTGCCGGCTCACCCAGCCCAGTGCTATCTTCAGTCAGAGCCATTCAGTGGCCATCCTCCAAGGTCCTATGGCCCCTCTGCTACCCTTCCCCAGTCCCCTCCTGGGCAGCACTGTCCATCTTCCCAGCTCATCCCTTCCTTTCCCTTGGGAGGCTCCGGAGGTGTGTTCAGCTCTCAGCCATTAGAACAGGTTTGTAGCTTGGGGTCTGCAGGCAGCCTCCCTGGGTCTGCAGCCAGCTCTGGCACCTATCAGCTGCGTGACCTGGTGGGAGTCATTTGATAGGGCTGTGCCTCAGTTTCCTTGGCTGGAAGACAAGGACAGTAATGGCACATACCTTATAGGGTTGATGTGAGGAATAAACAAGATAATGCAGGTGAAAATGCCAAGCGCAAGTCATGTGCTCCCTCTGTGTCAGCTGTCGGCATTGTCACTGGCTCCAGGAAGAACCTGCGGTCTGGTCAGCTTCACCCCAGCAAGAGCAACTGACAACACTTCCTTCTCAGGATGCAGTCTTGGCCTCTTCCCCTGCGGATGCTCTCCTCATCTCCTCTTGCCTTGCTCACAGAGTCCACCTGCACAGGTGTGTTACTCAGCGTCAATTCCACACCCGGTCCAGGCGGGAGGCCCTTTCCTTGGCCCTCCTGAACTGCTGTTCTTCCTTCCTTCCTTCCCTAGGATCCAGAGCATCCATGGAGCCACCACCGTAGTGAGGACAAAGGCCACTGACCGCTCTGCTCACATGCTCCCAGGCCTCCTCTGAACTGTGCAACAGTCGCCATCGCTGGGGAGGCCCCTCTGTTTTGCAGGGGTTTCTTCACCTGTTCAGAAATTGCTTCAAGACAATAGGACTTAAGAGTGTACTGACAGCCTGGAACTGTCATTAGAACCATTAAAACGTCATCTCTCTTGACATAAACCATAATTAAGACAATTAGGGCACCATCTCTCTTCCCTGACATCAGTCCCCCTTTACAAACCACAGAAGTCTCATGTTCTGGCCATAGTTCGCCCCGGTCACCAGCCCCCGGTGGCATTTGGACAGGGGCCACCCTCGGAGCACGGCTTTCCTGCACCCGAAGTGGGGTCAGCTTGGACAGCTTTGGGGCATTCCTGTCGTGAGCCCATCTGCTGACTTGTCCTGCAATGCCACCCTCTGTGGGTTCCACACTAGCAGTCCCAGCTCCCAGTGGTGTCGCCGGCCAGCTGGCACTCAGGCTGATGTCAGGTGGTGATAAGTACAGGTTTCTTCCTGTCTTCCTTTTGCTACACTCAATGAAAGTTTGTGAGGCCTGAGAACTGAACAGACTCAGGTTTTGACTTACTTTGGGAAGTAAGAAACTGCTCCTTTTGTACCTCAAAAAGAAGCCTCAGGTGTGTGGCAATCTCAGATGGTGTCCCGAGTCCAGCTCTCGTTCGCATTCAGTCCCAGCTTCCTCCCCACGGCTCCACCTCACACACTCACCCTTAGAACGCAGCCCCTTCATGGCAGGAGGACTAGGAGGGTCCAATAAGGCAGTTTAAACATTGATGATGTCATCATGGCCATACTATTAAATTTTGTAAAAAGCAAACAGCAAAGGTTTCCAGGAAAACTGATTTTTAAATCCTAGCATTAAACAAAATAGTACAACCTCGCTTTATACTAATATCAAAACACACTTCCTCCTGCCCACGGAGGGTCCCTCCTGATGGGGACTTCGTCTTACCTTTCTTTGAATCCCCAACAAAGCACCTGGCTC
The DNA here is from genome assembly GCF_000001405.40 of Homo sapiens. Lineage (NCBI taxonomy): Eukaryota > Metazoa > Chordata > Mammalia > Primates > Hominidae > Homo > Homo sapiens. The sequence continues at coordinate 126,255,719 of NC_000010.11, forward strand.
CATGAGGGTTGTCTCCAGGACAACTGAATGATACTCTGAAGGGGGGATGGCAAAGCTAACTGGCCCCATTGCAGCTAGTCTCAGAGATGTCTGCACAGAGGCAGCAGACAGCCGAGGCACACGCCTGGTCATTATGGTGTTATCCTTCCCTCGCCTCTACCGGAGCCAGATCCAGCTAGTGCAGGCTGTCCAAGGGCCTTCGGCATCAGGAACGGTGCAGGGAAGGAGGTGGGTGCCCATGGGCATCTCGTCAGGGCACTTACCACCCAGCCAAAGGAATATCTTCACTCGCCCACCACGGCTGGTAGTTAGGACCAGCCAAGTCTGCCACGGTGGTGCTCAACCCTGTTGCTTCTGCAGATCACCTGGGACACTTAAGAAAAATACTTATGTCCAGGTAAAAGTAAATCAAATCACCCCCCTACCTGGCAACTTTGGTTTTTGCTCCAGGTGATTCTAATGTCCAAGCAGAACGAAAGCCATTGGTCTAAGATCTACCAATCACATTGTATGAATGAACGCTTAGTTTGTGAATGAATGGGTAAACATGAATGCAGAGTCCTATGGCTCTGTAACAGTAGAAGGCCAATGTATTAGGAAACAACTCTGGGTTTATGACCTGGACCCTTTGTTTTAGTTTCTAACTCTACCAACAACTACGGGATCTTGGGCAAGTGTCTAAACCTCCCTGCTCTTCCAGTCTCCATCTGTAAAATGGGTGACGTGGCCACAGTGATCTCTGAGGTCCCTTCATTCCCTCTGCATTGATAGAGGTTCTACTACCTTGAGCCGTCGCTGTGTGTCAGACTCTGGTCTGGGAGGTGGGGATTCAGCCCTGGGGCCTTCAGGAGCTTACCTTCCAGCAGACATCCTCACTTCCATCTACTTCCACTTAGAAAGTCTACAAATCCAGGAGTCTACTTCATTTATCTGGACAATAGCCCAGTGCAGAGAAGCAGAGACTATACCAACTAAAAAGCAGAGGAACTGGAGAAAATTTTCCCTGAATCACTCTGGAGGGCTTCAAAAGAATGGAGACAGATGAGATAGGAGCCCTAGAGGATGGGGAGATAGTAGGTTTATCCAGAAATCTCTTTTATATTAACACCAACATTGCAAAGGCTGGTTCTTTAAGTACTATATTGCATATATATTCCTAAGAAATACTGTTCCTGCACCTTTGGATGGGAATAATAATAATAATGATGATGATGATGATGATGATGGAGGGACTTCTGTGGTTTTGCAGCTTTTCATATTTTGCAGAGCATTTGACCATCCACTCTTAGCAGTAGCCCACCCACTGGCCACCTGGGGGCTCCCCAGTCCACTTCTGCATCCTGCATAAGGCCTGCAGTGCCCACTCTCAGCCCCTTCCTCCCTGAACACTGACACCACCTGTATGTGTACTGCCAGCCTGGATTCCCTTTCACTTGACAGCAACCACCTAACCCTACATGTGCTCTGCAAAACACAATGACACACACAGTTACCCTCCAAAGACAGTACCGGGAAGGAATGATGTCAGGCAGTGATGTCCTAAAGCCCAGACACCAGGTATGCCCAATCCTCACCAAAACACCTAAGTAGCCCTGGAACGTGCACATGGTCTTCTGTTCTGCGATCAAAATGTTCCATTTGTATTGAGATGGCCTCTTCGCTGCTGAGAGAATGCAGGAATTGCACTGAGTTTAGCAAAGGAACTCGATCTGACTCAATACAACTTAGAACAAAGAGGAACTTCTCAAGCATGTGATAATCTATTCTTTTCACCAACTTTCTCAGGTGCACGAAAGTGGTCATGCATTTCTACGCTGTATTTAAAAGAAAAACATTTTATTGACTCTTTAAATAAAACTCTATCCACAACTATAAAGGAAAATGGGGAAATATGACCTGTCACACAATCGCATAAAAATTTACATCGCAGATAAAATACTACAATCGCTTCATGAAATAACTTGCATCCATCAACCGTGGAGATGGGCAAGGAAATATAACCATCCTCATTTTATAGAGGTAAGAACAAAGATAAAGATAAGAATATATAAAAGCAGAGGTTAGAATTATAAAACCAGTCAGCCTTGCCAAGGGCTCAGGAAAGGCTCAGCAGCGCAAATGACTCCAGGCACTTAGAAGCAGGTGAGTTCCTAACCAGAGGTCATGGATTTCTGGACAACGGTGGTGTCTTTACAGGCACCATGCCTGGAAATAACTAGTAAGATAGGTGCCTACTCTATTTGGCAACCTCAAATAGAATTGGCCTCTCAATTTTCACAATGAGAAGATACCAAAAGGATTTTTGGCCATTTTATATCTGTGTCCCTATATTTATATTCAATTTTCACCTCCTGCTATATATCAAGCATAGAATAATATGCTAGGGACACAGTGGGGAACAATCCACTGTCTACTGACAATATTTAATTGGCCAATTCAGGCACACATTTAAAATAATGTAAGCATAAGTTTATTCAGATTGCTTTCTGCACTCTCATATCTTACAAAAACACTTTTATTTGCAATCTGTCTTTGTCCTCATTAGAGTCTGAGTCATCTCACAGTTTTCTAGACTATCACTTTCACCTGCATCTAAATGTCTCTGGATTCAGGATTTTTCCCTAATTATTTCTTAAATTCCTCCACCTCACTCATCCCCACTGCCTCCGTGCCCCACACGCCCCACCCGTGCCCCACACGCCCCACCAGTGTAATGGTCTCCCAGTGGCCTCCGACCTCTGCTCTTGATACTTTTTGTTTCATTCAGGAAGCCATTCTTAAAACACCCATTTCAATCCATCCATGCCCTACTTACCAACCTTCAGTGGCTTCCCCTGGTGCAGGGTGGCGTCTGAAACCTGGCCAGATCTAGTCTGGTCTTTGGTAGCCCCTTGGTCTCCCTTTTTTATTACTCTCTCAGCCCATGCCCTGGCATTCGGCCAGAGCCTCCATGCCACAAGCTCCTCACCCACCTGGGCCTTTACTTGCACTGCTTGCTTGGCCTGAAACTCTTCCTCCTCTCTGCACCTGGCTGACTCCCACAGGTGACAGTACTTCTAGCCTGTGGGCCTTCCCTGGCTGCCACACCAAGACACCTTTCTTTCCCTCATTGCCCATGCCCGTAAGCACTTCCAGTGCACGTAACAGCATAATCCATTATTTGTAAGATCATCTCTTTGGCATCTCACAGCTCCACTAGCCTGCAAGCTCTTTGAGGTCAAGGGCTGTTTCCCCCCTGTTCCCTACCGTGTCCCCAGTGTGTTGTTCAATGCTTGTTATATACCAGGAGGTCAAAAATAATGGTTGAATTTATAACAGCAGCACCAGCTAACCTTTGTGGGATATTTCCTATGCCTTAGACTCTGTAGTAAATGGTTTTATGGATTTTTGTATTTAATTCCTAAAACAACAGTAGGATCTTGGTGGTCTGTATCTAACAGACGTCAAACTGAGGCTTACACAGCTCAGTTCCTAAATTCACACGGCAGAGTGCAGCTTTCACCTGGGATTATCAGATTCCCAGCTCAGTGCTCTCAATTTACCTAGTGAAATAAATAACCTTCTTAGATATCCAAGCAAATGTGATACAGACGAAAAACCCTTCTTAAAAAAGCTTCAAGGAGCTTTGAGAGGAAAGTCAAGCTCTGCAAAGTTATAATACGTTTACAATATGAGCTATAGCCCTTGTGGCTTAAAAAAGTCTCTTTTCAATATTTTTGCAAAGTTTGTTTACTGAAAAGAGCGATCACATGCTTTCTTACTAACAAAAATAAAGGCCACTCATTTCTTTGTTCACTCAAAAGGTCTCAGGCACCTGATCTGGTCTGACACAGCAAAATATTTTACTATGGGAAAATGCAATTCTAATATTTGATACTTAGGTGGGAATTTGATGTCCTGATTTCCTTTGTTCTCTACTACAAACGCTTTGAGCTATCATTCATCATCCATGCATGGGTTAGAGAGAGAAAGTACATCTTCTCCACACATGAGGGAATAAAGTCACTCTCTGAGAACTAAACCGGGGCAATCAACCCAACTGATGATCACTCCTAAAAAAAGTTCCAAAACGCTCAGTAAGGTTTGGTGGGCCAAACATCTAACACTGAAATTCTTTCTTTAAAGAAAACTGAGGGAAATCGAGTCAGCTCATGGATGGTGATAGGGAAATGATGCATATATGACAGTGATGAGTCTGGTTTAGGTGTCTGTCACATGGGAGTTTGGTCATTGTGAGTCAGACCTCTTGAGTTCCGTCAAGAATGATTTGTGGATGTGCAAAGCTGGGATGATCTCCCAGAGGTGACAGTACTGCCTGCAAGGTCAGCCACCACCTCAAGTGACACCTGGGTCCCACCTGCCTACAAGGGCCCCAGCATTTCTTCCATACACATTACCATACACATTACCATACACATTACCTACCTACCCATGGCTGGTGCCAAGTAGTCTTCACTTGGTTCTTCAGATCTGTCCTGGGACAACAGGACAAATGACCGGGAGCCAGCGCTTCACGCTGCCTGCTAGACTATCCATACTCACAGGCAAACATGGATACAAATTAGCAATTTAAAAGCTGCCCTCTGTTCCTGGCTGGGATTCTCATAAATCAAAAGTGGTCGATGTTTACAACAGGGTCCAAAGGGAAAGCTGTTGAGCCAGCCCCAAACACTTAAAATTTCTATATGGGAACCCAGAAACCTTCATCTGAGGACAAGAGATTGGAGGAACCAATGGGCTGCTCTTCATCTGCTTCTTATTTAGAAAAATTGGACTACTGGGGAAAAGAGTAAAAACAAAAATAGGAAGCAAAATAAATGTTTACAGGCAAGCAGGTCCCTCATTCTGAACATACAGAGGTTGAAACTTTCCTTAAGGCCAGTTAATTGTTCAGATAACTTGTCAGGCTGTGAAGAAGGTAATGTGAAAAGTGGACAGAGGGTGAGTGATGACAGCCACGGCACTTAAGAGAAACATTGCCACTGAAAACCAGAGACCATCAATCTTAAGACAGAAGGGGTGTGCCGTGGCAGTGCCACCGTAATGACATGTGTGTCTATCATGTCCACCCCAAAGCACTGTGACAGAAACAGACCACCCATAGATTACACCAAAAAATATACTTGTATGATGTGACATATATATTGAGCTTTATATTTATGTCCATACAATTGGCCCTCCGCATCCTGGGGTTCCCTACTCTCAGTTTCAACCAATTGCAGATTGAAAATAATTGGGGGAGAAAACAAAAAATAATAATGCAGCAATAAAAATGATACAAATTTAAAAATATACAGGATAACAACTATTTACATAGCATTTACATTGTATTAGGTATTATAAGCAATCTAGAGATGATTTAAAGTATACAGGAGGATTTAAAGTATACAGTAGGTTATATGCAAATACTATGCCATTTTATATTAGGGACATGAGCATATTTGAATTTTGGTACCCATGAGGGGTTCTGGAGCTAATCTCCTTCAGATACCAAGGCACGACTGTGCACACACACACACACTGGTATGTTTAAAAATTCTATATGGGAACCAAGAATGCTTCATCTGAGGACAGGAGATTGAAACAACGAACGGGCTGCATTTCATCTGGTTCTCATTTTGAAAAATTGAGAAAACACTTAGCAATTAAGACTATACTTAGAAAAAAGCAAAAATTACTGAATTTTTTGGGAGTAAAGACATGGCAAAGATTGGGATAGGAAGAGCAGTATATTATCTAATTTTCCTATTAATTGGCAATCTAGTTCAGTGATACCCTATAGTGAGTATTTGTTATAAATCAATTCAGACAAGCCTATCCTTTGCGACTGTGTAAAACGGTGGTGGATTTAGGCCTTGTGAAGGGCAGGAACCGTGTGTTATTCATCTCTGTGTCTCAAACCCCAATACACTATCTGGAACACAGTTTGTTAAATGAATAAGCAAATGAACAAACATGAATAGATGAACAGAATATGCAGTATGGCATCAAGCACTTCAATGTCCAAATGTAAAAAACGAAAACGGCAAAAACACCCCACAGATTAAAAGGCCTTTTCTCTCTTAATAAGGATGGATGGATAGTATTTTTTTTTTTTTTTTTGAGATGGAGTCTCGCTGTGTCACCCAGGCTGGAGTGCAGCGGCGCGATCTCCGCTCACTGCAAGCTCTGCCTCCCGGGTTCATGTCATTCTCCTGCCTCAGCCTCCCAGGATAGTATTTTTAATACCCAACATTTAAATGTTGGAAGGAATTCTACTTCTAAATCAAAACCTATAGATTATTTTTAGGGCATAAGCCATGTTTGTACTGCAGTAGAATCTTTGAAAAGTCATCAATAGTATAGGTTGAACTAACATATTTTTCTAAACATAATATATTTGTTATTGGCTCAACCTAATAAAATGAGTCATTGCATTCTAAGCATAATGACCTGTATTTTGTAATATCATATAATATATAGTATATGTAGAGTATGTACATATATTTATGTATCTTCATATCAGTACTGAAATTTAATTACAAATACATTCTGAGAAATCCTACTTTTTATATAGTATTTGTGTTGGTTTTCACTATTTCCACTTATAGGAATTCCATGCCAATGATTATAGGAAAAAAAGATGCCGATTCATCAAAATATTTAGCCAAGTTTTGTCTTTGGCAACAAAGAGTGGCCACTTTCCTTAAACTCATTCCAATGACAATGTCCTCTGCAAATCTGCAAATCAGTCAGGATTCCTAGCCAAGCAGGTCAGAGGGGAAGAAGAAAACAAATGTGTTCAAAAAGAGCAGTATGATTACCCCTTTTTGGACAAAAATATTTGCCAGGTTTTGCTACCAAAAAATAATGTTTTATTTTTGTGACCTACAGTGAACACATAAAAGAATGTGGAAAAATGAACACTAAAATAAACACCCATGTCCTCATCACTTGGCTTAAAAAATAGGACATAACTAGAGTCCCAGAGGCTTCCCAGTGCCTTTCTTCTATCATAACTGCTTTAAAAATTGTTTTAAAAGCCTTTAAGGAAGTCAAGGTTGCCATTATATATAAGAGTATCATGAAGGCATCTAGCTTTTATCAAATGCCACCCACTCCTCAGGCCAAGGGCACTTCCCACCCTGCCTCCAACCCACAGGTGGGGTACTCCATGCTGGCTTCATCATGTTGGCGAGGGATGTCCCTAGAGCACACACTTCCCCCAGATGAGGAATCTCAGACATTTAAATCTCCCAACAAAATGGACTGCTCTGGGCACTGAGATGCATCCTGGGATTCTCAGGTTTCCAAGGAACAGCACTCAGCACCATGTGGAAGGAGCCACTCGCTCAGGGTTTCCTGGTTCACTGAAATACAATGAGATAAGAAACCTTGGCTCTCGTAGGAATTGTTTAATTTGTTTTGATGCTTGAATGCCACATGCCCTGCATGATTCCTCATCTAGTGTTGTAAGCATGATTTCTGCCAGTAGGATCAGTTTAAGCATTCCTCTGGTTAAAGTGAGAACATACTTGAATGCAGAAAATTACTGAGGCCGAACATCTTAGAGTGGAAATGGAGCCCCAGAAAACCATCTGATCCAGTCTCCAAGCTGAGGAGGCTTAACTTCAGATTATAGATGAGAGAACTCAGGACCAGAGAGGTTACTTAATTTGCCTAAAGTCACAGAGCTTACAAATACCAGAGATTTCATGTTTCCTTTCCCTTGGCTCAGTGCTTCTCCCCTATATCACACTAGATCCTCTTTGCTGTTTTTTTGTTTGTTTTAAGTAAAGCAGTAACAGGCATGCATCATACTTCCTCAAATGGTCTTCATCATTTTTATTCAATATGAACTAGAACTGCTGCTCTGAAAACAGTAAAATGCAGACATGTTAGTTTGTTGGTGGGCGGGGAGGGGGGTGTATTTTACACATCTGGAAAAAGTTTACTAATTAATTTATGTGTCCTTCAGTAACCTTGAATCTTTTCTATAATATGATAGGGTAAAAACCAATTAACTGATTGAATAACATATTTCCATCTACATCAGTGATTTCAGTTCCTACATGTAAAATTACTTTGGAAAAAGCAGCTGTCTTAAATAATTTTCTAGATAAAAAGAGATTTATGTAATATCTATACAGGTAATTTATGGTCCAATATAAAAATACAAGGCTTTTGGATCAGGAAGTACTTACAGAATATAAGAAGTGATGTTATCCAGTCATAATCATTACCCTATTTGGTAAGATAATGAATTTGCTCCAAAATATAAATGAATTTTAAACATATTTATTGAATTGTAGGGCTAGTATTTTTAGTAAGTTTTTAATGTCACTTCATATTTTTTCATTTAACCAACCTAACATTCTATATATTTTGTTGATATGAATGTACAATACCATCAAAACTTTAGTGAAAATATTAATGAATAATTGTTTTCATTTTACGAAAACCACATGTAAAAACCATTTCCCACAACTCCCAAGGAACTTCTGTGATGCTGATATTTGCTTAATGGGTGCTGGCCGGCTGTGGACACAGCACGAGAGGCTTCTCCACTGGAGCCTGTCAGATTTTCAAAGAAAACCACGAAACTGACCAACAAAATCCTCTAGGCCAGTTGAAGCTGAAGAAGTGGCCTTAGAAGGGCTGTGAAAATAACTCTTTCTAAATAAATCGTCTCCCCAGATAACCCTCCTGTGGGGGCTTGGTTTTGTATCATCTTCTATCTGACCACATGTTTTTCATAAGGAAGAAAATCATAGAAGAAAATAAAGAAAGCCTTGTTCTCCACTTATGTTGAATCTACCTCATCCCACAGTGAAATCCACCAGCATACTGAGAAGAAAGAAGTGAGTATTTCATAACATTTTTAGACAAACGCCCTCGTTTTGTTTTTCTCGCGGGTCCCTGAAGAAGTAGGGTTAGCCTCTGTGTCTTCTCTGGCTTTGGTCTTTGCCAATTACGGCGATTTTCCTTCAGTGGGACTAAGCCTGCTTGTGAATGAAACGTTGTTTTTTTGTTTTTTGTTTTTTTTAACTTGCCATTGCCATTGGAATGGAAACAGTCCTCCAAGGGACAGGCTATGTCTAGACGCAATCCAGACCCCTGCTTTTCCTACTAGCAACACTGGAACCAGTTCCTGCTTCCCTGTTCTCACCCCAGCATCTACCTCCGTGCCAGATGTGAGGATGCCTTTGTCTTTAAAAACAGCAAGAAAATTAGGTCTCTGTAGAGCAGTTTCAAAGTCAGCCTTTTATCCAGCACTCTAAATAAAAAGATTTGTGTAATATCTATATGGGTAATTTATGGTTCAATGTGAAAATACAAGGCTTTTGGATCAAGAAGTGTTTACAGAGTATAAGAAGCTACTCCAGGACAGGCTGTGGTGCACCTCGTTATCCCCACAGAACCTTTTACAAATGTGGACCCTCAGCAGGGGGCTGTGCAGCATATCACCAAATGTGAGATGCTAAATTTGGGGAATACAGTGGCTACCCACTGGCAAAGGCAGAGTGATAAGTAGAGGTGGTCTCTAAGAAAAATTTATCTTGCTTTTTATCTCATATCTCAGGGAAACCAATAATTGATGAGGGAAAGTTCTTCTCTATAGGAGCATTTCAGCTAATAAAAGAAGAAAGAATGATAGAACACTGCCATTTTGCAGGACCCAAGGAAAGAACAGATCTAGGCACTGATTGTTAATGGCCACTGAACCTGGTGGGTGAAGTCTCAGGCAGACTTTTCTAATGGAAGCATCAGAGTGACCCCAAACTCAGTGGTCAACCTGTCATCACAAAACAAGACAATCAGAGGTCACAGAACTATTGACATGGCACAAGAGAAGAACGAGGACCACCTGCAATGTCATCCTGCCTAAAACCAGTACCTCAATCTGCACAAGCCTGTACACTGAATTACCTACCAGTAAACAGAAAACACAGGGCCCAGAGGAACAGGCTAGACAGCACCAAGAGGATGAAATCAGCAAATTGAGAGTGTGGAAAATTCTACTGAGTATAAAAATCTGGTTTCATTTGTAAGGACTGCAAGATTTTAATTGCAAGAATTAAAAGGAAGGATAGGGAACCTATATATTAAAAGACACATTAAAAATGTAGCAGACACATACAACGTGGGGACTGTGTTTATAACCAAGTTCAAGCAATCCAACTGCCAAGAAAAAAATGGAGAGATATAAAATCTGGGAAACATGAATACTGGCTGGACATTTGATAGTACTATAAAATTTTTATCTTTTAGGTGTGATAAAAATAATTCTTTTTTTAGCAATACATATGTCAGAATTTGCAGGTGAAATGACGTGATGTCTGGGGGTGGGGGAGTCTGATAATTGCATGGTAATTGTTGCACACAGGCGATGGGTACATAGCAATTAACTGTTGCATGCACCTCACCTAATCTGTAGCCAGGCCAGCCAAACAGGTGGTCCCTGGGCTCCACAGGCCTACAGAATTGCACTGCACCTCCTGGCCCACCTCCACCCACAGCACACAGGTGACTTGGGGGCCCTCCCATTGCTGATGCTGGGGAGAATGGAAATGGGGGTATCTAAACCTTCAGGTGACAAGAGCAGCAGGTGCAGGGTGGGACGAGGCAGGGTACTGGGATTGACCTGGTCTGACCATCAAAATGAAGGAGGAAGAGAAAGATGGGTGAGGAAAGCAGGAATAGGGGCAGTCACAGGAAGCTGCTTGCAGGAAGGAAGATGATGAGACCTGAGCATGTGATTCCTTTTCCTGCAGACAGAAGCGGCCAGGGTGAGGAGGGAGATAATGCAAGAGCAATGGCAGCAGAACAGCACTCATGCTGTGAATGGCAGTGCAGTGTCAAGCACACTGAATACCATATCCCTTATGTATTAGTCCGTTCTCGCACTGTTACAAAGAAATGCCTGAGTCTGGGTAATTTAAGAAGAAAAGAGGTTTAATTGGCTCATGGTTCTGCAAGCTGTACAAGAAGCATGACAGCTTCTGCTCGGCTTCTGAGGAGGCCTCAGGGAGCTTTCAATCATGGTGGATGGCAGAGTGGGAGCAAGCATCTCACATGGTCAGAGCAGGAGGAAGAGAGAAAGGTGGGAGGTTCCACACACTTCTAAACAACCCGATTTCACGAGAAGTCCACCACGAGAACAGCACTAGGGGGATGCCGCTAAACCACGCAGAAGAAACCTCTTCCATGATCCAATCACCTCCCACCAGGCTCCACCTCCAACACTGGGGATTACAACCGAACAGGAGATTTGATGGGACACAGATCCAAACCATATCACTGTGTTGTCCTAACAACCTGGGAGGAAGGTCTTACTCTCCATTTTAGAATGGAGGAGCTGACGTGGCTTGTCTCCAAGCAGCCTGATACCCAAATCCAAATCCAAATCCTAACACTGTCAATCATCTCCTCTGATAGGGATACGGAAGCAGCTCTAGAAAGAGTCCAGGGAAGTCAGATTGGGTTTTGCTGTTGAATCACAGTTACACCCTTATTCATTAGCTCAGAAGAGTCACCTCAATCAGTGGTCCCCAAACTTTTTGGCACCTGAGACCGGTTTCATGGAAGACAATTTTTCCATGGACCAGGGGTGGGGGCAGGGGATGCTTTCAGGATGATTCCAGCACATTGCATTTATTGTGTACTTTATTTCTATTATTACATTGTAATATATAATGAAATAATTATACAACTCACCATCATGTAGAATCAGTGGGAACCCTGAGCTGCTTTTTCTGCAACTAGACGATCCCATCTGGGGGTGATGGGAGACAGCGACAGATCATCAGGCATTAGATTCTCATAAGGAGCAGGCAGCCTAGATCCCTCCCATGCACAGTTCACAAGAGGGTTCATTCTCCTATGAGAATCTAATGCCGCCACTGATCTGACAGGGGGCGGAGCTCAGGCAGTAATCTGAGTGATGGGGAGCAGCCGTAAATACAGATGAAGCTTCACTCACTCATCAGATACTCATCCCCTGCTGTGTGGCCCAGTTCCTAAGGGTTGGGGAGAGCACGTCAGAGAAGGTATTGGGGACCCCTAGCCTAAATGGAGCTGGAGGATTGTGATTTTCTTAGAGTTACAAAAAAGAGAGGTGGGGGGCGGTGGGGGTGGATTTAGAAGAAACTATCACCGTCTTCCTCTACACTATGTACCTTCATGGAGGAGGACAGGGAGGGAGACCTTTTGTTAGATAATAAAAACAAACCAGGAGCCCAGCTTTGTTTTTTAACTGGGGCAAAATACACATAACATAAAATTTATAATTTTAACCATTTGCAATTGCATAATTCAGTGGCGTTAAGCACATTCACAATTTTGTACAACCATCACTGACATCCATCTCCATAAGTCTTTCATCATCCCAAACAGAAACTTTGCCCACCAAACGCCTCACTCCCTAACCCTCCAGGCCCCGGTAACCACCATTCTACTTTCTGTTTCTATGATTTTGCCTATTCGAATTTTGCCTATTCAAAGTACACCTCATGTAAATAGAATCGCATAATATTTGTCCTTTAGTGTCTGAGTCATTTCACTTAGCATAATGTCTTCAAAGTTCATGTGATGGCATGTGTCAGAATGTCATTCCTTTTGAAGGCTGAATAAAATTTCATTTTACGTATGCCACATTTTGTGGACTGATTCATCTGTCGATGAACACTTGGGTTGTTCCCACCTTTTGGCCATTGTGAATGCCGCTGCCACGAATGTGGGTGTACAAATCTCTCTGTAAGTCCCTGATGAAGCCCAGCTTTGTAATGATGATGCTACCTATGATGAGGAATAAAGATATGCCACATACTGTCAGCATGCAACAAATGAGCTAATGGTAAATACAGTTACGTTGCAGCTCTTTGTCATCACTAATGAACTGTGAAAACAATAGAAGTAAGAAACCAGTAAGAAGGCCTCAAGAAAACAGAGCTGTGACTATCAGTTGCAGTTTTCCCATGCATGTTATGAAACATGGCCAATCACAGACAGGGCTCAACTCCACTCAAGATAACGAGTTTGAAGTAAACACTTCTGAAAACAGTAATCTAGGATTTTGGCCTCCTGGGGCATGATACTGTAAGAATGTAGCAGAATCTGTGTTTATGAACTCAGCAAAATTATGTCAAAGAGTTACAGGAAAGGTTCCCGATCCAGACCCCAAAAGAGGGTTCTTGGATCTTACACAAGAAAGAATTCAGGGTAAGTCCACAGTTCAAGGCAAAAGCAAGTTTATTAAGAAAGTAAAGGAATAAGAATGGCTACTCCATAGACACAGCAGCCCCGAGAACCGCTGGTTATCCATTTTTATGGTTATTTCTTGATGATATGCTAAACAAGGGGTGGATTATTCATGCCTCCCCTTTTTAGACCATATAGGGTAACTTCCTGACGTTGCCACGGCATTTGTAAACTGTCATGGTGCTGGTGGGAGGGTAGCAGTGAGGATGACTAGGGGTCACTCTCGTGACCATTTTAGTTTTGGTGGGTTTTAGCCAGCTTCTTTACTGCAAGCTGTTTTACCAGCAAGGTCTTTATGACCTGTATTTTGTGCCAACATCCTTCTCATCCTGTGACTTAGAATGCCTTAACTGTCTAGGAAGGCAGCCCAGTAGGTTTCAGCCTCATTTTACCCAGCTCCTATTCAAGATGGAGTTGCTCTGGTTCAAACGCCTCTAACAAAACTTTCAAGCTTTCCAGAGAGTTAGTTTTATTGTCATAAGCAATCAATGAAAGCATCATGGTCTTTCTTTTGAGGACACAACAACTAGAAAAAATCCAGAAGAGACAGGCCATAACGACCCCAGCCTGCACAGTATCTGCACGTAACCATCCCGGTCGCACCAGGAGAGGGAAGGTGCAATGACAGCCACTAAGATGGCATCAGCCTCTCCACTGCTAGAGACCTCCTGGGAAGAGCCAGGACAGCCATTACTGTCCTCTTGGGATACAGAGTTGGGGAAAGGAGCTTAAGGCTGCAGGAGGATTTTCGTCAGAAAACCCTGAGTCTGCAGTGTCAGAAGGGAAGGAGTGCAAGGGATGTAATGAAATGTGGAACTCCATCTCCATCTCAAATGCCCTCTCTCATTCTTCCAGCTTCAAAGAGTTCACTCAAGGACGCCACACTCTCAAATCACAACCCAGAGGGGCCTGTTTTAAAAAGGTTGATCTTAACCAGTTTAGGCACTTTCAAGTTAACTCGGGTTGAGGAACAAAAAGCTCTAAAAATGGTGTTCTGACCTTCTTCAACGTCTATACAACTTCAAAGAATGAAATGAGGGGAGAAGCTCAAGGGAATTTAGCTCTTACTCAGGAAACAAAATTTAGCTCAATTAAAAAGATCTTAAATGTTAAGGTTGAGAGATTTTAACTTAAATCTGAAGGAGTTTGGTCTAGTTAGATTGCCGAAGTGCATGTAGCTTGAGTTAATTCCCTGAGTCTATAGTCATGCTTAGAGAATTTTTGACTGCACCATCACCCTTTCATCAAAGTGGGCAGAGATGACCCCTCTGGTAGCACCGGATTCTCCAAGGCAGGGGATGGGGCTTTTTACACTGCAGGCATTAGGCAAGCTGAAGAGGTGTGGTCACTCCCTGTAGGAAAGAACATTCCTGTGGGCGATGCATCAGCTAAGACAGATATCCCAAATTCTCACAGAAGGATCCAATGGGCTGGAATTTCCCTGCTAGCCCCAGTGCTGTCCAACAGAAATTTCTATGATGATGGAAATGTCCGTCTAGCCACACGTGGCTATTGAATACTTGAACTGTGGCTAGTTTGAGCAAGGAACTAAAATTTCAATTTTATTTAAATTAAACTTAATTTAAATAGCCACATGTGGCTAGTGGCTCTCTAAGTAAAGTGTGAATATAACTCCTAGCAGAATGTGTTAAAAATATAGACCCTCAGGCCCTATGGCTGGGGATTCTGGTTAAATAGCGGTGGCGCCAGGCATTGCCCCTTTTAACAAGCGCTCCAGGTGGTCCTGATGCTGGTGGTCTTGAAGCAATGCTCTAGACTTCAAGGAGGGCAGGAGTCCATGTGTGAGCTCCTGGTAGTGGGGAACACCCACTGCATGGAGACAGACTATAGGAAGGATATGGAATAGGGCCTGGGAGCGATCCTAGAGGCCAGAGGCTCACCCACTAGGCTCCAGCTTAGAATTCAGTGGAGCACTGACATTGCCTTGGGTTGTGACAGCTATTTAGATACCGTCAGGGCCACAGCTGATGCCTCTCCATGTTCTGCCCACTGCCGGCTCCTGATCTCCAGCTCATAGCTGCCAGCCACTGGTCAGCGGCAAACATCCATGAACACCCCCTTCAAAAATGCCATGCCCAGTTCTACAAGGGCCCTCCACAGGTCACCTCCAGAGTGAATTCTGTGAAACCCAATATTCAGCCCCTCCCAGACTCTCAGGACCATGCCTACCATGACCCACATCTTTGTGTCTCTGGCCACTGCTCAAAGGACAAGTTCTTGGTCCTTTTCCAGGGTTCTCTATTCTCATCGAAGGCATCACTGTTCTCCTGGCATCTCAGGTAAGAATTGTATGCCTTCCTTTCCATGATCCCACACATTCCATCATTCATCATGTTCTGTCCATTCTGCCTACTTAACATTTCTTAACTACTTACTCCTTCCCACCAATACTCTCTTGGCTCAAGCCATCATCAGCTCTCCCTGGACAGCAGCAATATGCAGTCCCTTGACCACACCCGCTCTACCCTCCCAGCTAGTCTTCACAGGCAGCCAGATGGACTTTAAAAGACTGAATTTTGGTGGAGAGCAGTAGCTCATGCCTTTGGGAGGCCGAGGTAGGCAAATTGCTTGAGGCCAGGAGCTCAAGACTGGTCTGGGCAACATGGTGAAACCCGGTCTCTACAAAAAATAGAAAAACTAGCTGGATATTGCAGCGCATGCCTGTAGTCCCAGCTACTAGGGAGGCTGAGGTGGGAGGATCACCTGAGCCCAGAGCAGTCAAGGCTGCAGTGAGCTGTGATTCCACAAATGCACTCCAGCCTAGGCAACAGAGTGAGACCCTGTCTCAAACAAATGAAAAGCAGAATCTTATCATGTCATTGTTCTGCCTACAGGCCTTTTCTTCTATGGCATGCCACTGTATTTAGGAATAAAGTCAAGATCCTTATCAGGACACACAACCCCTGTATGGCCTGGCTTCCTCTGTCTCTCTCCTTCTTGGTCATCAGTACAAAGACCTTCTAGAATCTGAGAAGCTGGACATTTACTTCTGCTCTTCTTTCTCTCTCTACCTCCTGCCCTCCTTGACTGGGCTCTTCCCTCTGTGTGCACAGCTTAAGAGCTGCTTCATTCTACATTTTCCCTCCCCAGACCAGGCATTGGCCCCATACCTTCCCCTCCTGAGCACTGAGCAATGCAGTCATCCAGTTACTGTTTTTGTAATGATCTGCTTAGTGTTGGGCTCCTTGACTAAATTCTAAGAGGACAGGAACTTTATCTTATTCACTACTCTCCCTCCAGGGTCAATTATACTGTCTGGTATTAAACACATATTTGTGAATAAATAACCAGGTGAAGAAGTGAATGAGCAAGTGATTTAACACATCAATAAAGATTAATTAATAAAGATAATTAATATGACAGATGATAATCATTAAAGATGGCAGATTAGGCCAATGTTTTCCAACATGACCTCTGACATCAGAAGAGCTGACAATTGTTGACATGACTTTTATAACTTTTGATCTTGGGAGGCATGAGCAAGCACATTGTCTTAATTAGCTTTATTAATTATTAATGTTTAGTAAAGATAATTATTAATAAGATATTAATAAAGATTCTGATAAAGATCAGTTAATAGTAGAAGGGAAGCTGAGAGCTGGAAACATGAGACTATAATTTCTGAGATATGGTTCCATCGACATTTGTTTAGTCACTAATTAGAATCACCAGCCAGTTTAGAACTCCCCATTCCTAAGGGCAGGCTTCAGGGAGGGGGTGTGATGTCCACCTGGTGAGTCACTGTTGGTCCGGGTGCTGCTGGTCTGTGTGCTCTGAGGGAGGGTCCAGGCCATGTGCTGCCTCCAGGGGAGCCCCTCAGGCTATGGTCAGCATTAATAATGTCTTTCATCTGTGAGTGGATCTACAATGGCTTCTACAGTGTGCTCCAGTTTCTAGGACTCTACAAGAAATCTAGAAAACTTGTTCTCTTGGGTTGGGACAATGTGGATGAAACCATTCTTCCTCATATGCTCAAAGATGGTGGATTGGGCCAACAGGCTCCAACACGACCTCTGCCATCAGCAGAGCTGACAACTGCTAGCCTGGCTTTTACGACTTTTGATCTTCTGGGGCATAAGCAAACACGTTGGTTTTGGAACAGTGATCTCCCAGCAACAAATGGGATTGCCTTTCTGGGTTACTGTGCAGATTGTCCTCAGATCCTGGAATCCAAAGAGGAGCTCAATGCTTTAATGACTGATGAAAGAATATCCCATGTGCCAGTCCTTATCTTGATTAGCAAACATTGGACAGAACAGGCACAATCAGTGAAGAAAAACTCTGTCTGCCATTTGGTCTTTATGGACAGACCACAGGAAAGGGAACTTGTGACCCTGAAGGAGCCAAATGCCTTTTCCAAGGAATCGTTCACGTTCAGTGTGTACAACAACAGGGCTATGGCAAGGGCTTCTGCTGGTTTGCCCAGTATATTGACTGATGGTTGGGCAGTGAAAATAAAAGTTTAACTTCTTAAAAAAAAAAGATGGTGGGTGGGGAGGGGGTAAACAGTCTAGGCTTCTTCTGCAAGAGAAGAAGTAAAAGGGAATAGCACTCTACACTCAAAGATTTTAAAAGTCCAATCCCTGGGCATGTCAAGATTGTAAAGGTAAGAACCCTACAGCAGCTGGATCCCGAAGGACCAGCCTGGCGTGTCTGTTCCAGGTCTTGTGAGCATTGAGATGTTTGGCCATCACCAAGAATTAGAGGTAAAGAGTAGGCATAACCTGATTTCCATTAATTTAGAAACGCTGAAACAGAACATAATATAATTCGGTAAAATAATTAAGATTGCTGGATCCACAGAGAAATGTTATTGAGTCATTCAAACCTGATCATCAAAATTAACATGAGCTATAATCTTCCTGCATTGACTGGACACAGATGCTTATTCCATTTTGCAGACAAGGAGGCCAAGGTGGGCAGATCGCTGGAGGCCATGAAGGAAGTGGAGAGAATATCAGTAACTTGCTGTTGGGAGCAATGCTGCTTTCAAAGCCTGGGCTCCTAACTCCAAATCCTGTGTTCCTTTCTGGAAGGTTTTCTCCTTGAATTGTTTCTCACCCCACCCAAGTGACCTTCGACCTCCTGGGAACTCACTTCTGGCTTGGTCCAGGTTGTCCAGACTCCATCATCCACTCATTTGAGGAGTGCTCATCGATGCCTATGATGAGCCACGCTGTCCTACCCCTGACCGTAAGGATGTCATGGTTGGCGGAAGAGGAAAGGAAAGAAGCATCCAATGGTGGAAATGAGAATGAAGTGGCAGGTGGCTCTCTGATGTCAGGCTTGCAACGGCGAAGGATGCAGGGTTTTGGCTGTGCCCCACCCTGTGTAGCAGAAGAATGACCTCCCCTGCCTAGGACCCACCACATATACCCCCACACGCTCAGGTGGCAGTCACCTTTTTAGCAGCCACATTGCCTCAGGGGCTTGAGTATGCAGGTCTCATTCACAAGAACTACTAACAAATTTCCTTCTGAACTTGCAACATTTATTTTTTTGTTAACCCAAGCACAGGATTTTACATTTATCCCCATTAAATCTCACCTTGTTAGTTTTGGCCCATTGATCCGAACTGCTGAAATCTTCATAATCCAGATTTTGCCGTGCCAAGCACAATTATTCCCCCTAGCTCTGCATTGCCAGGAAATGTGATGAGAGCACTTTTTATATCTTCATCGAGATGGTCCATGAAACTGTGGGCCAGGACAAGGCCATGCACACAGCCCTAAGGCCACCGGCAGCAACCTCAGTCGCCCTCTTCAACATGGGTTGGGTCAAGGGGAACAATGGCTTGATATCCTCTGGATGGTGATTCAGCCAACTAAACCATCTAATGCCATCTCCACACTGGTTACATTTCTCCATTCTGTACCATGATATTCTGAGAGATGATCTAAGATAAATGCCTTTCCAAATATTTATACCCATGTTTAGCCATTTTAAAATGCCCTTTCTGTTATTGTTCTAGAGTGAATACTAATTAAAGTTGCCCTGTAAGAGATGTCTGGAATCGTTCTAGGCAAAATAAGTCAGTGCTGAAGTTATTCTATCCCAGAGATACCCCAAACATAAATTCAATGGGCTATGGACTTCCCATGGCAAGTGCCTTCAATCAGTGATGGGAACAGAACTTGAAGGCATGCTGGGATTGAGAGATGTAAGGAACGTGATCTACTGCCATCACTCTTCATTATCCTAAACTGGAAAAGCTGATGCCAAAGCTGGCCAGCCTGTCCAATAAAACATTTTGATCAAAGATACAATTTCACAGAATACCTATGTAAGGGATGGCCTGAGAGTCCACAGGGATCTAGTAGAAGTATGAAAGTTATCAACCTGGTTTCTACAGGTCCATAGGCAGACAGCAATATTGTGCAAAATGCTTCTCAGGGGCTATACAAATACAGATTTTAAGTGAACAGCATCCAATCTTTTCATAAATTAGGGATGTTAGAAGGTAAATAAAAGAGATTCCCTGAAAAACTATTTAATAAAAATTCAGCCCTGTGCCATGAAGAATCGGTTCACCACAGAAGCATTTTGAGTAGGATTAATTAGATGACTCTCAGCATTAGCTATAGACTTAAGAGACTGGGACCGCTTTAATTTAGGTTGTGGTTTCTAAGCAGGTTTTTCAATTACAGTAAACTTCTGGATATTTAAAGACCCAATATTCAATGAGTAGATATTTTTTGCTCTTTAAAAGTCACCAGAGGCCTTCCAGAGGCCTCTCAAAATAACTTTTATCATTTTCTTTTTAGGAATAATAAATACGTTAGCAATCTTCTTTTCAACCATTATCAAGTTTTTACAATAGTTTTTTTCCTTCAAAAGAAAATGTTTTTTCCTAATTTTAAAAGTAATATTTTATTTTTGCGAAACATTAATACAATAAAGAAAGTAAATATCCTCTATAATCTTCCTACTCAGAGATACATGTCATGTGTATAATTTTAAAATAAAAATTGAATACTATGTAAACTATTTTCATTTTTTAGAAAACAAACACTAGCAGGAAACAACTATTTTCTAACATGCTAGTTACATTGATTATACCATGAATTTTTTATAATAAAAGTCTCATCATTTTAAATTGTTGTATGGTATCCTGTTTCATAGCTGATTATTGAATCAGTCTCCTATTGATGTACTTTTAGGTAAAACATCTTTAAGCACAGGGCTGACTCTGGGGCTGAAGGTGTTGGAGCGGTATACTAACCAGCTTGCCTTCTGATTGGTCAGCTGTTCATCCTGATTGATCAGGCCCTTTATTGTACTCATTGTTAAACATGTAAATGGTCTCTGCTTATATTTTTATCTCTGGGTTCTTATAGTTTCACTTGTAAAAACTCTCGGACTTGACTCTATTGGGCCAATGGCTATGCAAATTTAAAATTCTATTATATACTAAATGATTGATTGCCTTTGGTGTCTAACAGCATTACATGCTAGTAGTGCACAAGCATTTCACTCTACTTGATTTTTTTTGTTTTTAGTATTCATTGCGTCAAAGGTATAGTTAATTTGGAATAGGTATGTAACCTTTTGCAAAAAAATTGTTATACTGAAGTATTTTTGGTAATGCATCATTAAAATAGTAATATTGGCATCCTCTTATTATGAAAATGTTACTTTTCATATAATGGAATTTCTAAAATTGGTACAAGTAATACAATTAAAATTATAGCATATCATAGGAACATATGAAACATTTTCTATGTATTTTTGAAAATGCAGTCTGACAGTGAGGTTGCAAAGAGAGAAATAAATTAAAAAGATAGTTTTGTTTTCAACTTTTATAATTTTGAGATTATCTCATGAAAGACTCAGAATTGAAAGGGAACAAATTAAGTCACCTTTTAAAACGATATTTATACAAATTAGCTACTCTCTAGCAGTCAACGTGTATTATAGTATCTGCAGTAATGGAAGGTACATCATTTTCAGGGGGAACCATGGACAAGGCTATTAAGTCACATTACAAACTCAGACAACCAGACGGGCTCTAAGAAATTATTTATCTATGGAAATGTGTGTCCATTATGAAGCTAAATGAAGTAGCAGGGTATAAAATTGCATACAGACTGTGATATCAACTAAGAAGACAAAAGAAACAAAGGCTTATTTATAAGAAAAAAAATCCATCTATATAATTCACCAGAATCTTAAACAGGATTGTGTTTGGTGGTAAAAGTACTTTTTAAAAAATGTTAGGGTTATTTGTTCCCTTCCCCCCTATAATGTTCAGTTTTCTTCACTGGGTATGTATATTGTTTTCATAGTAAAAACAACTTAAGGTTTTTATGAGGTCGATTTTTGCTTCTCTACCTGCAGTCGTAATGCTCCATAAAACATTCAGGATTAGCCTCCCCTCATGCTGTGCACCACGTTTCTTCCAACAGCCTAACAATGGGAGCAGGTGCAATAAAGAACACTCCTAAATCCAGCTGCCCACCACAACAACCCCATCGAGAAAATGCATCACCACCAGCAGCCTTAGATGCTTTTGATCTTTCAGGGAATGCCTAGCTTCTTCCATTGAGATATTTTCAAAACCATACCTAAAAATGTACAAAAATGTGTGCCCCTCGATATTCTTATGTAAAGAAATAGAGTATGAAAATATGTACTTTGCTAAGGGAGACGGATCAAAAGCAATATACAGTTTTCTCTTCAGATTCCTGATTATATAATACATGTGTCTGAATCTCTATTTTAAGAGCAAGTCACAAGAAAAGCTAAAAACACCTCATTTCTTGTTTCCAAAGCTTCTGATCTATTTAATGGTGAGCAGTAAGAATGTAAGAAAAAAAACACAAAAGAGGCAGGTTGCAGATCCCAGGGAGCAGGTAGTGTGATTTTTGTATACATTTTTATATATTGCAGCATTAGATACCGAACTTTCGGGCTGGCTGTTGATTGACTGTCTTTCGTCTGTCTTGCTTAAAATGCTCAAATCAAAGCACCAACACAAGTAAATGATCTGAGTTGTTTACAGGGAGATGTTGAGTCAGGTTCTGGGACTCCACATCCCTGACAGAACTCATCCCAGTGAGGGCCTGCGACCTCTACTCTTGTTTCAGAAAAAATCACCATCCTGCTGATGGGTGAGGAACAGGAACCAGTACTTTTGGAAGAGAGAAACTGCTATTTTGACCAAGCAGGACTTGGAAAATTGAGTTCTATCTTTACATACAGATTGCTTATTAGAAGAACTAATAAGCTCTTCTTTTATGGTACTAATGAAATAGAATATTAAGGAGTCCTTTAGATCTGAGGAATCTGTGGGGATAGCCAGGGTGCAAAGAATAAGAAAACGAGTTGTTTGTCTTACGGTTGGAGGCAGACAAAGTTTTCTGCTAGTAAGGCACACAAAATGTATAATAGTATCCAAGCGGCCCAGAAAAAGCCATAATGCCATTTTCTGGAAATTTATATAATTTTTCCACAAAAGGACCAATTTTTAAAAATAAGAAGATGACAGAAATAGTCCAAATCACTGGAGATAAGCTTTGAAAGATAAAATAAACTCTTGGTATTTCTCAGGGAGAAGATAATTTCTATCAGTTTGAAGCTGTTTCCCCTAATATAATCCAGGAGTTGTCAAAAGTCAACTAATTATGAAACTCTGTTATTTGAACAGTACAGGGATGCTTAAATCAAATCTTTGAACAACCAGGCACTGAAAAAATAAAACATCAGAACTATGAAAAAATAGTGTTGAGTTATAAAGTTCCTTAATAGAGTGATAAAATTCTTTATTTTTCCATTAGATAATTTTTTAAAGTTAATTCTCACCTCAAATCCAAATTTGGATTACAAATCCATGCATTTCGTTCTTTGTTTCTAAACCCCAACATAAATCACAGAGCACTTTTCTGTCCATGGTGTCTTAACTTTCTCCTATCATGCAATAAACAAGAATTAACTTACTCATTTCTTTCCAGATTTATGATCAGTTCTTTGCTTTCCCGTTGTAGTCGAATATTCAGCACTTCTGGATGATTCTGAAAGATAAACAACAAAAGTCAGTTGAAAAACGCTTGGCTTTGATTTGCAAATAGCTGAATAAGACCCACAGGCGTAGTCAAATGAGGGAATAAACGATGCGGTCAACCTAAGAAAGAGCCAAATGCCATCACAATGCAGTGTATAAATGAAGGTTTCTTAGCAGCTTAAAAAGAGCAGTGAAGGCCAGGCACCAGAGGATTGCTTGAGTCCAGGAGTTTGAGACCAGCCTAGGTGGGCAACACAGTGAGACCCTATCTCTACAAAAAGTAAAAATAAAAAAAATCAGAATATTAGCCAGGGGTGGTAGTTTGTGCCTGTGGTCCTAGCTACTTGGGTGGCTGAGGCGAGAGATCACTTGAGCCTAGGAGTTCGAGGCTGCAGTGAGCTATGGTCACGCCACTGCACTCCAGCCTGGGTGGCAGAGTGAGACTCTGTCTCAAAAAAAAAAGAAAACAAGCCTGTAATCCCAGCACTTTGGGAGGCCGAGGGGTGGGGGTGGGGTGGGGGTGGATCACCTGAGGTCAGAAGTTCAAGACCAGCCTGGCCAATATGGTGAAACCCCATCTCTATTAAAAATACAAAAAATTAGCCTGGTGTGGTGGCACACCCCTGTAATCCCAGCTACTCAGGAGGCTGAAGCAGGAGAATCGCTTGAACCCGGGAGGCCGAGGTTGTAGTGAGCCAAGATTGCACCATTGCACTCCAGCCTGGGCAACAAGAGCGAAACTTCGTCTCAAAAAAACAAAAAAAGAAGAAGAAGACAAGAGTGGAGGGAGAGTTGGGTCATCCCACAGAACAGGCACCACAAACTCAAGGAGACCTCATTCTTCCTGGTCAGCATTGCATGAGTGCAGAAAGTGGAGACTCAGTCTTGCTGAGACATGATCACCACCACACTCAATTAGTGCTTCCTTCAGTTACGCTGACTTCGTCTGCCTTTGCTTTGTCAGTTATTTCGGTACTAGGCTTGTATGAACGCATGAGAATGAGAAGTTTATACATACTTTTCTAATATTTCATATTTGAAAGTCAGTCTTATAACTCCAGAGCTCGAAAGATCTTTTCACAATATATATAATGTTTCAGCTATACCATGACTTAACTAACCACATGCCACTACACTTTAAGATGAAATGGATTGTGGGTTCCAAATGTCCAACATGAAAATAATTAGTTAAAGTAAAACAGAATTTAAAGAAAACCCATAACAACTGAAGGTCACATGAGTTTTGGGAAAAAAAAATGAGTTAAGGCAAAACATGACTTAACTAAGGCCATATAACTGGGGTAGAGTCACAAAGGCTGAAACATTATTTGCTTTATTTTTAGGGCAGCCCTTTGCATATCTTCTTCTAGTCTTTCTGTGTCTCTCATGGTAGCCATTAGCCGCATATGGCTATTTAAGTTAATTAAAACGAAATGAAATTTAAAAATTAGTTCACCAGTCATACTGGACACATTGCCAGACTCAATAACTTGGTGTGACAGGTGGCTACCACTGTGGGACAGCACAGATATAGAGCATTTCTATCATCATGGAATGTTCTATTGGACAGCTCTGAGTCAGTGATAAAGACCTAAAACTTACATCATCCAATTGCCACCTGAGAATTAGATTATTTTAAATATCAGGGCCTTCAGGAGGTAAAATTAGGTACAAACTCAAGGGTTTTTTCCTTATGAGCTTCAAGGAGGTTCTTTCTCAGTTTTCACTGATGGATGATATTACTTTAAATAGTTATTTAAACTTGAGAGTTAAATTGGTGAATTTCCAGATATATGAAATTCTTACGTATCTTTTCTGGGTTTACACAGGCCTTGTTTTTGATGGATTTACTCTAGCAAAAGAGTACAAAAACATACCAAATTTATATATTTTGATACTGTCTGGTGTTTATAAGAACTGTGTGCATTTCTGAGTGTTACTCGACTTTGAAAATTAATCTATTGGATCCTACATGCCAAGAAACATGCACCATTTCTTTGTAGTGTAGTGTGTCAAAGTGTTCTTATGCCCTTACAGGTATTTGCTTTCGAGTCCATCACAGGGACTCCTGCATATTTGCCTATACTTGCTGACACCCGGGTTGAACTACAAACACTTCCATAATGTTCTCTTCAGGGTTTGTAATATGTACCCATTAATTATATGTGTGAAGAACAAGATTATTAATTATATTTACAATAAAATATTAGAACAAAATATGTCTCAATATTCTGTCAAAATGTGCCCAAACACACCATATGTATGTATACATGTGTGTATAACTACATGTTTCATATGTATGTATATATAAGTAACTTAGTTACTTTAGTTACAAATAGTGTTTGCCTAAGATATCAATGCACAGATCACATACCTTAAATGGAAATCCTGACAATTCTATATGTGAATAAAAATATATTATTTGCAATATCCCTTTTCCCCCAAAGAATTGAGGTAGTTTAAGCATTAACATTTGTAGTAATTCCACATAAAGTACTAGAAGTGTTAGGAGAGTCCAATGTCAACATCTTGCAGAAGAACATATTTTCCTTCAGGGAAGATCTTTATGTACATTAGTTGAGGTATGACTAGTAAAGGAGAAACCAATAGAGAGGGAGAACAGACAGCTACTTTAATTGAAGACCACTAATTGCCTTAGACTTCTTAAAAGCATGTATTCATTCCATTTTCTTTTGATTGTTACCCATTGGAGATGATGAAGTAGTACCGGTAAAATACGGCATTCCTTTTCTTAAAAATGATATATTGATTACCCTAATGGAACTGTGTCTTTTATTGAATGCTTAAAGAACTGTACCTGCTGAATAAATCAATTAACTGCTAATCAATGGGCCAGAAATGTTTTGGCAGTAATTGCTGCTCTATTATTTTAATTGGGAAAGTACATCCAAGAGTATATAAAATGTATAAGTACAATTTGAAAAACAACGATTAAAATAAACACCAGGGCACCTACTACCCAGCTGAAAAAGCAGACTATTTCTATAATCTTAGAAGCCCCCGTATTAGTTTGGTGGGGCTGTCATAACACACACCAGAGACTGTGTGGCTTAAACAACAGAAATTTATCTTATAGCTTTGGAGCTAGATGTCCAAGATGAAGGCATTGGCAGGTTTGGTTTCTTCTGAGGCCGCTTTCCTTGGCTTTGAGACAGTTGCCTTCTTACTGTGTCCACAGATGGCCTTTTGTATGTCTGTGTCCTGATCTCTTCTTATAAGGACACCAGCCATATAAGATTAGGGGCCACACATATGACCTCATTTCACCTTAATTGCCTTTTTAAAGGGCCTTTCTCCAAATACAGTCACATTCTAAGGTACCGGGGTTAGGATGTCAATACAGGAATTTGCTGGGGGGAAGGGAGAGGAAATTCATCTCATACACTTTCTCATGCTAAATTCATTATTACATTTCCCTTATTCCCAACCAGTGGTAACCATTATGCTGAAGTTTCTATTAATCATTATCTTGATTTCCTCTACAGTTTTGTTTCTAGTGTACATATTCCTAAGCAATACACTGTTTAGTTTTACCCTGTTTTGAACCTTACAAAAATGGCCTCATACTTTGTCCATTCTTCTATGACTGGTTTCTTTTACTTAATCTTATATTTGTTAGATTTATACATATGGTTGTATACAGCTGTAGTCCATCTATTTTCATTGCTATGTAGTATTCTATTGCACAAACAATGTGTAAGTCCTTTCTCCTACAGGTGGACTTTGGCATTCTTTCTCTCCAACCCTTTTTGCTCTTAAAATGCTGTTATGCATGTTCCTGTGTACATGTCTCCTACTACAGCAGTCCCCAACATTTTTGCCACCAGTGGCCGGTTTTGTGGAAGACAATTTTTCCATGGAACTGGGGCTGGGGGTGGGGGATGGTTTCGGGATGATTCAAGCACATTATTATTACTTACTGTGTACTTTATTTCTATCGTCATTACATTGTAATACATAATGAAATACAACTCACCATAATGTAGCATCAGTGGGAGCCCTGAGATTATTTTTCTGCAACTAGATGGTCCCATATGGGGGTGATGGAAGACAGTGACAGATCATCAGGCGTTAGATTCTCATAAGGAGCCCACAACCTAGATCCCTCACGTGCACAGTTCACAATAGGGTTTGTGCTCCTATGAGAACCCAGTGCCTCCGCTAATCTGACGGGAGGCGGAACTCAGGCAGTGATGTGAGTGGTGGGGAGCTGCTCTAAATACAGATGTAGCTTCTCAGCCTGCAGCTCACCTCGCCTGCTGCCGTGTGACCTGGTTCCTAGGCTACAGGGGTTGGGGACCCCTGCCTTGCTGGACAGATATGAGTTTCCCTGGCTAATCTGGGATGGAAACTCTGGGTGGTGTAGTTTGCACATGTTTGACTCTACCAGGGATCTTTAAATTGTTTTCCAAAGTACAAATGGGTTATAAATGTTTCTCTCATTCCATAGTCTCATGAATATCTGGCAAAAATTTAAAAAGGCGGGCAGCCCCAATCTGCTGACTGTGCAACTGCGGCTCACTGGGGTTTTCCTTTACGCCTCCCTCCTCAGTAGCAAGACAGAGCACCTTTGCTTATGTTTATGGAACATTTGATTTTCTTCTCCTGTGAAATACTTGCTCATGTTTTCTGACCATTTCCTTTCCTGCTTTCTTCCTCCTCCCTTTCTCTTGTCATTGTGAATTTGTAGTTATTTCTACATTCTGGAAGCTATGCTTTTCTCTGTTTAATGTGTGACAAATATCTTCTCCCAGTTTGGGCTTTGGCTTTTCATCCTCTTAAGTGTGTTCTCATGAACAGAATGCCTTAATTTTAATAAAATCCTTCATGGTTTAAAGTCTTTGTGCCTTATTTGAGAAATCCTTCCCTACTCCAAGATCAAAAAGCAGACTGTGTTATCTTCTAAATGTTTCATAATTTTGCCTTTCACATTTAAGTCCCATCCAGACTTGATTTTTGTGTCCAGTACCAAGTAGGAGTCCAACTCTACTTTAGAGAAAATGTGATTAACCAATTGTTCCAGCACCATTTGTTAAAAGTCTATCCTTCCTGGCTGGGCACAGTGTCTCATTCCTGTAATCCCAGCACTTTGGGAGGCCAATGTGGGTGGATCATCTGAGGTCAGGCCTTTGAGACCAGCCTGGCCAATATGGTGAAACCCCGTCTCTACTAAAAATACAAAAATTAGCTGGGTATGGTGCTGTGCTCCTGTAATCCTAGCTACTCGGGAGGCTGAGGCAGGAGAATCACTTGAACCCGGGAGGCAGAGGTTGCAGTGAGCTGAGATCACGTCACTGCACTCCAGCCTGGATGACAGAGCAAGACTCCATCTCAAAAAAAAAAAAAAAAAAAAAAAAAAGACCTATCCTTCCACCGTATCTGTAGCAGCCATGTGGAGATCTGTTTCTGAGCTAATACCATGTGTCTCATTGTCTGTCCATGCACTAATGCCACCCTGTGTTAATTACTACAGCTTTACTCTGAGTCCTGATGTTTGGTGAGTCTTCTCACCTCTACTATCTCAGCACCCTGGGATTGCTCCACTGTCTTCTGTTTCTATTTCTTTTTTATAAAAATGAGGTCTCAATATGTTACCCAGGCTGGTCTCAAACTCCTATCCTCAAGCAATCCTCCTGCCTCAGCCTCTCAAGTAGCTGGGACTACAGGCTCGAGCGATCACGGATGACTTGGTTTCCATTCTTGTTGCTGAGAAGTCAGTCCTCAGCCTCCTTGGGCAGGTGACCCATCTCTTCTCTGCAGCTGCTTTTGTGATCTTTTTTCTTCCATGTTTGGCAGTGTGGCCATTGTATGTCTGGGTGTGAATTTTGTTTTATTTGTTCACTTTGATTTGTCCTCCTTGGAGAAAGGATGCTCCCTTACTCTCTTCACTGGGGCTGTTTTATTTCTTATTCACCCATACACACTTGTCTGTCTTTTGCAGCGTTCAGGGCTCAATGGCAGGTTGGAAAAGGTAGGTAGGGTTAAGGGTGTGACCCAAGATTGGAGACTGTGCAGGCCAAGAGTGGCCGAAGGCCAGGGGAGAATACAGGCTGGAGGTGAGGGAGCCAGCAGGTAAGAGGAGCCGGTAGGTGCTGGCCAAAAAAGGGCTACAGACTGAGAGACTGGACAGAGGTCTGTGGAATGGACATTCTAGAGAGGAAAGGACCACTTCCTATGGGATGCTGGGTAGGAGAGAAGGAAAGGGTTCTGCTGCAAGAGAAGCATTATAATTTGGAGGCAAGCTCTCCTCAACAAAGGTGACAAAAAAAGTCATGGCAAAGTTCAACAGCTTCCTGTTTCCTCCAAAGTCATAAGAAAATATCTTTTTAAGTTTGAAAGTTCAAGTGAATCGATATATTTTTATCTACTACACTGCCTCTTAGGCCATAAGGCACTGACATTTATTGATATCCCTATTTACCTGTATGCATGCAGGCATGTGCATGAACACTTGCTTTTGTGTGTAAGTGTATTATGGGACCTGGGCTGATGTCCCAGTTTATTATAGAATTTTTCATGAAATAGCTCTTGCTATTTGTACTTATACTTCACTCTCAGTTCCATCTAGGAGTCAGATCTAAGTTCCCTCTTTAGGGCATGTAGGCTTGGAGATAAACCCCAAGACTGATACTGCATTTACTCCAAATCCCTCTTTCCTCCTAGGAGGGAAGCTTTGTCGTTGGGCAAAACTCATCAGACACTCTATCCTCAGTGCACATGTGCTCACAGGAGGCAAGTGCCTTCCTCACAGAAAGGCTTTTTTGGCAGACTCCCCTTGAGATGGCAAGCCCAGGCAAATCTGCAAAGACGGGTGCGGCCAGGACCCAGCTGCCCACCTCTAGGGCCCCCAGGTGCCTGTGTTCTCTCAGAGGTTTCCCACAATGCACTTGGCTAGGGCATCCCAGTGAACTGGCTGTACAAACAGATGTGCAAAAAGTGATGATTGATTGATTGGCTGATTAGATTGATTTCCCTATTTTTTTTTTTTTTTTTTTGGTGCTATCCATGTCGTGCTACCCTTCTTTAATGTGTGCGATTGGAGGCTGATCCAAACTTGACTTTAAATCATTTCACCCATAATGAACACAAAATACCTCGAGTCCATAAATGTAGCTTTGCATGGTTGTAGGGTGCTCATTATTTTCCCTGAAGGACGGGATGACACACAGCATCAGGTCCTTGGTGTTTTTCTCTCTTTAGAGAACAAGAAATTTTCAACAGCTTAGAAACATCTGCCCTGATTCTGAGGGTGAATTAATGTGGCAGTGGAACGGCAGCAGGTCTGGCAGGCAGGAGGGAATTACCATCCAAAAAGTAAGATTTGGGGTCAACAGCCAAGTCCACTCCCATCACAACTCTGAGATTATCCTTCCAAAGACCATGGTCAGCCAGAGCCAAAGTCATTCATCTCAACCATCAATACTGGAAGCTCAGAGGGATCTAATTTTTCAAGAAGAACAACAAAATTAAAATATTGCATTCAAGGGAACTCTAAAATAACTAGATCCCTCTCCGGCACTAAATAAATGCTTCAGGCTGCAGCCTTGGCATTCACGGGGCACGAGGGAGTCATTTATTGCTATGAATATTTAGAGGCAATCTTGATTACCACTTTAATATCAGTGTGCTACTTCCACAGCCTGGAAGATATGCGCACTGTGGAATTTAGAGAGGACAAAATTGAATTAACTGCAGTATAACACAGTCAGGAATTAAGGCACGGCAGCATTATAATGGGGTGTCCCTGGATTGGGGCCTGTTTGTTATTACATAAATAATGATAATGTTTATTCTTGAGTTACTGACAATTTTTCCGATGGATAATTAACTTTAGCCAACAACCTGTTAAAATGCTATGTACAGGATGGCATGTATTATCCTTAGGTTTATAATGCAGTTGGAAGTTTGTGTGTTCAAACGTTGGATTATTTTAAGCACAGGATCTTCTCACTGTGTTTCTGCAGCATGATAGAGTCTTGGTTTTTCAGCTTGCTTCTCCCTCCCTGCAGGAAAAGGCACCATCACATCACCTTTGGTCCTCGTGATGCTCTTAGCTCAAGTTCTTTGTCCCGTCGCTACCGGTGTGATTGTTAATCCTCAGATTTGCAGCAAACATTTTAGATTTTCATTTTAGATTACTTTAGCTATAGCCAGAGCATCTTAAAGCCTTATTTATGCACTGAAATACTTCTGGTCTGCTTCTGTGCATCTGAATGCTATAGAATGACAGTCCACCAGGCACGTGCATCTGTCTGAGGACAATGGCCAATTCTGAAGCAGACGACATTACTCTGTTCCTTTCTTGAGCTTACTATTGGGTTGGAAGAGGGAAATGAAAACATGACTTATCAG
The DNA here is from genome assembly GCF_000001405.40 of Homo sapiens. Classification (NCBI taxonomy): domain Eukaryota; kingdom Metazoa; phylum Chordata; class Mammalia; order Primates; family Hominidae; genus Homo; species Homo sapiens. Next base: position 126,287,352 of record NC_000010.11, read on the forward strand.
AAAGCAACCTGGAAAACACTATGACATGGATTTCTCAAACTTAACACAGCTAAAATTCAGCTTTTATTTGACCATCTCCCTCCATCACCCCTGATCCACGACAGAGGGGAGGTTGGAGAAAATCCACCCTGGCTTTCCTCCAGAATTCCTGAGCTTAGTGATGCCCTTTCTTAAGACCCTTCAATGGCAACCTGATGTGCTTAGAACAAAACCACGGCCTTCACGCTGTGAAGGCTCTGGCGTCTGCTCACCTGGCACCTCACTTGGATGTCATCACTTGCTTGTTCCCGAAGCTTCTGGGTCCTTGTGGCTGCTGACTCTCTGCCAAAACATCTTCCCTGGGCCCTTTGTGTGGCTTAACCTCCAGGCACTGGCCTGGACATCACCACCTCAGAGAAGTCCCGGCCTCCTAAGGGGGTTGTTGGTTCTCACACACCCTGTTCTGTCTCTTCCTAGCAAAGTTCCTCATTTGTGATGATTTGTTGTTTTTCTTTTACTTGTTTACAGTCTATCTCCCTCGGCAAAATAGAAACTTCCCAAGGACAAAGAATTTGTCAGCGTGCTCCACATTACAGTCCCCACACCCGGAGCAGGGCCACCGAGATGCCTCTGTAGGATGAAGGGTACAGGCAGGAGGAGTCGGGGATGCAGGAGGAACACTAACTGGGGGGCGGAGAGGAGACCCCAAAGCTGCAAAGGTCCCCTGAGGAGGTATAACAGTGGCCTCCAGTCCCTCCTCACCTGTCACACACTGTCACAAGCAGAGGGTCCTCTGACCTGCGGGCTGTCTGCTTGCCTCACCCTAGGAGGCCAACGTCCTCTGTGGGACACAAGTGGCTGTACAAGGATCCCTGTACAAGGAGCAGGGAAACCCTGGACTTTGAAAATGGACTTCCATACTGTTCTTCTGAGGAGAGTAGGCAGGGCTTGCCCTGTGAGCTGAATTTCTTACATTTGTACTTGGGACTATACAAATGACCAATGAATGCATGTTCCCAGGCTGGGTCCCAGCACCCTCAGCTCTCCGGAGAGGATTCCACATCCTCCTGCTCAGTTTATTTGGATCTTCGTGACAAAAAAAATCCAAAATAGGGCAGACAGGGTGAGGCGGCAGCAGCAAGAGCAGCAGCAGCAGCAGGACTTTTGATAAAATCTGAATCAATGCAAAATACAAGGTAAAGAGTGGAGGTGGGTGTGGTGACATGATGGCCTGGGGATAGGACTGTGTGGTGATGTGGTGGCCTCAGGAACAGAACAGTGTGGTGACATAGTGGCCCCAAGGACAGGACCATGTGGTGACATGGTGGCCCTAAGGACAGGATCATGCGGTGACGTGGTGATCCAGGGACAGGACCGTGTGGTGACATAGTGGCCCTAGGGACAGGACCGTGTGGTGACATAATGGCCCAGGGACAGGACTATGTGGTGGTACAGTGACTCTAAGGACCTGACCACATGGTGACACGGTGGCCCAGGGACAGGAAAGTGGTGACATAGTGGCCCAGGGGAAAGGATCATGTGGTAATATAGTTACCCCTAAGGACATGACCACAGGGTGGCATGATGGCCTGGGGACAGGACCGCATGATGACATGGTAGCCCTGAGGATAGGACCACATGGTCACATGATGGCTTGGGGACAGGACCATATAGTGACATGGTGACCCAGGAATAAGATTGTGTGGTGACATGATGGCCAGAGAAAAGGACCATGTGGTGACACGGTGGCCCAGGGACAGGACCGTGTGGTGACACAATGGCTTGGGGACAGGACCATGTGGTGACTTGGTGCCTGGGGGCTGGATAGTGTGTTGACATCATGTTGCTGAAGTCAGCCTCTGACCAGGCCCCAGCTGACACCAAACCCTGCCAGGCTGTGGGACCACCTCCTCAGACCTCTGCTGCCCCGTGCCCTCTCCCACTTCCAGGCATCTCTGCCAGCACCTGGCTGCCTGCTGAGGACCATCAGATGCCAAGGCGGGGAGGCAGAAGGCCGAGGCCGGGATGAGTCTTTCCTGTCAGCCACGTACCACCTGGGCTCATAAGGACCACTGGTAGCCCCAGTGCCATGTGCCTGGCATCCACATCCACGGGTACCAGCCCCTTGCAACGTTCAGTGTCGATGCCAGCTGCACTGGAAAGCAGGGCTGATGAGGAGGTGTGCTCACCATGGGAAGAAGGCCTAGGCTGGGTTCCAAGACCCAGTTCATTTCAGCATCCTCGGACCACCCCAGGTCTTGGAACACCCTGATCAATTTCTAGGAGCATCCTAGGTTGAAAGTTTATGGAGATGCAGCAATTCCTCCTCTTTTGACTGCAAAGGAACAATAATTTTAAGCAACAAAGAACTATTTCATTTTGGAAATGTAGCATTTTTCCATTTAAGAGGCTACAGTAGGAGGGGCCTCAGGCTAGAAGGCTACGGTCAGACGGCAGCTGTGGGCCATGGACTGAGGGCCAATCTTTTAACTCTGCTGGACCTCAGTTTTCTTACAAGGAAAATGGGATAACAAAACGCTTTTCCTATCATTGTGGTCATAGAAATGACAGTCCCCAAAGATGTGCTAACCCTTGGAATGTGTGCATATGTTACCTTACTTGGCAAAAGGGACTGTGAAGATGCAATTAAGGTTAAGGACAGGGACCTCACCCTGGATTATTCAGATGGGCCCAATGTAATCACAAGCGTTCCTGAAGGCAGAGAATCTTTCATGACTGGGGTCAGAAAGATGTGACAAGAGGGCTTGACCCACTGTGCTTACTCTGAAGGTGCCAGAAGGGAGCCATGAGCCAAGGAACCTGGTGTCTCCAGAAGCTGGGAACCGCCCTCAACCGCCAGCAAGAAAATAGGAACCATGTTCCTACCACCACATAGAACTGAATTCCGCCAGTGCGTCAAGGAGCAGGAAATGGGTTCTCCCCCAGAGCCTCCACCAAGAAGGAAGTCCTGTGGACACTTTGTTTTTAACCTGGTGAGATTTGAAGCAGAGAATCCAACCATGCCCACTGGGCTTCTGACCTTGAGATTTTGACTGTGAGATAATAAATGGGTGTCATTTTAAGCCACTTAAACTGGTGTGATTTGTTATAGCAGCACTAGACAACTGACTTAATTAGTATGATCGCTATGAGATTCAAATGGTAAAAAGGCTGTTTGGAAACCATCATGCGTGACAAAATGAAAATGCATGCTTATTACAGAAATCCAATCACAAATCAAACTGCTACTGCACAGCATGACAGTGACAAGATACCGTTTCACTTATTATCGATTGCTAATTTCCCAAATTGCACCCTTTTCATGCTTTTTATAGTTAGATCAAAATGGGCATAATAAATGACGCTTCAAAAATTTTTCAAAAAGGAATATTATACATTTATTAACTGAGGGCCTATTTATGAGCCAGGCACTGGGTCCAGTCCTGGGTTGATAGCTGAAAGCAGCTTAGCTTTCCCCCTTCTTCTATATGGGAAGAGGCTCTTACGTACTATGTGTACGACCAATCATAGAAGGGGATAGAAGGTACTAGAAGACCTGTAAGATGCAGCACAAAATATGTGAATGTACTTCATTTTGGTGTAGAATGTTTTAAGCTAATACTTTCTAATGTATGCTTACTGATATAACCAGGGACATTAAAATATTATAAAAGCACAGAGCATTGTTTTTGGAGTGGCCTCTGAGGCCTTCTAAGACACAGCCAGTGGTAGAATAGCATGGACTGTGTTTATTAACCAGAAAGCTTGCTTCCCATTCAAAGTGCATTTATATAACTAATTTGATGTCTGGAAACATTCATGTACCATTTTTTTTTCCTACAACACATTTCAAAACTGTCAGTCAGGGGAAGTTAGCTTAAGTTGCTAGTTTGTTTGCATGCAAGCTGTCTTCTAGAAAAATACCCCATTCATATGTTGACTAAAATCCATTTATAAAGCATCACTGTAATGTCTTTCAAATAAACATTAGCAGAATATACTAAGCCCTTTAAAGAGTAATCCTGCTATCGATCACAGAGGCACCGCAAGTCACTATGTACTGAGGCCGAATGCAAACAAGTTTTTCTATTACAAACAGAATTACAGCTAATTGCTAACTTTTTAGAAAACACATTCAAATTGCACCATGAAAACACACACTACAAGCCTCATAAAGATCTTGCAAAGAGAATTCTCATTTCATGGCTGCAGACAAAAATTGAAGTTAGAGTGTCACTTGCTCTTCCCTTTGCTTGCCTGCCTGGCTGTGTCTTGAGGCATTCATGAGAGCCTCAGCATCAGGAGGGAGATGGCACGGGAGGAATGGGACAGAGGTGCACGCTGAGGCTGGAGGAGAAGCTCCACTGGAGTTGGGAGATGGAGTCAGAAAGCCCAGGGCTCGGGGGGTGATGGATGCAGCTCTGGGATTGAGGACTCAAGGCAAAAGCAGATGAAGGACTTGAGAAGGACTGGGGGTCATCTGGCTGTGTGGCCCCTTGGAGCCACCACGTTAACCAGACTATCACTTCACCAGGCTTGCAGGGCTTTGCAACCTTTATGGGTATAACTTTCCATTTCAACCCAGTCTGGCTCTGGGACAGAGACATCCTCAATCTGTACACTTTGCTAATGAAAATTGGGGTTCAGCTTTTTTTTTTTCCCGTTGAAACATTAGAAAAATCAGCCAGTCATGAAGCCCAGACATACTTATGAAAAACTTGGTCCTCTATGTAGAAGATGCTCGACGCCAAATCTCCAGCTCTGACTGCTCTCTTGAGCCCAGCACATGCATTGCAAATGCCCCACAAGCCACAATCAGCAGATCTCTCCCTGGCAACTCAAAGGCTACAGTGCTGAAAACTCACCAGCTCATTTCACATTTCTCCCGACTCCCCCGAGTGCATTCCTCATTTTGTGACCCCCTTGTTTTTCCTATTGTCATCATCATCCTTTTGGCTCCCATTGGTACCCTCTTCTGACTCTCTTTTTCCTCTCGGTTCCAATGTTGAATTAGTGGCTGAGTTTTGCAATTCCTTCTCTGGAGTACCTCCACAGTTCCTTCTATTCCTGCAACATGGCCCTCATTCCAGCTCTCCCCTGGCTACTCTTTCATCAGCCAGTCCTGTATATTGTTCCCTGAGCTGTTTTATTAATGCAGGGCTCAAATAATTCTTCTGCCCTTCATATATAAAGCCAAAGTTGGGTACAAAGCCAAGGTTCCTGAGCATCCCAGGCTCCTCCACCTGCCTCCTCTTCCTCCATCCCATTCAGTGCTCTAGAGCAGGGTTGATGCACATTTTCTGTAATGGAACAGATAATAAATACATTAAGCTTTGTTAGCCATACAGTCCCTGTCATGACTGCTCAACTCTGCCACTGCAGTGCAAAAGCAGTCATAGATCATATAAATGAATGTGGCTGTGTTCCAGTCAAACTTTATTGATGTACACCAAAATTTGAATTTCCCATCATTTTATGTGTTACGAAATATTCTTTTGAATTTTTTTCTCCAGTCATTTAAAAAGGTAAAAAAAATAAAAATAAAAAATCTCAAACACAGGAAAGCATCAAAATCGCCTGGAGTGCTTATTACAACAGATATCATTGCGCCCACCTCAAGTTTCCAATTCAGATGATCTGGGTGGGGCCCAAGCATTTGCATTTCTAGCAAGTTCCCAGGTGATGCTGATGCTGCTGGTCTGGGGACCACATTGCAGAACCATTGTTGCTCGACCAAGTTTCACAGGCCAGCAACCCACAAGGCTCCTTCAGCCTGTAGCTCTATCACTGGCATGGCCCCAAAGTGGGCGCCATCCAGTGCTGTCAATTTGATTAAGTTGCTAACACCTAAGAGTCAGGAGAATTCTCAGACAAATCTGGATGTGCAGCTTCTGGGAGGGGAGAAATACCAGGAAAAATGGCAACCCTTGGTTTCTACTTCAATGGTAACAGTTGGCTAAAACTAACTAGAGGCCACCAATTCTCCCAGCCCCACCTGCCCTATGGGATCCACACATGGAGCCCAAGGGGCAAAGCTTACCTGTCATCTTATGTCTGGCTAGCTTCACTAGTTTGTAACCCTGGCCTGGCCCCTACAGGTATTGACTTCACAATCCCTGGCCTCAAGTCAAACAGGATGATGATGTGGGATACACATGAAACAAGTGAATGAGCACCCCATTTATTTTTATTTATTTTGTTTTTTGAGAGATGGAGTCTCACTCTTCACCCAGACTGGAGTGCAGTGGTGTGACCTTGGCTCACTGCAACCTCCACCTCCCAAGTTCAAGCAATTCTCCTGCCTCAGCCTCCTGAGTAGCTGAGATTGCAGGTGCATGTCACCACGCCTGGCCAATTTTTGTTGTTTTTTAGTACAGACAGGGTTGCACCATGTTGGCCAGGCTGGTCTTGAACTCCTGACCTCAGGTGACCCACCCACCTCGGCCTCCCATTTCTTCTTTTGCCCTTCCTTCTAGTTCCTAAAATACTCCCCATCTTCCACAAGGCCCCTTCAGATGCCCTGGCCTTTAAAACTCTCCATGAAGGCCCAGGTAGAGCTCTTCTCTCCAATCTCTGCTCTTCTAACTATACTGCCACATTTTACCTGAAATGTAGTTATTTCTGTTTACTCACAAACACTGTCTACCCACTGGGCTTCAAGCCTCTTGAGGCCTCAGGCAACTTTGAAGACCCATCAATGTGCCTCAAGCATTGCTTCTTTGTATATAGAAAGTATGAAATCAATGTGTTTTTGGATCAACTGTATTAATGCCTCATAAAATGCGCTCATCCCTTCATCAGATGCTGACAGGGCAGAACCTGACACTGTGCTAAGTACGGGCTGTCCACCCTGAGAGTCAATCTTGATTTTTGCTACAAAGTCAAAGTCATCATTACATGGAATAAGTGGATATACTAGAATTTTGGCTGTTGATTTGCTGACAAAGTATTTAAATTCACCCTTAACACAGATGAATTTCAGACCAAAATAGAAAATGTAGTCCTTGCTGAGGATGAGGCTGGAATGATCAGAAGTGTGTGATCACCAAAACCTTAGCGTATTTTCAGCCTTCGTGGATGATCCCAACTGAAACTAAACCACAGGAGTGAAAATGTCACAGCATTTAAGGGGTCACTGTGGAAACTGCAGGATTTCTCCCGCGACAGTCTCGGCTGTTCAGGTTTCCTCCCTGTTCTGCTAGGAAGAGGAAAGGATTGCTCCATTCCTAAGAATGACCTGACTTAAATGATGAAAAACTGGGTAAATAATCAACTTACTTGGACTATAAAACTAATGTGGACTTGAAAAAAAGGAAAACAGAGGAAGAGTCAAGACAGCTAACAGACGTAGCACGTGGGTGTGAATAACTTACAACTGACCAACATGATTTACAACCAGTAAGAACCAAAATTCCATTATTTTCTAGAGATATCATGTCATACAGAGATTCCTGAACTCCTACAGACAAATCTTTTATTTGTAATGATTTCAGAGAAAATAGTTCAGAAAAGATTTCTGATGCATTATTAACTAGAAGAAATTTTGTATAAACAAAATTGTGTGTAGATGTGTGTGTGTGTGTGTATGTGTGTGTGTGCCTGTGTGTATTCTCCCTAAGTATACAGTAGGGTCTTACCTAAAGTTGCAATGGAATAAGGAAATCCAAAAACTGTTACATGATCATCAAGCTTAAATGAAAGGTTTCCTTGCTAATTTTTTACAAATGGAAAATCCAGGCTCAGTGGAAAATAAAAGGAAGTGGTCAGTTAAACCCATCAGAGCTTCAGAGGAAACTATAACTCATTTTTTTTTAATATTATAGCTTCCTCTCCCTCTCCCCCCAAAAAATAGAATCACATAGATCTGGGGTCAAATCTAAGCTCCATCACTTACTAGCTGTGTGATGCTTTGGTCATTGTTAGCCTCTCTGAGCCCAGTGTCCCTCACAGGTAAGTCATACTATGCCAGCTGGGAGGACTAAATGACATAGTTTCTATCACAACTTGGACAGGGATGGCACATAAGAAGCACTTCATGTGACTGACAATAAGGATTACACCACACTGCCATTTGTATTGGTCATACCTCTGCTCCTTTTGTCTAAGAATATATTTCCGTTGCCCTGCAATCCAGGAAAACACTACTGTTCTTACAATTGAATTTTCATTTTGCTGCAAACCATAACATCTTACCACAAAAATACACACACACACACATACACACACACACACACACACACATCTCTGTTCTCCTATTGGAAGTGAGAAAAAGAATCACTCATAAGAAGTTCATCCAAACTGACAATCATAGTTACCTGAATAAGAAAAGTTAATAAATGTCTTCTCAATAACTCTGGGGGACTCTATCCTTTACCATGAAAACCATGCACACTCTTTTGTCCCCAATATGCCTGGACTTTTTGGTGGCCTATTGCTTGCTGTTAATAAAGAAAAACAAAATAAAACAAAATTATGGAATGTAAAGTAGAGAGAAGGCAAGCCCATCTTTCTTCCTCTGATGATCAAAGCTAAAAATGAACCACTGTCATGAAGTATCGAACAACAGACACACACACACAAACACACACACACACACACATAAACACACACACACATAAACACACACACCCCATGGGTAAATCAGGCAATCAGGCATCTACCCTACGCTACAACCAATTCCAAGTTCTGGCAGGAACAGTCCATGAAGGGCAGTAACTGGAGAGAAGAGCAGGCTCATGTCCATCCCCGTGCGTGGGGACCATCAGGAAATGTGCACCAAAACATTTTTTAAAATAAAATATTTGGTAGGTAACTGCCTGTTCCTTATTTTTATTTTGAGATGTTCTGTTGCCCAGGCCTGGAGTATAGTGGTACAATCATGGCTCACTGCCACTTTGAATTTCTGGGCTCAAGCAATCTTCCCACCTCAGTTTCCTGAGTAGCTGGCACTACAGGCACATGCCACCATGCCTGACTAATTTTTTAGTAGAGACAGGGTCTTGCTATGTTGTCCAGGCTGCTCTTGAACTTCTGGCTTCAAGCGATCCTCCCCATTCAGCCTCCCAAAGCACTAGGATTACAGGTGTGAGCCACTGTGCCCAGCCTTTTAAATATTTTTAAATGTAGTCGAGAAGAACAATCTTTTCAAAGTCATGCAAATTCATTTCTTCCCCCAAACACATCTTTTGTGAGGGACACACACCCCTGTTCCCTCAGCTGTTCTCCCTGCCACGTGGTTACAGACCAGCCTCTTTCTATATTCTGCTCTGGAAGCATGTCACAGACTTCTTAAAATGTAACCATGGTTGGAGTATTTCAGATATGAGCCACCTAATTTAGAGTTCACTGAGACCCCATGTTTCCATTTCTGTACCTTCAAGGTCTACAAATCCAGTCCAGGAGTGCATTCACTTGTCATCTAAAATGACCCCTCACTCTTTTTAATATGAACTGCTATTATACCAGGTTTCCCTATCGGGGATCTGCTTAGCTAGTTTTTTGTTTGTTTGTTTGAACTGCAGGCCTTTTCATTTTACCTAACAACTTATTCTGTGAATTTTGACACACAGTTCCAACCTGTTGAGGACTTTTAAAGCTGGGATTCCTTCAGCCAAGCTGGTAGCTGCCAGGGGCTGTGCTAGGCTTATTAAAAGCATGAGATGCTGGTGTTGGTGAGATGTCAAGAAATGGGCACTTCCACACACAGCTGGTAAAAGTGCAAATTGGTACAGCTTTCCATAAGGCAGTCTGGAAACAGTTTTCCTACTCCTTAAAAATGTGCATAGCTTTGATTCAACAATTCCACTTCTAAGAAGTCATCTAAAGGAAATAACTAGAAAAGTATGCACAGATATAAGCAGAAAGACATTCAGCATAATTCACAGTGAAGTCAGAAAACACCTCTTCTATGTCCAACTCAGGGCAATGGTTAAAAATGAAAAAACATAAGCGCCTGTAATCCCAGCACTTTGGGAGGCCAAGGCAGGAGGATCACTTGATGACAGCAATTCGAGACCAGCCTGGGCAACATAGCAAAAACCCATCTCTACAAAAAATTTTAAAAAATATATTAGCCAGGCTTGGTGGCATGTGTCTATAGTCTCGGCTACTCAGGAGGCTGAAGCCAGGAGGATCACTTGAGCTCAAGAGTTTAAGGCTGCAGTGAGCTAGAATTGTGCCACTGCACTCCAGCCTGGGTGAGGGAGCAAGGCCCTGTCTCAGGAATGAAAAACAGCAAAACAACGTGGGAACCACACGATGTGATATTCCACAGTCATTAAGCTGATGGTACACAAATGGAGGGGTTTTGTTTCTGGTAATGACAGTTTGAGTCATTTAGACCTAACTTCCCACTAAAAACAACTAGAAAAGCTAGGGAAAATATACAAAAATGGTATTTGAAAGCAATGTAGCATTTCCAAAGTAATAAAGTATTATGGGACCATGACCCAGATGGAGAAGAAAACAGAAGGTATGATCCCAAAATGGGGAGGTAACTGTCCCACTCAAGGAATCTGCAGCTATTAGGAGAGGCAGCTGAGAGGCCAAAAAACCTCACCAGAACTTCCCACAGACTCACAAGGCAAGGAAGACAAAATCCAGAAATGAGGGCCTGCGAAGAGGCAGTATTGATAACTCCCCACTCCAGGGTTTGGGTTGGGATCTCAAAATGCTATACCCAAGGAGAGAGGGCGAATGAGAAGTAGATCAGTCTTCACAAAGCCTGAGACCTGTTCAGTCACTGATCACAAGTGCCCCTAGCTTAGGCACCAACCAACCATATGACATCATCTAGCGGCTCAATTTGTCTTTAAGCTGCCCATATACAATGTCTGACACTCCAAAAATAACCAGGCATAAGTGAACACCGAGAAGATAAGACTGAAATACAAGAAAAAAACCACAGGCAATAGAAACTGACCTATAGGAGATGCAGTTAAAGGAACTCAGAAGCGGAATTTAAAATTTAAAATGCCACACTTCATATGTTCAAGAAATTGAAAAACAGAAAAGTCAGCAGAGAACTAGAGCCACATGGAAATTCTAAAAACTGGAAAATACAACTCAATGAATAGGTTCAATGGCATTTTAAACACAGCTGAAGGAAGAAATCGTAGAGTGAAAAATCGGTCTGAAGAAAATATGCAGGACAAAAGCATAAAGAGATAAAAGGCTGGAAAGTTCAGAAAAAAGCTTCAGAGACATATGGGACATGGTGAAAGGTATATGTAATTAGAGACCCAGCAAAGGAGGTAAGAGAAAACCTCAGAAGCAATATTTGAAGAGAAAATAAGAATTTTTCAAAATTGGGAAGAGATATCAAGTCACATACTTTTATAAAAAAAATCACGAATCCAAAGTATTATAAATGAAAAAGAAAAGCCACACCTAGAAGAATCATAGTAACATTGCTGAAAAACAGAGACAAAGAAAAGAAAGATGCGGTATATTAAAAAGAGCAATAATAACTGACAAATGACACCACAGAAGACAAAAGAATATACTATATGGTTCAAAGAAACAATTGTCACCTAAAGTTCTGTATGATTAAAATTGAAAATGAAATATCCTTTAAAAAATGAAATATTCTTAACATTAAAGGTGAAATAAAGATATTTGCAGACAAGCAAAAATTGAGAGAATTCAGCAGCCGCAGATTGCATTAAAGAAATACTAAGGACTTTTCTTCAGGAGAGAGGAATATTACTTTTGACAGCTGCTTGGAGATTGTAGGAAGGAATGAAGCGGTAAGGTTAACATGTGGGAACCTCTAAATGAATATTAAAGGCATGGTACAGAAATGAGAAAGAGAGGAGGTAAACAGAACCCAGTGAATAAGTTTACAACAGTTTAAACACAGCACATATCCACTTTCAATGCCTTCATTTCCAGGAACATATTTTTTAACTGGAAGAAGATTCCATGACCCCAGGCCTCGGCATGCCTGCCTGGAACTTCAGTCACTAGGGATTTAGCCCAGATTTCTTCTAGCTACGTCCACTTTATTCTTTTCTCTCATTTTTTCAACAAATCTGTTGAGCATCTATTATGGGCAAGGCACTATACAGAGTTCTGGGGCCACAGAGATGAAGACACTCATTTTATAGGCAAAGAAGGAAAACTCAGAGAAGTTCAGCAACTTGCCCAAGGTTACCTGGCTCCTACATGGCAGAGCCAAACCCTGGATCTATTTCCTTGCCAGGAATTTTCTACTAAGCAACCTTGACTCCCCCACCCCTAAAAAGTCACATACATGAATGCTCATGTTGAATTTACCCATGTTACTGTCTAATATTTTATTGCTATTACCATTCAGCTTTTTTTTTTCTTTTTTTAACAGTCTCACTCTGTTGCCCAGGCTGGAGTGCAGTGGCGCAATGTCGGCTCACTGCAAACTCTGCCTCCTGGGTTCAAACAATTCTCCTGCCTCAGCCTTCCAAGTACCTGGGATTATAGGTGCCCACCACCACGCCTGGCTAATTTTTGTATTTTTAGTAGAGACGGGGTTTCGCCATGTTGGCCAGGCTGGTCTTGAACTCCTGACCTCAGTTGATCTGCCTGTCTCAGCCTCCCAAAGTGCTGGGATTACAGGGGTGAGCCACCTGGCCCAGCCCCACTCAACTTTTTTTCTCTGACATCCTCATATCACCGTCAGTCTCTTCACCATCTTCGAAGTATTCCTTTTCACTTTCTTTCCTATTATTTTTACCTTTGTAGAATAAAAATATCTTGAATTCATAAATGGATCGTGTGACCTTCTATTTCTTAAGATGCGAGCATGCAACGTTCTGCAGTTAGAAGAATCCCACTGGAATTTTCAACCATTTAATGATGCTACCCAAATCATACACAGCTACTGTCCTCTTGCCCTGGCCAAGAACTGGGGTCAGGGTCAAAGCTAAAGCTCTAATGTGGCCCAGGAAAGAAGGAAGGAGGCTACCACTTTGCTCCACCTGCCTGATCCCATCCCACCTGACAGGACCTGGGCACTGGTCCCCCACTGATAAACAGGGGGGAAGAGGCCAATTTTGATAGTATCCATGGGGCTCTGCAGCCAGACCACTCTCCTTCCTTCTTCCCCTTACCAAATTCAGTACCTCCAAGCTAAGAGTTATCCTCCTAAACCCTGGCAATAATTCTGCATATATCTGCATTACTGTTTAACAACTTGCAGGAAAAATTATATCTATACAGCAATAATCAATCATGGGTGTATAGATAATTTACGGCCAAGACACATTTTAAAAAGACGGTTTTGTTAAATGAAAGTACTGTTTCATTATCTCTGCTATTAACATAACAGCCCAATTTTATTTACCACAGAGCTTATTACCATATGACCTCACTTTTCTTTTTTTAATTAATAGGAAACACAAAAACCTGACCCTACTGGAGAATAAAATCCTGCACAGAAAAATTAATGTAACCTTTAAAACCCTGACGTAAAAGGCTACATAGGTTGAGTGTGTTAACTCTTCCCATGTCCACAGATTAACATTGCCGGAGTATTCCACGAGATTCCACTAGTATATCATGATGAGAAAGACCAACTTCTAAGGCAGCTTGAAGCTTTCTGTCCTCAGGTCTTTTCAGTTTGATTTGCTTAATGTAAAACAAGTATTCAAAATAAGCAACGACTTAAATAGGTTGGTTGAAATCAGTGGTTTCAACTTGGGGCGATTTTGCCCCCCAGGGAACATGTGGCAATGTCTAGGGACATTTTTGGTTGTCTCAACAGGGTGAAAGATGCTACTGGCAACCAGTGGGTAGAGTCCAGGGGTGCCGCTAAACATTGTACAATGCACAGGACAGTACCCTCCCTCTCCCCAGCACAGAATAACCCAGTCCAAATGTTAACAGTGTCATCGCTAAGAAACCCTGGTTTAAATTTTTCTTCTTGAATAGCTGCATTTAACCAGATGGTCTATAACCTTGTAAGTGCTAACAACACACTGGCTTACACAGCTCCCACCCTTGTTATTTTATTTATATATGCAAACAGATGTGTTATGTTCTTTTTAAGACCACCTTTGAATGGAAGAAAACTTGCCAAAATGTAATTACATTCAATCTATGTCAGGGTGAGCATAGTTTCATTCAGTCCCCAAATGAAGACACACTGGAAATTAGGTGGCAGTGCATTTAATATGGGGAGGTTTCCTGAGAGTTAGGCCTTCAGTTCTTGTTTAAAGGAAGAATAAGGAAAGAAGAACCTCCACATTTCTAGGCTAAATGAGGAACATGGGGTAAGGGGTGGGGTGGCTGACATAGCTGAATCAGTGGATTTTTGGAGAAGCAGGTTGTATTTATAGGAGGTCAAGACTTGTAGGATGTGACCAGCTGGTAAGAAGCTTTGAGGATGATCATCAAAGGTTATATTTAATCCCAAGCAATAAAAAGGCAGCAACCATTACGAGTCCACTAAGAAATACTCAGAAGACAAAAACACATTGGTCTACTCTCTTCCCATCCAGATTGCAGACATTGCCCTTTATACATACTCTTACATCCTCCCTAACTTCCAGGCGTAGTTA